>NC_000011.10:114142121-114445151 GCF_000001405.40 Homo sapiens | reverse complement strand
GGGAACATCTAATGTGGACTAGATATCATATGATACTGAATAATGTTTAATTATCTTCAATGCAATGACATTGTATTACATAAGAAAATGTCTTTATCTTAGGAGATGTTTGATGAAGTATTTAGGAATGAAGTGTCCTGATGCCTGCAATTTCCTTTAAAATGTCCAACAAAAAATAGGTAAAACAAATACGACACAAGGTTAACAATTACTAAATCCACTCCTCTGTGCATGTGAAATTTTTCCATCATAAAAATATGGGAGAAATTCTTATTGAGTAAGTTTGTGTTTCCCAGATCTCATGTCAGGTTTCAGGGCATTTTCCCAATACTCATGCTATAAACTACACAGAGAAACTTGAACAGAAAAGTTAAGATGTGTAACCCAAAGCAGGGTTAAGTGGAAGACATGGATGGGCTCGGCTAGTCTTTCTGGAACTGCAGTCTCTTGAACCACTACATATGGAAGACTATAAGATATACACAGGATTGGATTTTACCTGCAAGTGGACAGAGCCCTGGAGGAGTCTGCTGTCGTACAAAGGACAGAAATTCATACTCTGCCTGCTGCAATGTAATTGTACTCTCCTTCACTGCCTTGGTAAGGCCAGACTGCAAGAGAGAATCCCCAGCCCCCCACCAAAAACACATGTAAAGTCAGTTTTCAAAGGCATCCAGAAATGAAATTTCACTTTTAAAATGGGCAAATATAACCACAAATAGACCATTTTTAGAGCTCAAGTTCAAATTGCAACTGCCATCTTTGCACCATTTTTTTTTCTTCAAGAATCCAAGCCAACTTAGTTATGATCCTGACTGTTAATAGCATGTCCACAGTCAAAAAAGACGGTGTTCAAAGTCCAAGGATATTAACCTCTGGGAAGAAACAACTATTAACAGGAGAGCAGCAATCCCCCTTCTCTGAAAGTTGATGTCTAACCTTATCCAAAAGACTGACTTGAGTAATACTTGACAATCCACAATGCGTTCGCGACAGACTGAATGTAGGAGAGAAAAAAAAGAGGACATTCAGGAGAAGATGATCTCGAGAGGTCCCAAAGATGAAAAGTAAACAAGCAAGCAGTTTCCCAGGCTTGCCATGCAATCTTCTCTAAGCCTTTTTAAAATACCATCCAACAATGGTATCGGATTCAGGTGTGGGAGCAAAAAGCTTGCTACTGATCCCCAAAGCAGCAATCCTGTTATTTGGTAATGTTACCTTCCCGTGATGCTCCTTACACCAATCTGACATGCTGTCCAGCAACTCATCTGGTTGTTTTATAATCAGGTTAGGACCCTGTGGATGGGAAACGCCATCAGTCACCAAGAAACAACAGGAATAACCTTACTTTCAGAGGGAAAGCTTAAGCTGTTTTAAGGACTAAATATACATATCAGAGAAAGTAAGAGATAAGGATACTTTAAGTGTTCCCCCTTCATTCCAGCACTGTTCATTAAGGCAAAATAGAACATACGAACATACACACACCACTGAAAACTCTAATCCTACAAATAGATGACACAGATATCTATCAAGGGTCAGCAAACTATGGCCCCACACTTCAGCTATTTATTAATAGCTAGAAAGCTAAGAATGATTTTTACATTTGTAAAAGATTGTTTAAAAAAAAAAAAGAACATATGACAAGAACATATGACTGCACTCAAAGCCTAAACAATTTAATAACTTGCTCTTTCCAGAAAAGTCTGTCAACCCTTGATTATGAGTTCATTTTGAAAAGTGTCTAGGCCAAGCATGGTAATCCCAGCACTCTGGGAGGCCGAGGTGGGAGGATCACTTGAGGCCAGTAGTTCAAGACCAGTCCAGGCAACATAGCAAGACCTCATTTCTACAAAATTAAAAAAAAAAAAAAAAAAATTAGGTGGGCCTGGTGGCACACCCCTACAGTCCTAGCTTCTCAGGAGGCTGAGGCAGGAAGATCACTTGAACCCAGGAGTTCGAGGTTACAGTGAGCTACATGCCACTGCACTCCAACCTGGGTGACAGGGTGAGACCCTATCTCTTAAAAAAAAAAAGTATCTATATTGCAGGTGAAAAAAACAATTGCAAAACCATGTATGTATAGGTATGATTTCATTTACACTTGTTTTAAAAAAAACACGCATTTATATAAACATACAAAATATCAAGACAATACATAAACTTGGAGTAAGAAGGAGCAATAGAACAGGACAAAAATCCAATAGTTCACTACACACATACTTTGGATAGTTACACTGTTTTAACAGTATTTTTATATTTAAAAAAAAATTAAAGAGGTAATTGTTGATATCCAAAACACAAAGTAGCCCTCAAATTCTCAGCTCCATTTCATAGAACATCCAAGTATGAGTCTCTCAGATAAGTCCTGGCAGTTAACAGTAGCTACGGCATTAAAGCAAGTCACCTCAGCTTCTCCCTCTGTAAGATAGTGATAATAATAAACTGTACCCCTTCCCTCATAGAAATGTTAACAGGATAAAAGAAATTATAGATATGAGCTCTTTGAACTCTCTGATAGAAAAGTATTCCATAAATCCAAGGTATTATTACTACTAAGGTGGTAAAAACAGTTCACAATCACTGAAAGAAATGGCTAGAATTTAATTAAAATACGCCTGACATCCTACTACTAAAAAGGAGATTTAGCCAAACAAGAAAACTGGTGTTGGTAATCTCTGCGAAGAAACAAAAAATTTTGCTTGGATAACAGATGTTTTATGATAGTCACGAAGGAAAAAGAAAACCCAAACCTATGAAAATGAAAAAAAATACTCATACTATTAAAAAAAATACTAACAATGATGGAAAAATCAAACTACTACAAACTATTTTAGATCCCTATTTAGCAAGCCAAGGGACCACACCTACAGAAAAATTTTCAGAGTAGGATGCCTGCTCTTCTACCAGCATAAAACATTTTTCTCAGACTCTTATAAAAGAATAAAACATACTGCAGAACTGATAGCCCCTAAGCTTTTTTTTTTTTTTTAACATCTTTATCCTCATCTGACTTAGTCCATTTACAAATGCTGCATTCATCTGCAGCTGTGTGAATACATACCCAAATTTCCTCCAGGGTACATATCAACCTACGGGTCCATTAAACTGTCAGTATTTCACATTATATCAACAGTCTAAAGGAAACACTCTTCTTCGGCCAAGGGTAAGTTAGACTGGTAAAATAAAGACACTTCTCTTCACTATTGATCTCCAATAAATCCCAAGTAACAGAAAAAAACAACCAAATCTAAAACTCAGGGCTTTATTTATACAAAGTTAAAAAAGTTGTTATGATGAGAAGTACAAAGTCTCATGATTCTCCTACAGTTGATATGTGGGGAGGATAAGCCTGGTACTCCACAAACGCAGTCATTAATCTAGAAATACGTCCTCACCTCTTTTACCTACACAGCAAAACAAACAAAAGTGTTAACTGCAGATTTACGAAATGTATCCAGTGCCAGTAACATATCAATGCTACCCTCTAGGAACTTATTTTAACAAGACTCTCTTTTCCACAAACATCCCTACTTTGTTCCTATTCTGGAGTTTCTGGCTCTGAATACTGCTGACAGTATAAAACAGAATTATTCAGGGTCAGGGATTTCACCCCCTACCAGATGGTGTCACATCCTTATTAAATGTTTCATGAGTGGCTGAAATGCAGCAGGTGTGTTTTGTTTTGCTAAATGTTTCAGTTGGAAGTAGCATGCAAAAACCTTAATCATGCCCAATCTGTCAACAACAGAACACTTTACGGGTGTGCACTAACAGAAATTCTAAAATCTTAATACTGATCTAGAAGAATCACATGTCCTAGTTGAAAAGGCAGAATTGTAAATATGGAGTCAAGTTAAAGTCAAGGTTATGATATAAAGACGCAAACATTGGCACGAGTCACCAAATCTGATGGGAGGACAGCTGGCTGTCCTACTTGTTAGGAGCACCTTACTGAGACAGCCTGAGTTAAACTCTTGGCTCCCCCAGTAAACAGCCACTGGGACCTCAGACAAATTACCCAACATCTCTATGCTCAAGTGTCCTCATCCATCAAATGAGCATTATAACAATAACTAACTTATAGTTGCTGTGAGAACTAAGAACAAAGACATATAAAGCACACAGAAACTGTAGCTGGCATACAGTAAGCGCTCAGTAAACGACAGAATTTATGTTTCTGTAAATTTCTGGCATGGTTAATTAAAAAATAATGTTTAATTTTTAATTTTCACTAGGCTGTGAGATGGATTACTTTGGTTCTAGTACCACCCCTACCATGACCTAGCACATTACCTTAACCCATATAGACCTCAACTTTCTTATTTTTTAAATAAAGAAGCTGGAAAAAATGATGGTTATATTTCCAGTGCCCTTTAAAAAGTATGACTGTATTACATGGCATCACGTACTTCAGCCAAAATGTTGAGATCAGAGTCAGTTATCAGACAGGCCATCTCAATAATCTGGTCCTTCTCAATGTCCAATCCTGTCATCTGCAATTAAAAATAAATATATAACACACACAAAGCCATCATTCTGGCCTCTTTTACCCAAGTTTATTTAACAGGAATTCCCTCAAACATAGTCAGCTTGTAATCCATAGCCGAAACAGAAGAGAAAGAATGCTCCTCGGGCAACTACTGAAGGTACTAAACACGAGTCCTCGTTTATTCAACAAACATTTACCAAGGGCCTGCTATTTGTCAAGCACTGAGATTCTACTCCGGGACAGATGCAAAGTAAGTAAAACTGAGTGCTGACATCACTCAGTTTTGGAAGAGTTGGATAACTACCACCACCACGTCTCTGCAGAGTTTACAAAGTTTTCACATTAATTACACCACTGGACCTTCACAATCTAATGGAAAAACTACTGTTATTATCCTCACTTCATATAAACTGAGGCTCAACGGTGGGAGGAGCCCTTGTTTCGGGCATGGAAAGCCTGAAGGGATAGGAACTGGGTTCTGGTCTCAACTCAGACTCTCACTAACAGCACGACCTTGAATGAGTTGAATCCTTTCTGTGGGCCTCAATGTTCTCACTTATGGAATGAGGGGTAAGGCTGAGTCATCTCCGGAGTCCCGTCTGGCCCTAACAACCTAGGGTCCTTTAAGGATTTAGTTGGGGGAAGCTGGGAACAGAGCCGCTGCCCCCGCCCCCACTCCAGTGACCCAAGCCCAGAGACGCCAGAGCGTTAGGAAAAGTCCACATCTGGGCGGAGGGGTAGGGAGGAGAAGAAGCCACACGGAGGACTCCTCCCTTGTGGAAAGAAGCCCTACAGCGCAGCACGGCGCCCAACACCCGCAGGACTCCTGCCTCCGGACTTGCCCTGCACCGCCCGTGGCCGGCCGCGCTCACCTGCCACACCTGAGACCCAGACCCCCAACGCTCTCCCAGGACGGGCTCGACTCCTCGGTTCCACGAGCGAAACCTCACTCGCCTCCCCAAGCCCCCCGCCGACCTCACTCACCTCCAGGTCCACCCAGACCATCCGCTGAGCCATGCTCTCCCCTGCCGCCATGGCTGCGCCACCTTCGCGGACACCTCGGGCCCCGAACCGTCCGTGACTCCCACCTACACCCCGCAACAGCCTGGAGCCCAGGGAGCCGCCTAGCATCACCCGGGACCAGCAGCCACGGCCCCAGTCTCGCAGCCGGCGCTGGCGCAGGCGCAATAGTCGCTAAACGTCGCAAACCCACGGGGAGGCGCACGAGCTGAAACCACACGTCCCAGCGTACGGTGCGCCGGCTCGCCCTCAACAGCCTGGCTTGGCTGCCGAAGGGAATGATGGGACTTAGAGTCTCACCTGCGGTTGCGACCAGATGCCCCACCCCCGCCACGTGTTTTTCTGGTGTTACTGGACGCGCTTGTTTTTCACTGCTAAGTTTGTTTGCTTCCAGGAGTTATTTCCTGAGTTTTGGTTAGTTGTAACCGCGCAGTTAAAAAAGAACTCTTACTTTGGTTGGTTGGAAAAGAGCTGATTATCTCTGTATGACATTTTTTTCATGTATATCTTTCCTTCTTTGCATTTCTTTTTCTTTTTTTACTTACCTGCCCCTCTATTCCACAAACTGGATATTTTCCTCATTTATTTGGGACCAAGAGGCAGTGTGCTTTTGGGGGCCAGAAGGCCATTAACATTATCATCAAATCATTTAGAAATATTTAAATAAGATCTTGTCTGAGAAATCATTTAGCACGTATCAGGTGTTCAGTCAAAGTTAGTTACCTTCCTTCTTTTTCTTATGGGAAAGCGGTCCAGATCCAGACCCAAAGAGTGGGTTCTTGGACCTCCTGCAAGAAAGAATTCAGGGCGAGTCCATAAAGTGAAAGCAAGTTTATTAAAAGTAAAGAAATAAAAGAATGCCTACTCCATAGGCAGAGCAGGGGCATGGGCGACCGAGTATACTTACACTTATTTCTTGATTATATGCTAAACAAGGGGTGGACAATACCGGGAACTGAGGGTTCTCCGCTTTTAGATCATATAGGGTAACTTCCTAAGGTTGCCATGGCATCTGTGAACTGTCATGGCGCTGGTAGGAGTGTCGTTTAGCATGCTAATGTATTGTAATTACTGTATAATGAGTAGTGAAAATGACTAGAGGTCACTTTGTCATCTTGGTTTTAGTGGGATTTGGCCAGCTTCTTTACAGCACCCTGTTTTGTCAGCAAAGTCTATTGTGACCCGTATCTTATGCTGACTTCCTATCCCTTCCTGGCACTTAGAATACCTAACCTCCTAGGAATGCAGCCCAGTAGGTCTCGGTGTTATTTTACCCAGCCCCTATTCAAGATAGGGTTACTCTTCAAATGCCTCTGACAATTTGGCCAAGGATTATCCCTTATTTCTTATGAAATGCGGCCTGCATTTCAGTTCACCTATTAGGTGTCTGCATGATGACAACTTGCTACTCTGTTCTTAAAAGTTCTCAAAGTTAAATTTCGTCCTCCTATAACAAATCTATGCAGCAAACTAACTTAAAATGAACTAAAACAGTTCTGCCTGCTCTGCCATCTTCTTGGGCTTTGATCCAGGTGTCTTTAATCTCCTGCAATGACTGCTATAATGTCTATCATTTCTAGGAGTCCAGGTGGCCAGCATCAGGACCTTTAGGCCCTGGAGTGTCAAATTTTGTGAGTCTCTTAAATCTTGGCTATTCAGTAACAGATTTGTGGCAGAGTGCCGCTTTGTCACAAATATCAATCTCGGCTTTGAATTATAACCTCTATGTATTTTTCTGAAAGCCATATTGCTACTCATTACAGAGCTTGTGGTCCATCCTACCTGGTTTTATGAGAGAGAAACTTTGTTGCCTAATAGGAGCTTTAAGGAAAGTGTAGGGTACTGGATTTCACCTTCTACTGATTTTGTGTACCCAACCCACCACCTGCAAGGGCCTAGAGAAACTCTTTGAAGGGCCATCAAAAGGTATGCACAGATTATACACATAAAGACTTACTGTGCACAATGCGTATATATTTTACCTGCATTGCCTGATGTCGCATTGTTTTACTATACCTTTTTACTCATTTGTGGCCTACTTTATGAAAAATGGTGTGCATTTCTTCTTTAGTTTTTTCTTAGCTTTAAACTCAATTCATAGAAAGTAGAGTCAGTTGAGGCCAGGCACGGTGACTCACACCTATAATCCCAGAACTTTGGGAGGCTGAGGCGGGCACATCACGAGGTCAGGAGTTCGAGATCAGCCTGGCCAACATACTGAAACCCCGTCTCTACTAAAAATACAAAAATAAACTGGGCATGGTGGTGCATGCCTGTAGTCCCAGCTACTCGGGAGGCTGAGGCAGGAGAATCGCTTGAACCCAGGAGGCGGAGGTTGCAGTGAGCTGGATCACGCCACTGCACTCCAGCCTGCACAGCAGAGCAAGACTCTGTCTCAAAAAAAAAAAAAGTAGAGCCAGCTGAAGTACAGAAAACTTTATCAATTGGGCTTTTTATTATCTTCTTAAAGTATTATGTATTTAAAATTTTAAAGAACACCATTTTTTTCGACTTTACTACTGGAATAATGTTTCTAACATGACATGGCTAAGGACACACAAACCCTTCCCTCTTTTGAGAGATAACTACTTTTTTACATATTTTTTAATTTTTATTTTTTAAATTGTGATAAAATATAGATAATATAAAAATTTACAATTTTAGCCATTTTCCACATAAAGTAGGGGTCCCCAACTCCTTGGCTGCAGATCGGTGCAGACTGGTACCAGTCTGTGTCATGTTAAGAACGGGGCTGTTCTGCCAGAGGTAAGGGGCGGGGGAGCAAGTATTAGCACCTGAGCCCCGCCTCCAGTAAGATCAGCAGTGGCATTCGATTCTCATAGGAGCACAAACCCTGTGTTGTGAACTGTGCATGCGAGGCATCTAGGTTGCGTGCTCCTTATGAGAATCTAACTAATGCTTGATGATCTAAGGTGGAACAGTTTCATCCTGAAACCATTACTCCCCCACCCCCATCCATGGAGTAATTATCTTTCATAAAACCGGTCCCTGGTGCCAAAAATGTTGGGGACCACTGGTATAAAGCATGGTGGCATTCAGTACATTCACATTGTTGTGCAACCATCACCACCATTTATCTCCAGAACTTTTTCATCTTCCCAACTGAAACTCCATCCCATTAAACATTAACTCCCCGTCTCCACCCAACCACCACTCCCAGCCCCTGGCAACCACGATTCTACTTTTTGTCTCTAAGAATTTGACTACTCTACGTACCTCTTACAAGTAGACTTATGCAGTATTTGTCTTTTCATATCTGGCTTATTTCACTTAAACTGTCATCTCCTCAAAGTTCATCCATGTTGTAGCATGTGTCAGAATGTTCTTCCTTTTTCAAGCTGAATAATATTTCATTGTATGTATGTATCACATTTTGTATACATTAATCCATTAATGGACACTCTTGTTGCTTCCACCCTGTGGCTATTGTGAATATTTACATGGTTTTTAATTTTTATTTTTATTTTTATATTTTATTTTATTTTTGAGACAGGGTCTCACTCTGTCACCCAGGCTGGAGTTCAGTGGCATGATCACAGCTCACTGCAACCTCCATCTTCTGGGGCGCTCAAGTGATGCTCCCACCTCAGCCTCCCAAGTAGCTGAGACTATAGGCACAGACCACCACACTGGGCTAATTTTTGTATTTTTTGTAGAGATGAGGTTTTACCACGTCGCTCTGGCTGTCTCGAATTCCTGGGCTCAAGCAATCCACCCATCTCAGCCTCCCAAAGTTCTGGGATTACAGGCATCAGTCACTGCTCCCAGCCCTAATTTTATTTTTTATTGCTCCCTTCTTACCAGTGACTTTCCCAGACCAGTTTTGTTCTTCCCAACTTCTGAACAAAGATCACTGTGATAATCAATCCACAAGTGACCACCCACTTCCCTGGTCCCTCTTTAGAGTTATCCCAAATCGTATCTTTAAAAGTCCTTCTCAGCCAGGCATGGTGGCTCACACCTGTAATCCCAGAATTTTGGGAGGCTGAGGTGGGAAGATCACTTGAGACCAGGAGTTTGAGACCAACCTGAGCAACAAAGCAAGATCTCATCTCTAAAATAAATAAATTAACTTAAAAATTAAAAAAAAAGAATTATCCAGGTGATATAGTTTGGACCTGTGTCCCTGCCCAAATCTCATGTTGAATTGTAATCCCCAGTATTGGAGGTGGTGCCTGGTGGGAGGTGATTGGATCGTGGGTGTGGATTTTCTCATTAAGAGTTTAGCACCATCGCCTTGGTGCTGTCCTCATAACAGTGAGTGACTTCTCGCAAGATCTGGCTTTTTAAAAGTGTGGCACTTTGCTATCTCTTTCTTGCTCCTTCCCTGGCCATGTGACATGCCATTACCCCCTTTGCCTTCTGCCATAACTGTAAGCTTCCTGAGGCCTCCCCAGAAGCAGATGCCATCATGTTTCCTGTACAGCCTGCAGAACCATGAGCCAATGAAACCTCCTTTCTTTATAAATTACCCAGTCTCAGGTATTTCTTTATAGCGGTGCACAAATGGCTTGATATAAAAAATTGCTACCGAGAGTGGACCATTGCTATAAAGGAACCTAAAAATGTGGAAGCAGCTTTGGAACTGGATAACAGGCAGAGGTTGGAAGAGTATGGAGGGCTCAGAAAAGACAGGAAGATGAGGGAAAGTTTGGAACTTCCTAGAGACTGGTTAAATTGTTATGACCAAAATGCCGATAGTGATATGGACAGTGAAGGCCAGGCTTAGGAGATCTCAGATGGAAATGAGGAACTTATTGAGAACTGGAGCAAAGGTCATGCATCTTATGCCTCAGCAAAGAGCTTAGCAGGATTGTGTCCATACCCTAGGGATATGTGGAAGTTTGAATGCGAGAATGATAACCTAGAGTATCTGCTGGAAGAAATTTCTAAGCAGCAAAGTGTTCAAGAGGTGACATGGCTACTTCTAACAACCTATGCTCAGATGTGGGAGCAAAGAAATAAGTTGGGACTTATATTTAAAAGGGAAACAGCATAAAAGTCAGGAAAACCTGCAGCCTGGCCGTGTGGTAGAAAATAAAAGCAGCCTCGAGACATTGCTCCTTACATCCAGCTGCTTGGGCTCCAACCACCACTCTAAGGGGTGGAATGATATAGTTTGGATACATGTCCCCACCCAATCTCATGTTGAATTGTAATTCCCAATGTTGGAGGTGGGGCCTGGTGGGAGGTGATTTGAACATGGGAGTGGGTTTCTCGTGAATGGCTTACCACCATCCCCTTGATGCTGTTCTTGTGACAGTGAGTGAGTTCTTGCAAGATCTGGTTGTTTAAAAGTGTGTGGCACTACCCACTCCCTTGCTCCTGCTCTGGCCATGTGATGTGCCTGCTCCTCCTTCACCTTTCACTGTGATTGTAAGTTTCCTGAGGCTTCTCAAGAAGCCAAGCAGATAGCAGCATCATGCTTCCTGTACATCGTTTAGAATCATGAGCCAATTAAACCTCTTTATAAATTACCCAGTTTCAGGTATTTCTTTATAGCAATGCAAGAATAGCCTAATACACCTGGCATGGCGACACACACCTTTAGTCCCAGGTACGCAAGAGGCTGAGGCAGGATGATCATTTGAGCCCAGGAGTTAAAGGCTGCAATAAGTCACGATCACCCCACTGCACTCCTGAGTGACAGAGTGAGATTCTGTCTCTGGAGGGGAAGAAAAGGAAAAAAGTCCTTCCCTACTTTCTCTTAGGAGAGGCTCCTGGTTCCTCATGTTAACTGTTACAGGAAGTTCATAAACCTAACATTGTTACAATTATGTTCTTTGGGAACTTTATCTGATATACTTTATCACCATTCTATTAAATTAGAGTTTAATTTACAGAATATATTTATTTTATACTTTTATAGTACTAGCATAGAGCCATGTAGTAACGTTGGCAGTACTGGTTAGTGGTCACCAAAGTACTGAAACTATCTCATGCCTATAAACTGTCCTATGGTTTAAAAGCATTTAAAAATATGCAGTAGGTACCCAATGAATACTCACTGGTTAATAATGATATCTCTTCTCTTCCTGTTTTGTGAAACTTTATCTTGATAAATGTTGATATAAGGGTTTATTGCTGATAACTGATAACTGCTGTTTACATCCCTCCAGTGGTCTGGGAAGGAATAAAGGATGACAGATCTTTTGGCTTTACCGTCTGTCGCTGTAAAAACGCAGGATAAAAATAGTGGCCAAACTTGTAATCTTCAAAAATCCACCTTGTACAAAATGGATACTCTAAAAGTTTTTATGAAATTTGAATTGAAGTTCTTCTCAATTCAGTTCAACAAAGAATTACTGAGTACTTAGTGTGTATCCAACACTATGCTAGACTACAACAATAAAAAAAATACATCTGTTAAACTGATATTTATTATACTGGACACCATAGGTATTTAAGTATTTATGAACTTGGAGTTGTTTCTTTTACAGATAAGGAAACGCCTTTAATTTTCCCATCTGTAAAATGGGTTATATGATGATTAAATAAAAACGTATAGAACACTGTATACATTACGTAATAGGTGCTCATTTGCTTTGTTTCTTTAAGCAAATGGGAGATACAAGACAATATAAAGGAGATGGTGCCAATGCTTTAAAGAATTATAGAGTGCTATAGGAATAAAGGAAAAGGGGATTCATTTTGACTGAAGAGATACAGGAGGATGAAACTGGGTTAGCTCTTGAAAGAAGAGAACTATGACAACAATTGCTGTGGGTAACAATATCCCAGACCGATAGAATACCTTGGACCTAAGCAACTAGGATGATTGTGCCTTTAAGTGAAAGAGAAGAACAGGAAGAACAGGTAAGAGTTGATGAGTTCAGTTTTGGAAAGACTGAAATTGTGTTTCCAGAGGGAGATCTGCAAGGGGATATCTAGCAGGCAGCTGGAAAGAGGGCAGGGATAGAGACTTGCGCTTAGAAGGCGACTACGTAGAGAAGATACCTGAAGCTATGGGAGGTAAAGCAATTGCAAGTTGTCTAAAAAGTGCAGCTATAGACCCATCTTAACCTTGAGAATTTTATTTCTTGCAAACTAATTAGCACATAAAGCAGATCCTCAATTTAATTTGTGCATGTCGGCACATATAGAACAAATTGTTCGTGAAGCAAGCCAGCCTAAAGTCTATTTCTTGGAAAAGTAAGGAGTGCCCTGGGAGAAAACTCAGCTAAAGGAAAAATCAGCCAGAAGCAAAGAGCATTGTACAGCATGATAGCTAAGTTGGAGGGAAGGAGAGAATCATTCTGACAGCACAGCAACTGTCATGTTGATTTGTCTCCTAGCCTAGTCCTTACTGGACTCATGTCTAAGGCCAATGGCAGACAGAGAGCCGCAGGTTTTCTAAAAGGGCTTTTTCAATAAAATGCACATATAATAATGTATCACACAACACTGAGTTCTCTGGTAGCACAATTTTTAAAACAGATAAAACTGACGCAAGGCAGTAGCAGGAATGGGGAACAGAGAGGAATGTTTACTCTTCACTTTTGATATTTCCTTCCATGTGGAGGAAGTGCCTCTAGCATAATATTCCTGGCCCCTTGCACCTGGCTTCTCTTGTTCCCCTGTAAAAAGGTGAAGTAAACATCAAGATTTGGGACACAAATTAGACATGGGCAATCTAGCGCCATCTTTATTTTTCTAACCACTCCTCACTAAAGGAAAAATCCAACTACGTCCTTGCTCACTTCACCAGGAACCACACTGAAACAGTGGCATTGTGAGAATTCTAGTATACTTGCCAACCAAAGCAAAGACAGTGTCCTGACAGGGGAACTTTTTAGGAATCCTAGAAATGCTTGGGCAGGAGGCTTTGGAGAGAGCAGTTATCCTGTGTTATTCAGGTGGGGGACATCAGAGAGTTATTTCTGTCAATGTGGTATCACACACTTGCACCCACATGCTACTGAGATTTAACCACCTCCCATACTACCAACTTACCTGGTGATCTCTAGGTGTCTTGATAACAAGCTTGAATCGATTAGTAGTTCGCATTGCAGCCAAATTCAGACAACTCTATCATTTTGAAGAGTCCAGTTTTAACTCCATGAGAAATTATGACATCAAACTAGAGTAATCTAAATGATTATTGGACAAAAGGAGATAGGTGTGAATAAAGATTCAGTGCAGGCCATGTATAATAAAAAAAAGACAATAGGCTTTGGAGACAAACAAAGCTGAATTCAAGCCCTATCTCAGCTACTTTATATCTGTATTTCCTCAAACAGGTTGACACTTGCAAACTAATTAGCATATAAAGTAGATCTTCAATTTAAGGTGTACATGTTGGCACATATAGAACAAACTGGTGAAAAAGCCTGCCTAAAGTCTGTTTCTTGGAAAAGGAGTGCCCTGGGAGAAAACTCAGCTAAAGGAAAAAGCAGCCAGAAACAAACACTCTAATCTTTTTGGGATTCATTTTACTCCTTTTAAAAATAGTTAAAGCACTACTTCATTTGAAGAATGATTGTAAAAGTTTGCGATAATATTTGTGATAGCAACATGATGCCTGGCACATGGTAGGTTCTTAAGTAGTATAAATAAATCACTTATTATTACTTAATAAGCCCACTCCACTGAACAATTGTAAACACCGATCACTTCTCATCATGTAGCCAACATTTGAGAAAACAAATTGTGACAGAGACTTGATAATTACGTATCAAATACACCTCTTTCTTCGTTAAAAACATATTTTTGGTGTTTAGCTGGGCACTTTGACATCCTTGTGGCTGGGTATGGTCATGTGACTAAGTTCTGGCCTATGAAATTATGGGATTTCCAAAAGTTTTCTTAAAAGGAGTTGATTTAGTTGAGAAAATGCTCCCGTGGCTGGGTTCTTTTGCCTGTAATCCCAGTACTTTGGGAGGCCTAGGTGAGAGGATCACTTGAGCTCAGGTGTTCGAGACCAGCTTGGGCAACATAGCAAAACCTCATCTCTAAGAAAAAGAGAAAGTAAGTGCTCCTTTACCCTTCCTGATATCTGGAATTTTGGCTTGGCAATGATGCCCCAGTGTCTATATTGAAACATGATGTGATTTTGAGAATGAAACTAGTGGTGAGGACAGTGGAAGACAGTGAAGCAGAAAAGAACCACCTAAGTCTCTTGATGGTGGCTCAGGGGAGCTTTCATTCTAACTGGAAACTTAAGTCATGTAAAAGAAAATCCCTAGTAGATTAAGCCACTATGTTTACCACCTAACCCAATTTCTAACTCATACAGAACTCACTGTGGAGAGTGCCTATATTTAAATGGTGAGTAAGGAAAAGAACTCAGAAAAGGAAACAAATAGCTGTTGGTAAGAATGGGAGGGAGAGATTCAAGAAAATGCAGCCTTACAAAATTAAAGGAAGAGAAAGTTTGACTGAAGATGTGAAGGCATTGGTATTAGACTCAGGATGAGGTCTCAAAAGACGTCATTGTATTTCTCACTAGAAGCAAAATTCTACTGCAGCTTGAGAAACAAGAGAATTGCAAGTTGATAAAACACAGGAAATAAATGTTCTCTTTTGATATCTTAGAGAGAATGAAAGAAAAGTAGTAAAGGAACAAACTTCGCTAAGAGTAAAGAGTATATTGCAGCCAAAAGAGAAAGCTTAAGAAATGAAAGAGGCGGAGAGAGGAATAAAACTTAGAAAGGGATATATGCAAAAGATTCTGAAAGAACAAAACCATAGGCACAGATGCACAGCTATTGGACAAGCCTTAGAATTATCATTTTTATAAAGGAAACTTCTCCTTTGAATGACCTGTTTTTCACTGATTATTTTTTATTGATTTATATTCACTGATTATGTTTCACTGACAAAATGTTTTTCAAATGTAAGTGCTGACAACAGTAATTTTATTTCTACCTGGTAAATTAAGTACCATCTTCAAATACTTGCATTACATTTTAAATAAGCATAACAACACTCAGTATTTAATATTGAACAGGAAAAGATTTTACAACAACAAAAGTCTTCATATGGAAACGCAGTTGTTGGGGAAACTACATAATTAGCTTAAATGGGCCTTCTATTTTTTTAAATTGTAATTGATAAAGAATAGACTGAGAGTAAATTAATATAGCAGAAGCATGTTCAGGAAATCAAATGCTCTTCAGAGCTTACCATGTACCTCTAAATTTCAGTCCCCATTTTGTGCCACAACTGAAGTTTTTAATAATTTTTTTTGTTTCATCTAATTGCATTTTGTTTTACAAAAATTATAAAGGTGATAATGCTAAACTTAGGCATTCCCATAAAGGCAGACTCTACAAACTCCTCAATACTATTTCATTCCAGGTATTGTCTCTATTTTGCTTCCTATAAAAATCAATAAGACGAATTATATGAATGTATTAATTTATTGCATCTACACCCAAAATATGTTTATTATGTGTCCATAAAAAATACATCTTTTAAAGCAATAAGAAATATGTGCTTCACTTTAGAAAACACTTTGATTACTAATCCTAAACATTCTAAGCAGGAGGACATCTCCCATTTCCTGTCTTCTAATTTGACACTGACTTCAAAGTGGTCTATTAATAATTTTATTCCAAGGGGAAAAAATAGGGAATAAAAAATGACAGACATAAAAAAATTAATGTTATGTTTTTTTGCCACATATAAACAATTGTTTCCAAAGCCAAACATTTCATGGGGGTTGGAGAGAGAGAATATGTGGTACCTACCTCAGTGTTTCACCGTGGGTTTAGGAGTCAGAAATATCGACGTTCAAATTCTGACTCTACTGATCACTGCGTGACCTTGGACTAGGAATAAAACCTATCTAATTGCTTTTTCCTCCATTTATGATTTATTTTTTTAAAAAAAACTATCCCCTACTTTTTGAAATTACTGTGAAGATTACATCAGCTCATGTGTCAGCCACATCTTATGATAAATGAATGAAATTATTTATAATTATAATTAAATAATAAATGAAAACTATTTTATTATATTTGCTTCTCCCTCAGAAAATACATTTTGGCAGATATCTGAGAATTTTTTAATAGATATTCCTTTTTCTTTTTAGGTTCTTAAAATTCTCCAACGGCATAGCAACAGAGAACAGGACATTTGGCAATTCAAAAACTGCTATGCTTCCCCCTCTTTTTTTTTTTTTGGAATTATGTTTCTGTAAAAGTTCAGTGAGACAGGAAACAGAACAATACATATATTCAAGAACTCTTGGCACTGGACCACTCCTAACCTGCTTAATTTTTTTTAGATTAGTTGTTTTTAAGAGCTGCTCAAAAACTAATCACCTATTTATTTCTTTAGGAAAGAAAATGTGAAAGTTTGGTGATAGATAACCAAGTGGTTGATTAAAATAGAATTATTTCCATTCACTATAGTCAAAAGGTGGAAACAACCCAAAGTGTCCAGCAACAGATGAATGGATAAACAAAATGTGGTACACACATGCAGCAGAATGTTATTTAGTCATAAAATAAAATGAAGCTCTGATACATGTTACAATATGGATGGCCCTTGAAAACATTATGCTAAGTGAAATAAGCAAGACATAGACAAATACAATCATTGTCACTTGACAATGGGGATACACTCTGACAAATGTGTCCTTAGGCGATTTCATTATTGTTCAAACATCATAGAGTGTACTTACACAAACCTAGATGGTATAACCTACTACATGCCTGGGCTATATGTTATAGCCTGTTGCTCCTAGGCTACAAACCTGTACAGCACGTGACTGTACTGAATACTGTAGGCAATTGTAACAGAATTGTATTTGTGTATTTAAATATATCTAAACAGAAATGGTATAATAAAATATGGTATTATAATCTTATGGGACTGTCATGACATATGCAGTCAGTCATTGCCTGAAATGTTATTATGTGGTTCATGACTGTATTGCATTATTTCACTTATATGAAATAACTGGAATAGGCAAATGTATGGACACAGAAAGTAGACTGGAGGTTACCATACTTAGCGTGTACACAGTTTGGGGTGATGAAAAAGTTTTAGGGTGATAGTTGCACAACTTTGTAAATGCACTAAATGTTCCTAAATTGTACACCCTAAAATGGTTAAAATGGCCAATTTTAGGTTACATATATTTTAACCCAATGAAAAATTGTAATAGAATTATTTCATAATGAAAATGAATTCTAAATTTTAATTTAAAACTCGCAGATCATCAAATTTGGGACCATCTTCTTAAAATATAAACTAGAGGACATTAAATTCACACTCAAGCTATATTGCCAGTTCTTCCTGTATTACTTTGAGGCTTTACACAATCACAGTCAAAATCATAATTGAATTTTTCTTCAAACTTGAAAAGTAGTGTTTTAATCCAATTTTGAGCTCTGAAAAATTAGATAAATGAAAGCATTTGTTTAATAGTGTTGGAGAAATTGACTAGGGGAAGAAATGGTTCAACTAGAATTCATACAAATTACTAAAATAAATTTTAGATGGATCAAACAGTTAAATATAAAAAAGTTATGAAAAATTGTGCAAACATATGATTGAATTTTTTTGGGGGGGGTAGGAAAGGAATGTATAAATCTCAAAAGAGCAGAAGGAGAGGGGTGGAGCAAAATGGCCAGAAAGAAGGCTCTATCCATCATCCTCACCCCCTGTAGGAGAACCAAATGTAACAACTATCTACAGAAAAAGAGTACCTTCATAGGAACCAAAAATCAGGTAAGCACTCAAAGTACCTGGTTTTAACTTCATATTGCTGCAAGAGGCACTAAAGATGATAGGAAAGATAGTTTTGAATTTCCAACAGCATGCCTCCCACATCCCCAACAACCACGTGGTGCAGAGAGAGAATCCATGGCTTGGGAGAGCGAGAGCACAGAGATTGTGAGACTTTTCACTTAACTCAGTGATGCCCAGTCACAGCAGAAAGCAAAACTGGGCTGAGCTTAGCTGACACAAGCCCACGGAGGGAGTATTTAGACAAGCCCTAGCCAGGAATCGCCCATCCCAGCAGCCCATTTCAGTGGTCAGAACTTGAGTTCTGGTTAGCCATGCCACGTAGGCTAACATGCTCTGGGCCCCTACTAAACATGAAAGGCAGTTCAGGCCACAAGGATTGCAAGTCTTAGGCAAGTCCTAGTGCTGAGCTGGGCTCAGAGCCAGTGGCCTTCAGAGGCATGCAACCTACTGAGACACTAGCCAGGGCAGGTAAGGGAGTGCTTTCACCACCCCTCCCCCAGCCCCAGGCAGCACAGATCGCAGGTCCAAAAGAGACCCCTTCCTTATTCTCGAGAAGAGAAGGGAAAGAGGGAGGAATAGTAAAGAGGACTTTGCCTTGAATCTTGGATACCAGCTTAGTCACAGTATGGTAGGGCACCAGTCAGAGTCTTCAGGCCCCCATTCCAGGCCCTAGCTCCCAGAAGACATTTCTAAACACACTCTAGGCCCAGAGGGAATCTACTACATTGACAGGAAGCATGCAGTTCAGGCAGGACATATCACCTATTGACTAACGAGCCCTTGGGCCCTAAATAACCAGCAGTGACACATGGACATTACACCACGGGCCTTGGGTGACACTCTGAGACATGCTAGCTTCAGGTGAAACCCAGCATATTTCCAGCTGTGGCGGCTATGGTGAGAGACTTCTCCTGCTTGAGAAAAGAAGAGGGAAAAGTAAAGAAGACATTGTCTTGTACCTCAGATACCAGCTCAACCACAGGGGGATAGAACACCAAGCAGGCTCTTGGGGTTCCAGATTCTAGGCCTTAGCTCTTGGACAGCATTTCTGGACCTACCCTGGGCCAGACAGGAGCCCACTGCCCTGAAGGGTGAATCCCACGACTGGCAGCATTCACCACAAGCTGACTGAAGAGACCTTGGGCCTTATGTGAATATTGGCGGTAGCCTGGCAGTACTCCTCATGGGTCTGTAGTGGTGGTGGCAGTGGGGTGAAGCTCCTGTGCCTGTGGAAAGTGGAGGCAAGAGTAGGAAGGACTGTCTCACAGTTTGAGTGCCAGCCACAGAACAACAGAACACCACATAGGTTTCTAAGGTGTTTGAACAGTCCCTAGCGCCTGGATGGCATCTCTGGACCTGCCTGGAGTCTGGGGAAACTCACTGCCCTGAAGTGAAGGACACAAGCCTGGCTGGCTTTGCCATCTGCTGATTGTAAAGCCCTAGAGCCTTGAGAAAACATGGACATTAGCCTGATAGTGGCTACAGAGGGCCTTGGGCAAGATCCAGTGCTGTGCTGACTTCAGGTGTGACCAAGCATAGTCCCAATGGTGGTGGTCTTAAGGGTGCTTCTGTCACCCCATTCCCAGCTCCAGGTGGCTCAGCACAGAGAGAGAGACCCTGTTTGGGAGAAAGTAAGGGGAGAGAACAAGAGTCTCTGCCTGGTAATCTAGAGAATTGTTTTGAATCTTATCTAAGACCATGAAGGTTGTACCTCTATGAGTCTGAAAGAACTTACAGTGTTACTGGGCTTGGGGTGACCCTTAACGCAGAAATAGCTTAGATCACAATACCCAAGTCCTTTTAAATACTTGGAAAGCCTTCCCAAGAGAGATGGGAACAAACAAGCCCAGACTGTGAAGACTGCAATAAGAACTTAACTCTTCAATGCACAGACACAGACAAACATCCACAAGCATCAAAAAAATCCAGGAAACTTGATCTTACCAAATGAACTAAATAAAGCATGAGGGACCCAATCCTGGGAAAACAGAAATATGTGACTTTTCAGACAGAGAATTCAAAATAGCTGAGGAAATGCAAAAAAAAAAAAAAAAAAAAAAAAAATCAAGATAACACTGAGAAGGAATCAAGAATTCTATCAGATAAATTTTAAAAATAATTCAAAAGACTCAAACAGAAATTCTGGAGTTGAAAAATGCAACTGACATACTGAAGAATATATCAGAGTATCTTAACAGCAGAATTGATCAAACAGAAGAAAAATTATTGAGCTTGAAACAGGCTATTTAAAAATACATAGAGGAGACAAAAAAAAAAGAATTTCTTAAAAATGAGGAATGCCTACAGGTTCTAAAAAATAGCCTCAAAGGGCAAATATAAGAGTTATTGGCCTTAAAGAGAGGATAGAGATAGAGATAGGGATAGAAAATTTATTCAAAGGAATAATAAAAGAGAAGTTCCCAAACCTAGAGAAAGAAATTAATATCCAAGCACAAAAAGGTTAGAGAACACCAAGCAGATTTAATCTAAGAAGGCTACCTCAAGACATTTAATTATCAAACTCCAAAAGGTCAAGGATAAAGAAAGGATTTTAAATACAGCAAGAGAAAAGAAACAACATACAATGGAGCTCCAATATTTCTGGCAGCAGACTTTTCAGTGGAAACCTTACAGTCCAGGAGAGAGTGATATGACATATTTAAAGTGCTGATGGAAAAAAGTTGTTTACCCTAGAATAGCATATCCAGCAAAAATATCTTTCAAATATGAAGGAGAAATAAATACTTTTCTAGGTAGGCAAAAGCTGAGGGATTTCATCAACACTAGACCTTTCCTAGAAGAAATGCTAAATGGAGTTCTTCAATCTGAAAGAAAGGGAGGTTAACGAGCAATAAGAAATCATCTGAAGGTGTAAAACTCACTGGTAATAGGAAGTACACAGAAAAGCACAGAACATTATAACACTGTAACTATGGCATGTAAACTACTCTTAAGTGAAAAGACTGTAAGATGAACCTATCAAAAGTAATAACTACAACAACTTGCCAAGACATAGACAGTACAATAAGATATAAATAAAAATGACCAAAAGTTAAAAAGTGCGAGGACAAAGTTAGGGTGTAGAGCTTTTATTAGTTTTCTTTCTGCTTGTTTGTTTATGCAAAGTGTTAAGTTATCAGAATAAAAAATGAGTTATAAGATGGTATTTGCAAGCCTCATGATAACCTCAAATTTAAAAACATACAACAGATACACAAAAATAAAAAGCAAGGAATGAAATCATACCACCAGAAAAAAACACCTTCATAAAAGGAAGGCAGGAAGGAAAAAAAGAATGAAGAGAAGACCACAGAAGAGCCAGGAAACAAATAACAAAATGGCAGGAGTTAAGTCCTTACTTATTAATAATAACATTGAATGTAAATGGACTAAACTCACAAATCAAAAGACAGAGTTGCTGAATGGATAAAAAATAAGACCCAGGCCGGGCGCGGTGGCTCACGCCTGTAATCCCAGCACTTTGGGAGGTAGAGGCGGGCGGATCATGAGGTCAGGAGATCGAGACCATCCTGGCTAACACAGTGAAACCCCGCCTCTACTAAAAATACAAAAAATTAGCCGGGCGTGGTGGCGGGCGCCTGTAGTCCCAGCTACTCGGGAGGCTGAGGCAGGAGAATGGCGTGAACCCGGGAGGCGGAGCTTGCAGTGAGCCGAGATCGCGCCACTGCACTCCAGCCTGGGCAACAGAGCGAGACTCCGTCTCAAAAAAAAAAAAAAAAAAATAAGACCCAATGATCTGTTGCCTACAAGACACACACTTCACCTACAAAGACACACAGATTGAAAATAAAGGGGAAAAAATGATATTTAATGCTAGTGGAAACCAAAAAAGAGCAGGAGTGGCTATACTTAGACAAAATAGATTTCAAGACAAAAATGAGAAGCAACAAAGAAGGTCACTATATAATAATAAAGAGGTTAATTCAGCAAGAAGATATAACAATTGTAAATATATATACACCTAACACTGAGCACCCAGATATATAAAGCAAATATTATTAGGGCAAAAGAAAGAGATAGACTCCAATACAATAATAGCTGGAGACTTCAACACCCTACTTTCAGCATTGCACAGATCATCTAGACAGAAAATAAAGAAACATCGGATTTAATGTCCACTGTAGTCCAAATGGATCTAATAGAGATTTACAGAACATTTCATCTAACAGCTGCAGAATACACATTATTCACCTTAGTACATGGATCATTCTCAAGCATAGACCATATGTTAGGCCACAAAACAAGTCTTAGAACTTTCAAAAAAATGAAATTATATAAAGCATCTTCTCTGACCACAATGGAATAAAACTAGAAATTAATAAAAGAGGAATTTTGGAAACTATGCAAACACATAGAAATTAAATAATATGCTCTTGAACAGCCAGTGGGTCAAAGAAGGCATTAAAAAGGAAATTGAAAAATTTATTGAAACAAATGATAATAGAAACACAACAAACCAAAGACCTATGCAATACAGTGAAAGCAATATCAACAGGGAAGTCTATAGCTACACAGGCCTAAATCAAAAAGGAAAAAAAACACTCAAATAAACAGCCTAACAATGCATTTTACAGAGCTAGAAAAGCAAGAGCAAACCAAACCTCAAAGTAAGAGAAGAATATAATAAAAATCAGAGCAGAAATAAATGAAATGGAAATTAAAAAAAAACAAAAGATCAATGAAACAAAAAGTTGTTTTTTCAATATATAAACAAATTGACAAACCATTAGCGAGACCAACTAATAAAAAAGGAGAGAAGACTCAAATAGATAAAATCAGAGATGAAAAAGGACATTGCAACTGATACCACAGAAACTCAAAGGATCATTAGTGGCTACTATAAGAAAGCAGAAGCCAATAAATTGGAAAATCTAGATGAAATGGTTAAATTCCTAGACACATACAATCTGCCAAGATTGAACCATAAAGAAATCCAAAAGCTGAACAGACCAATACCAAGTAATGAGATCAAAGCTGTAATAAAAACTCTCTCTTCCTCCTTTTGTAGAGAGCCGAAAATGACAACAACAAAAAGGCTCCCAGAAAAGAAAGAATAACTAAGATTTAGTATTTGCTAGCAAAATAGGGTGACTGTAGTCAAAAATAATTTAATTATACATTTTAAAATAACTAAAAAGAGTATAACTGAATTGTTTGTAACACAAAGGATAAATCTTTGATGTGATGCATACTTACCCTGATGTAATTATAATGCATTGCACACCTGTATCAAATATCTCATGTATATAAATATATACACCCATAAGTATATACTCTTACTATGTACCCACAAAAATTAAGAATAAATAAAAGAGCAAATGAAACCACACAAGAAAACAAGGTTAACTTTCACCCCTCTACCTCCATGCACACACAACATGGACATTTACTATTTATTTTAAGACTTCAAAAAGCATTGGAAACAAAATTAACCAGGGAAAATATTTACAAGAAACATTTCAAACAATGTTCTGGTATTCTTAAATACGAAGAGCTTTTGAGGATCAATAAGAGGAATGTAAAATTCTAAAAAGGAAATGGACAAAGGATAGGAACACAGAATTCATGAAGGAATATAATTGGTACATAGAAGCAAAAATATCCAATCTCATTAATAATAAAAGAAATTTTAAAATAGTTATCACTTTGATTAAAATACCAATAGACTTTAAAAACTAGACAAACTGATTATAAAGTTTATATAGAAAAATAGGGCCAAGCACAGTGGCTCACACCTATAATCCCAGCAGTTTGGGAGGCCGAGGCAAGCAGATCACTTGAGGTCAGGAGTTCGAGACTAGCCTGGTCAACATGGTGAAACCCTGCCTCTATTAAAAATACAAAAAAATTAGCTGGGCATGGTGGCACATGCCTGTAATCCCAGCTACTCAGGAGGCTGAGGCTGGAGAATTGCTTGAATCCGGGAGGCGGAGGTTGCTGTGGGCCGAGACCATGCCACTGCACTCCAGCCTGGGTGATAGAGCAAGACTCAGTCTCAAAAAAAAAAAAAGAAAAAGAAAAGAAAAATAAACATGTAATAATTAGCAAAATTCTGAAAAAGAAGAGTGATGGCATATGGCATGGGTGTGGGGTAAGTCCTCCAATAATTAGGTTCTAGGCAATAAACAGTCAAATATTTACACATAAAGTCCAGAAATAGACCTAATACAATGGGGGAGTTTAGAATATGGTAATGACACCACTTCATATAAGTGGGATGTCTTAGTCCATTTGTGCTCCTATTTATAATAGAATACTTGAGATTGGGTAATTTATAACAAACAAAAATATATTGACTCCCAATTCTAGAGGCTGGGAAGTCTGAGATTAAGGTGCCTACAGGTTCAGTTTCTGGTGATGCCATTTTCTTCTTCCAAGATGGCACCTTACTTGCTTCATCCTCCAGAAGAGAAAAAGGCTGTATTCTCACATTGCAGAAGGTAAAAGAGCCAAGAGAGAGAGCCCACTTTTAAAAGCTCTTTTATTAAGGCATTAAACACACCCATGAGAGTGGAGCCCTGATGACCTAATCACCTCTTAAGACCCCACCTCCCAATCCCGTTATGTTGACAATTACATTTTAACATGAGTTTTGGAGTGGACAAACATTCCCCAAAAGTAGCCTGGGGAAGAGATGGATTAATAATAAATTTTATTAGCAATTGGGTAGTTATTTGGAAAAAAATCTTAAATGGCTCCTGCCTTCACAATTTATACCAAAATAAAGTCTAAATGTATTAAGCATCTAAATGGGAAAAATTAAAAATAAAATTGCTCGAAGAAAACAATAGCAACTAGTTTTGGTGATTTCCTTTTTTGCAGAATCCAGGTCCTGGAACAATGGTGTGGCAGATTGAATTTTTTTTTTTTTTTTTTTTGAGACGGAGTTTCACTCTTGTTGCCCAGGCTGGAGTGCAATGGCATGATCTTGGCTCACCACAACCTCTGCCTCCCGGGTTCAAGCAATTCTCCTGCCTCAGCCTCCCGAGTAGCTGGAACTATAGGCATGCACCACCATGCCCGGCTAATTTTGTATTTTTAGTAGAGATGGGGTTTCTCCATGTTGGTCAGGCTGGTCTTGAACTCCTGAGCTCAGGTGGACCACCCGCCTCGGCCTCCCAAAGTGCTGGGATTACAGGCGTGGGCCACTGCGCCCAGCCAGCAGATTGAATTTTTAAAAGATGATCAAAACAATAGCTACTGTCTCACACTCTTCTCTTACAATCTGACTTTGAAATTCCTCTGAATAGTAGGCTTTGTGCCTGCTCACCTTGAAAATAGATGATTGTGACTGCTTTGACCAATAAAGTACATGAGAAGGGACTTCTCAGGCTAGATCATAAAATACCCTGTATTTCCAGCTGGCTGTCTAGGGATGCTCACTCTTGGAACCCAGACACCATGCTGTGAGGAAGCCCAAGGAGGCCCACATGGAGAGGAACCAAAGCACCCATCTCACAGCCCTTTCTGAGCACCCAGACAATAGCCAGCCCCAAGTTGATAGCCATGTGAGTAAGCCACCTTGAAAGTGGATCTTTCAGCCCCCATTAAGTCACCTCAGTGATGCTAAGTGGAGCAGAGAAGAGCCATCCCTGTTGAATCTGGCCAAATGATTGTTTTTTTAGCCAGTGAGATTTAGGGTGGCTTGTTAAAAAGCAATAGATAATTAAAACAAATGAATTTTTACCTTCACTGCTAGGAACTGGGTCACTCTCTTATTTCTTAGGCAAAGAAATATTAATGTTTATTTAAGGAAACATTATTATTTTTTTTTAGAAAAGAAAGTATATTGTACCCTGATGCCAAAATAAAGGAAAGCAATAAGACACATAAAATGGTAATCTGCAAATTTCCTGAAAAATGTTCTTATCAGATCCATAAAAATTGCATTCAAATAATCACAACTCAAGACCTCTGGGTTATATTAAGTGCAAAAAGCACCATGTGAAAAAAAATAGAGAACATGAAAATATATTTGATAAAGAAACAGTAGAAAGACACAAACTAAGAAAATGATTCCTTACTGGGAACTGGTAGGGAATGAGCTGACAGGAACAGGATTGAGTGGAATACTTCGCAATATACACCTTTTAATATTGTTTTGATTTTTGAACCACACAAATGTATTATCTATTCTAAGAAATAAATTGTAAAAGCAACACAAATAATTTTAAAATGGTATATCAATAGAGCTTTGTATTTCAAAAGTCAATATTAAGATAAATATAACAATGATTCTGTTCAATTTGGCTTTTCATTTACTGAGAATATAAACTACATATAACTGTAATTGTTGCAGAAGTAGTTATGCCCTTGGCATCTTTGCTATTATCATTGATAGACAGAAAATTACCAGAATAATAAAAACTAAACAATTTCTTATTTTAAGCATAAAACATAAGAATTTCATAAATCAAGCCACTAAAGCAGTTTTGTCTATGTTCAATGCTGCCACACATAATTAAAATAAACATAATAGTTTAGAATTTGATCTTCGGAACATTTAAAATTCCTCTTTTAGCTATTTTGAAATACATAATACATTATTATTAACTGTGATCACCATGCTATGTGATAGTACACCAGAATGTATTCCTCCAGTCTAACTAAAACTTTGTACCCTTTGATCAATGCCTCCCCTTTCCCTGTCTACCCCACTAGCCTCTGATAACCACCATTCTACTCTCTACTTCTATGAGTTCAACTTTTTTAGATGAGATGGGATAATGTTTTAAAATATTAATGACAATGTGAACCTAAAATCTAAGTGATTGTGTTAAAGCACTGCAGTAGAAGTGGTCTTTATGTGAGAGGCAGAAGAGAAGCAGCAAGGAATGTGAAGGTATGTGATATGGCTTAGCTGATCTCACCTTGAATTGTAGTTCCCATAATTCCCATGTGTCGTGGGAGGGACCTGGTGGGAGGTAACTGAATCATGGGGGTGGTTATCCCCATGCTAGTGTTCTTGTGATAGTGAGTTCTCACATGATCTGATGGTTTTATAAGCTTCTCCCTTTGCTCAGCTCTCATTCTTCTCTCTCCTGCTGCCTTGTGAAGAAGAATGTATTTGCTTCCCCTTCTACCATGATTGTAAGTTTCCTGAGGCCTCCCCAGCTATGCTAAACTGTGAATCAATTAAACCTCTTTCCTTTATAAATTACCCAGTCTTAGGTCTCACGTATCTCTTCATAGCAGCATGAGAATGGACTAATAGAGTTTGCTGAAGGTATTTTCTTGGTGGAGTGTAGGGGAGACAGATATAATAAATACTGTTGTAGTGGCTTTGTACTGTGTCTACTTAGCTGAGGTGGAACTATGGTTCCCGGAATTCCTTTCTCTGTCTAGTTTCCATTTAGAGTTGGTGTTGTACACCAGTGCCAACAAAGGCCAGGATTTGACTGGCCTCTGTTCCTGGTTCCTGGGAGACAACCTCTATATTCTTGGAATTTCCCAAGTGACAGGAGTGTCTTTATTATTCCTGGTGAGCCCTGATCATTTATGCTACAAAGATGACCTCTACAGGGTCCCTAGATATTTCAGGATGAGGCCAGGCCATGCTAGAAAAGTCAACCACATGATTATAGGGTTGGGGCTTTATGCCATGTGGTATCAGTCTGATATTGATTGGGATTGGAGGGGACCAGAGACTGAGTTCAATCACATGGCCAAGGATTCAATGATGCGTATGTAATGAAACTCCAGTAAAAACTCTGGCTATTAAAGCTTGGATAAGGTTCCAGGCTGATAATACACAGTGACAGGGAGTGAACACAGAAGTTTCACCTTCAGGACCCGCCTGGGTCTCACTCTATGCATCTCCCCTTTTGGCTGGTTTTGATGTGTTTTCTTTTGCTTTAATAAATCTGTAATCTTAAGTATAGCTTTTTCCAAAGTTCTGTGAGTCTTTCTAGCAAGTTATTAAACCTAAGAAAGTAGTGGAAACTGTTGAATTTGTAGCCAGTTGGCCAGAAGTGTGGGTGGCCTGGGAATCCCTGAGCATGTGGCTGATGTCTGAATTGAGAGCAGTCTCATAGAGGACTGAGCCCTTAGCCTGTGAAATTTGGCCTAACTCCAAGCAGTTAGTGTCAGAATTGCAATGCAGTTGACCACAAGAGAAATTTGCTTGAGATTTGGAAGTCACAGGGAAGTAGCAGCCATAATTTTTACCCTCTGGAAGATTAATGCAGGATGCCAGGCACTGTGGAACCTCATGCACATTGTTGCTGATCCCCTGGCTCACCTTGTTGGCTCACCTTGTTGGCATGTGGCAGCACCCAACCAGCAGCTCCTCCAGCTGCTGACACATCTCCTCAAACTTCTCTGTGTTCTGGGCCAAAGATATGTGCAGCCCTATAGCTAGAGGTGCCAGCTACTCCTGCAGGCCTCAGGCCATCCAAGTCACATAAGGTGGAGTAATGAAAGACAGATGTAAGCTCCATCTTTTTCTAGAAGTTTGTGGTTGGTTCCTGCTTTTGTTCTTGTTCACCTTTCCTTCCCAACTGCTAGTCTGGCTGACCCACGGTGACTTCAGGCCCAGCACCACATGCAGGCCAGCAGATTACTCCACCAGCAATCCCAGTGGCATAATGTTTGAATCCCTAGAATCAGACTCTTATTCTAGATCACTCTTTGTTCTGCTTCTCTGATTTTGACCTTGACTGATACAACTGTTTCAGTCTGTCCATTGATAGAAAATGACAAGTTTGTGATTGCTGAGAATTTAAGGGGAAGCACCATGGGAATAAAAATAGTATGATACTAGAGTTCTCAACCCTAACAGAATATTAGTCTTTAAAAAAAATACTGGTATCACTCTCTTCCTCTGAGATTTTGGGGTAAAGTTTAGGCACTATTTTCTTTTTGAAAGGTGGTTACAGTTTGCACTCAGAGTTATGAAATGCTGCAGTAGATGAAAGAAAAAGAACAAAGAAAGGTGATCAATATCACAAATATACACATACAAGAAAGCATAGCAGGAATACATCAGAACATAAGAGACTCTCCTGAATTCAAATGGCAGAGAAGTACTAAAAATTAACCAATAGACAAAGACATATTAGACAAATATTAATTAAAATAAAGAAATGATGATAGTAATATAAAACAAAATAGAATTAAAAGTTAAAAGAATGAAAATGGGCCAAGGGTATTTACATTGATAAAGTTTATAGTACATGATGAAGAAATGTTATCATTCTTTTTGCAACTAGCATAGCTTGGAGTTACACAAGGCAAAAACTGACAGACATACTCAGAGAAAAATGAGGAAGTAAAATCATCTCTCTCAGAATTAAGAGATTAAGAAGAGAAAAAATATCAAGAATTTGAAAAATATAATTAACAAGCCTTATGTATCATATTAGAAGCTCTTTTAATGCCACATACCTGATTCATTGGATTAACTGATGTTCTGTATTCTTTCTATAACAAATGCCAATGCCCTTGACATGCGAAGGCTAGAGGAGTAAGCCACTTTCGTATATTCACCCACTTTTTCTCTCACCAGTCAAGTTATTCCAGACCTTCTAATGTCAGATCTTATTAATAATTTATTTTTAAATATTATACAAACTAATAAAATATGAAGGTAAAAAATAGTAGTTCTTTCTAGAAAACTAGTTGAATACTTTGTAAAGATTCAATAAAGATGGATCGTTTTGAAATTTGTTGTCAGATAAGTATGCATAAGACAACTGTAAAATGATTTGAGAGAGAATCTTGGAAAACTTGAATACTCCACCAGTTTCTCTACATTTGCCTTGCACCATAAAGAAACCCAAATTAGAAATCATAGGCAATGTAGTCTGGTAGTGATTTATACAAGAAAGCAGACTGAACTCCAATCAGTGTACTCAAGATTTTTTTTAAAAGACTAAAAAAAGGTCCTGGCCCTGCATCAAAAGACTGACAACTGAATGTATATTTTTGTGTATTACATTAAAATAAAATGCATAGAAATGTTTTATTTTTTAAATGACCCCTCAGTCTGACTTTTGCATTTACAAATCTTATCAGGTAAGAGAGCATTTTGTAAAGATAAAATTTTGACACAGAGAAAACAAATCTTTTTCAAACATCCATGAAACCATTATAGAAGTTGGGAAAAGAAATCATGAAGCAAATACCATGCAACTAATGTGAGGCCATGCCGGAGTCACACAGTGCATGACAGACTCAGCCAGGGAGGTTGGATGTGGGTCTAGACTCTCTTGGCATCTTCTGGAGAGGTGTGCTTGAGCAGCGGTTCAGCCTAGCTAACTCATTGCCAGGCAACCTAGAAAAATCCTGTTATCAACCTGTTAGCAATCTGGTTTGTCTCTTTATGGGTTTTTATTACATAGGTTACATTCTCTGTCTACAAAGCCATGAAATTAGAAATCACAACAGAAGAATGGAGAAAAAAGGTCATTTAGAAATAAAGACTCCTCTGAATATCTAAAGTTAAAAGAGAAAAATCAAAACTAAAAATACAGACTATTAAAAATGAAGAAGAGTGAGTGCATTACAAATCAAAATCCATAGGTTAACTTCAACTTCTGGCCAAGATGGAGTAATAGGGATTAGATTTACCCTCCTGCCTGAACCACCCAATACAAAGGCAAAATACGTAAAACAAGACCACGGATATCAGGAACAAAGGACAGTGATCCCAGAGGAACAGAAAACAAATGAAGTGAGTCGCATGATTACCTTGCGTGCTACCTTGAGGGAACGTTTAGGCTGCATTGTGTGGGGTTGGGGGACAGGGCAGGCAGAGCCTGGCAAACTCACTGAGTTCAGAAGACACAGCTGAGAGTCCAGCGAAACAAAGGCAGCTGGAATGGCCGGTACACAGCACTGAAAAGCGATAAGTTGCACAGGGAGAGAACTCTCGGAGACCTGCAGGTTTTCTCCCGTATTCATGAGACAGCTGATCAGTATACAGGTTTGAAGAAACTACCTAAAGATGGAGAAAGGATGTCCCAAAAGAATGAGAGGGAATACTTCTCAGCACTCACATATGACCACAATCAGTGTCTGTTCCCACTAGCCAGAATGGGACATTTCATAACTCATGAGGCATCTACCTATTAGAGTATTCAAGAGTCTTGCCTCACTAATGGGGTGAATTAACCCAAGACTAAATACTTGTCAAATGCCACCTAACAAACCTTAAAAGCAAGTCCTGAAGGGACACTATTGTTTATAAGTAACTTAACTGTGTCCCAGAACAAAACTCACGATTATTTATAGAAATACAAATACTATAATAATTTTACTTTATGGGTAAAATTCAGAATGCCCAGCATACAATTAAAATTATAAAGCATATAAAGAGCACAAAAACACATCTACTAATGAGGAGGGTGGGACACCAACCCCGAACCAACAAAGATACTAGAATTAGCAGATGAGGACATTAAAAATTACTATAAAGTATATTTTAAATGTTCAAAATGTAGGTAGAGACAACAAAGATATAAAAAAAGATCCATGATCAGGTAAATAACTTGAAATTTAAAAAAAGAAAAAAGACATTGAAAAGATCCTCCCAAAAAAGTTATGAGGAATACTACAATGATTAAAATGAAGATTATATTGAAAATCGCTAATTGGACATTGCAAAAGAAAAGATTAGTAAAGATGAAGTCATAGCATTAGAAACTATTCACAATGAACAAAAAGAGAAAAAGTAATTTTAGAAACTTTGTACTAGGCTGGGCAAGATGGCTCATGCCCACAATCCCAGCTCTCTGGGAGGCTGAGGCAAGAGAATCACTTCAGGCCAGGAGTTAGTGACCAGCCAGGCAACAAATTTTTTTTAGAAAAAATTAGCCAGGAATGATGGTGTGTTCCTGTAGTCCTAGCGACCGGGGAGGCTGAGGCAGCAGGATCACTTAAGCCCAGGTGTTTGAGGCCGCAGTGAGCTATGATTGTGCCACTGCACTTCAGCCTAGCAACAGAGGGAGATCCTGTCTCTAAGAAAAAGATAAATAGGCCAGTTGTGGTGGCTCACGCTTGTAATCCCAACACTGGGAGGCTGAGGTGGATCACATTGCTTATGCGAGTCCAGGAGTTCAAAACCAGCCTGGGTGACATAGCAAGACCCCATCTCTACACTACTAAAAATAAAAAATTAGCCAGGCGTGGTGGTATGTGCCTGTAGTCCCAGCTACTGGGGAGGCTGAGGTGGGAGGATCACTTGAGCCCAGGAAGTTGAAGCTGCAGTGAGCTGTGATCGCACCACTGCACTCAGCCTGGGTGACAGAGTGAGACGTTGTCTATAAATAAATGAAATTTCAAAAGATAAATAAAATAACATTTTATACTTACCAGAGAGCTATATAACAAAATCACGCAGCCTCATATAAATGCATTGGAGTTTCCAAAGGAGAGGAAAATTGGTATTAAAAAATTCAAATGTCTAAAGTTGTTTTCAAATCAGGTGAAAACTCCAGATTCATGCAGCTCAATGCACCCCAAGCACAAGAAACATGAAGAAAACTATGTCAAGGCACATAGTAATCAATTGCTCAAAACCAGCTAGAGAAAAATGACACATTATGTGTAAGATTTCCTTATGGGAAATAATCAAGAGAACAATGGACCAACTATTTTTATGAATTGAAAGAAAAGAACCTCATCAATTTAGAATTCTATACCTAGAATTTATTTAAATATATATTTCAAAATATTCTTCAAAATATATTTCAAAATGCTGAAAGAGACTTTTTTAGATATACAAAAGCTAAAAGATTTCATCACCTGCAAAGCTGCCCTATGGGAAATACCACAGGAAGTCTTTCAAGCAGAATAATAATACCAGATAGATAAATGGATCTAACACAAAGGAATGAGGAGCTCCAGAAATGGTAACTATGGGGGTAAATAGTAAGATTTTTTTTCCTATTTTTTCTTAAGTATTATATATAATTTTCTATTATTTAAGAATCTGCCTAACAAAAACAAGGTAGTGTGGGGCTTATAACATATATAAATGTAAGATGTATGCCAAAACAGCACAGCCAGTCTCATCTGAGGATGAGAGGGAAGGTAAAATATATCGTCAGAAACTAAAACTGCACTATTGACAATATTAGGAGTTTTACAAAAATTATAAGAAATACTATGTACAACTCTATAGCAATATATTCAGAAAAAGGGAATGGTTGATTTTCTTGAAAAGTATAAATTATCCAAATTGTTTCCTGAGAAAGTAGCAAACCTGAAAAGATAACTCTAAAGGAAATTGATAAAGCAATCAAAGAGCTATTTCCAAAGCAAACCCAGATAGTTGTATAAATGAGTTCAACACATCTTGCAGAAACGGCTAATTCCTTTATTATTCAAATTTGGGGGGGGGCATAGAAGATGATAAGCTTGCCAATTTATTTTATAAGGCTAGCAGAACCATACTCCTAAACCAAACTAAGATAATACAATTAAAAAACAAAATCAGGCTGGTACAGTGACTCATGCCTGTAATCCCAGCACTTTGGGAGGCCGAGTCAGGCAGATCACCTGAGGTTGGGAGTTCAAGACCAGCATGGCCAACATGGGGAAAACCCGTCTCTATTACAAATACAAAAATTAGCCAGGCGTGGTGGTGGGTGCCTGTAATTCCAGCTACTCGGGAGGCTGAGGTGAGAGAATCACTGGAACCCAGGAGGCGGAGGTAGCAGTGAGCTGAGATTGTGCCACTCTACTCCAGCCTGGGTGACAGAGTGAGGCTCTGCCATAAATAAATTAAAATAAAATAAAAACAAAGTCACACATTATTCATGAATACAGATCCAAAACTTTTTGAAGTTTGACAAAATGAACAAATAGAATTCTAGAATACATGTACTGTGACATGTAATTCTCAGGATGCAATGTTTTAGGTTTAGAGAGCCTATTCAAAGTTTTATGTGTTGAATCCTCCTTTTCCTTATTCAATTAACAGACGTTCTTCCTTTCATCAAAAAGTTTCACTGTTAAATATATGCCAGGCACTGGATCCTGGGAATGCAGTGATGAATAAGATAAGGTCTGTCTTCATAGAGCTGTCTACAGAGACAGACAAGTAAAAAGAAAATTATAATACAGTCTAAAGGCTATGATAAAAGAAAAAGATATTTGGGGAATACATAACTTGGCACTGAATCTGGATTTCAGAGCTCTGGAAAGGCTTTCTAGAGGAAGTAATGCATAGATTGAGCAGTGAAGGGCAGTTACTATGAGAACTAAAGTGGGGAAGTCATCAGAGGAGACTGAAGTAGCACATGCCAAATAGGGGTCATATTAAGTTGAGAATTTTGTACTTAAGTCAGAGGCCACTGAAGCTTTATTCAGGCGAGTGACAGATTTACATCTTCAATTCTTAAGAGTGTGGAATAAATTTGAGGAAAGAAGACTGGAAGCAGGAAAACATTAGGGTGTTCTTGGAATAATCCTCTTGAGAAAATTGCCTACTCTAAGATGGTAGCAGTAGGTATGGGGAAAGTGGGCACACACAACATAATTAGAAAGTGGTATAAAAATTTTATTTTAGATGGGGAAAGGTAGAAAATACTAGGTTAAGTATAAAGGGATTTCTTTACCTATAGTACTTGTCAGAAATTTTATGGTGCTGTTTTTGAGTAAAAGAAAGTCACACAGTAACACAAAATGGCTTCCAAACATTTGATTTTTTTTTTCTTTTTTTTAGAAGACTTTATGAGACACTAGCATTCCACAGGAAACACTATGGGAGAAACTGTTCTCCCACAAAAATAATCTCTTCTTCCTTTCTGTTCTTGCAGCTGTCAATATAGATGAAGCATCCCAAATCTGAAATCTGAAATGCTCCAAAATATGAAACTTTTTGAGTGCCAATACAGATGTGACACTCAGGGGAAAGGCTCATTGGAGCACTGTGGATTTCCGGACCTGGGATGCTCAACTGGCAAGCATTAATGCAAATATTCCAGAACCCAAAACACTTCTCAAGCATTTTGAATAAGGGATGCTCAAACCTGTACTTCTGAGTTGTCTCACCAACTATATTCAATTTTTTAAGGCTGTCTTGTCCTGTCCCTTTACACAATACATGTATTTAGTTTGGTTACTTTCAGCTCACTGAAAGTGAAGTGAAAAAGAAGATTCACCAGAACTTCACAAGCTTCCCTCAAAAAGCCATTGAAAAAGATTATTCTGAGTCAGGGTCATCTGTTAACCAATATAAAAGGATCCGACCCACAGATAACGTTGTAATAAAGCAGTATTAGGCCAGGCGCGGTGGCTCACACCTGTAATTCCAGCACCTCGGTAGGCCAAGGTAGGTGGATCACTTGAGGTCAGGAGTTTGAGACCAGCCTGGCCAATGTGGTGAAACCCCATCTCTACTAAAAATACAAAAACTAGCCAGGCGTGGTGGTGGGTGCCTGTAATCCCAGCTACTCGGGAGGCTAAGGCAGGAGAATCACTTGAACCCGGGATATGGAGGTTGCAGTGACCTGAGATCCCGCCATTGCACTCTAGCCTGGGTGTCGTAGCAAGACTCTGTCTCAAAAAAAAAACAAAAACAAACATGCAGTATTAATCTTCGTTAACATCTACAAACCTACTAAGTTTTCATATGGATAAGATACCCAAAAATAATAATCTCATTGGAAACAAATTCTGTGAAAATGCTTAAGCAAACAAATTGTTTATCTTAATTCTATAGTGAGTAGTTGAATAGCTACATTTACTTAGAAACAGAAAAACTGAATTCATTTATAAACAGGAAATCTAAGTGTACTTTAACTCCTAGAGACCACTGAGGGTAACTAAAGTACTCCAAGCTATAATCGAGGGGTCACTGAAAATCTGATTGTGAAACATCATGCTCTATATGTACAAAAGATGTATTTCAGGATGCTCAAAATTAAAGAACTGATATTCTAAACAGCAGGCAATCAGTGAATAAAAGTATGTTAATTCTTTGTGTACAATGTCTCTGAAGTCAGTGACATAAAAAAAAAAAAATAACACACACCCTTCCTTTTATATTTTCAGTATATTAAAAAGGAACAGTACAAATGCTGTGGTATTAAAAAGGATCCTTATTTTTCAACAAATGAACTTTTATAAACAATTCTGTAATGAAATGAAAACAGTATCTTAATACAAGCTTTTGTTAAACAAGATTTTAAAATTTTAAAATTAGAAAACGTTAAGATTAAACTCTTTCAAAGGTTCAAACAAAAAAACAACCTGTACAATCTCCATTACATGTGTCTTTGTACACAGTCTGGGCACTTTGAAAATGTTAAAGTTTTTAACGTTTGACTGACAGAAGCAGCACTTAAAGGCTTCATGAATCTATTTTCCAAAAAAGTATGCTTTCAGTAAAACATTTTACCATTTTATCTAACTATGCACTGACATTTTTGTTCTTCCTGAAAAGGGGATTTATGCTAACACTGTATTTTTAATGTAAAAATATACGTGTAGAGATATTTTAACTTCCTGAGTGACTTATACCTCAAATGGGATTTAATGAACAATTTCTAAATTTTAGAATGAAACAGTATGTGTAAATCTACACATGTATGTTCAACTAGGGTAAAGCTCAAGAGCATGTCACAGAATTTATACCTAAATTATATAAGAAGTTAAGCAATGCCTTTATCCCCAAACTTTACCAATAAGCCTTCTCAAATAGAATGTTAGTAAAGTGAATCACTGAAAAGTTTCATTTTTGAATTAACTAAAATACCAGTAGCCATTTTAGACTGTCAACCTGGATGTTTTCTTGATTCACTAGCAAGAAATTTCTTGCAATACAAAAAGATAACAAATAATTAAAATATCTGCTTTATCATACAACTTCACCCCCTCCTAAAGTGTCTAAAATGATTAGGAATTGTAGCACTTTCTTTTGCATAAAACCCTTTCCTCTTCATAAAACCCTGAGGTGAAAGGTTATTAATGTAATAAAACCGCAATTCATTTTGTATTAAACTGTAGCTTTAAAAAAATTTATAAAGAAATGTGACAACTTGTAAAGCTGCTCTGTACAGTTTTTCAACAAAATATTTCCATATCAACTTAGTCAAAGGGCCTAAAATGACCCTATAAAAACAATGTCCTTTTAACATGTGTTAGTGTCGAGATGAGCGCCATTTTCCATCTCTACTACTGTCTCTTCTGTTATCATAGTCATGGCTCCAGTCATCATGATTCCTGTCTTCATAGAAGAAATCATCTCTCTTTCCTCTGTAATGATGGTCAGACCCATGATCAGTGTAACGCTGTTCCCGGCTATAATGTCTATCTGCTAGGTAGGGATAAGAATTCATTCTGACTTTACGCTGTGATGATGGTGTACCTTGGCGCCACTGGGAGCTTGAAGACTGATTGAAACTATGACTGTGTGATTGAACTGATGGTGAAAATCCTGATTGATCCAGAGGTGAAGAACCAAATTTTCCACCATATGACATTTGTCTCAAAGCACTGTTCATCTGAGGAATAGGAAAAGTGGAAATGTTAATACTTCTAGATATCAAAGCTAATATGTATTTGGTCAGTTAACAGAAAATGAAAGAAAATAAAGTCACTCTTGCCTAGATGGATCCACAACTAAAGCAGTACAATAGCTTCAATCATTCCAATGTATACCTACAAGATACATATATATACATAAATACTACTCTTTGTCCTCAAGAATGCAACTCAGAATAAGTCACACAAAATGACTATAATGCAAAATCACTGTGTAAAAAACAAAGAATCAGGAGATCAGTATCATTAGGAAAGGTTTCATGAAGGTGGCATATGATCTGGGTATTAAAACAATGGATGGAATATTTTCATATTTTAAGGGAGAGATATGCCAAGAAAAGGAAATTGCACAAACAAAAATAACAGGGAAACACAGAACAGGTTCATAGAATACCAAGTAATTCTTTGAGACAGGTTACAGATCTCGGCTCACTGCAAGCTCCACCTCCCGGGTTCAAGCGATTCTCCTGCCTCAGCCTCCCAAGTAGCTGGGACTACAGGCCTGTGCCACCACGCCCGGCTAATTTTTGTATTTTTAGTAGAGACGGGGTTTCACCATCTTGGCCAGGCTGGTCTCGAACTCCTGACCTCGTGATCCACCCACCTCAGCCTCCCAAAGTGCTGGGGTTACAGGCGTTAGCCACCGCACCCGGCCTTCAGATCTTAATAAGCAGTGAACAATTAAAGGTAAGGCTACAGGGTTTACTGGAATCAGACAATAAGAATCCCTAATAATTGGGCTAGAGGAATCTGACTTCATCTTACAAACAATGGAAAGTCAATGTGCAAGGAAGATAAGCAAAACAGAATTGTAATATTAATTCTGAAATGGTGTGCAAGATGAACTAGTGAGGGGAAAATGGGGGCATAATTGACTAGACCGGTGGTTCCCAAATTCTGCCTGTGGATAAATATTAGTATATGATCATTTTTATTTTAATAGTCTACGGTACAATTAGAAAAATAGGCAATATGTACATAAAAGTTAACATCCTTTATACTGGTCTCTCAAATTTATTTTGACTTCTATATTTCATTTTGCAGACCTATGAAATACAAAAGCCTGGGGACTACAAGTCAAGATCATGATTTAGGCACCAAATAGTTACCAACAGCTTCCTACTTGAACAAATGATGACAAAGATGAAACAGTGAAAGATAGCTAAGATTTTAAGCCTAGTCTCATGATGATGTTACCACCACCAAAAAAAGAAAAGGTTAAGTTTAAAATGGAACTGGTCTAGAAGACCCAAGTTTATGATAAGTCACTCAGGATAGGGTACAGGAGCATCAGACAATGAGTAAATGATGGTTGAAAAGAAAAACAAATGTAAAAGCAGTTTTACTTCTATTTATCTTCAGTCTTTTAAGTATATATTTCAGCCCAGTGAAAACTAAAATGAGTGCTCAATCTACAAATCATGCTAGTCTAACAAAAATTTGAGAAAAAGTTATCTAAAAAGTTCACTTACGCCTTGAGGACTAAAGGAACAAAACCTCCAACTTAACAAAGTTAATTAAAAACCAGTTATTTGATACAATGCGAACATTTTAACTAAGGATGATTTTTTTTTGGCAATTCAAGTTGAAAAATAGTCAACCTACCACTGCTTGTCTCTGAAAATTTTCTGGAGAAGAGAAAGATCTCTGAATTATCTGTGCTGATGAAGTCATGTTATCCATAGTCCTTTCGTACCTGCTAAAAAGAAAACCAACATGTAACCATTCATTCAATAAATATTTACTAACTAACAACCATGAGCAGAACACATTTCTCAAAGGTCGGAATGAACAAGACAGGAAAGGTATCTGCTCTCATGCAGCCAGAATAAGAATACAGACAACAGGATATTTTCTCATGATTTTAAGTGATAAAACGTATGATTAAAGATCAAGTGGAAGTGAAACAGATAGGAGGTTCCCCTATCTTTTAGCTGGTGAGCGACTGCCTTTCTAAAAAGGTGACATTTGTAGTTAGAACTGAACACCAAGGTTACCTAGAGGCAAAAACTTCCCAGCTGAAGGACTAGTGCAGGGGTGAGCAAGTATAGCCAGTGGGCCAAACTGCCAAATTCAGTTTTCCCTAAACAAAGTGTTACTGGAACATAGCCACACCATTGTTTTTGTATTATCTATGGCTACTTTAGTGCTACAATGGCAGAGACAGAAACAGTATCTTCTGCAAAGTCTAAAATATTAACTATATGGTCCTTTCTAGAAATAATTTGTCAGTCCCTGAGCTAATGCAAAGACCTAGATTGAAAACTAAAATGAAAAGAATTTGATCGACTGGATATGTGGAATGAGGGAAGAAACAAAGGATCAAATCTAGACTTGGCTTGAGCAATTAGGTAGATATTTCCCGAGACAAAAAAGAGAAAGAGGTTTTGGGAGGTAAGGAATTAAGAGTTCTGTAACATACATAGGATATTACTTTTGAGGATTTATACCTTATTCCCTATTTATTAAAGGGATAACTTGCTCTACAGAAAAGCTCACTTTAAAAATGTTTTAAATTATTTTTAAATGTCTTTAGAATCAAATAGCCAATTGGCTGGTCTTACACTTTGGATCTTTTAATTTTGCGTTTTTTCAAATCAGGTTATATTATCTGTATGCTGAGGGGGGCAGTACAATTTAGTTTATAGTATAAAAATTATAAACTCTCTAGCCTTTGATTAAAACCAAAGTATTTACTTGTACTTTTTTTTTTTCAAAGAAATTCTTTAAATAGAGAGAGTGCCTTGTTATGTTGCCTAGGCTAGTCCCAAACTCAAGGCCTCAAGTGGTCCTCCCACCACAGCCTTCCAAGTAGCTGGGACTATACGAATGGGTCACTGCACCTGGTTTTTTCTCCCCAAGAAATTCTAAGAGGGAAAACTTTTTATTTTCCTCTACCTAGGATGCCTTTGAAGACTCCATTAAAGGGGCTGGAAGTGCTTTAAATGCCAACTTTACCAAGAAATGTTTAAACACTGTTAATTAATTTCAGCTGGCAAGAAAGAACACCGGGAGGGTACACTTTTTGCACTATTGCTGGCTCACTATTCCACTTTCTAGTATCTCTTCATATCCATCCACTTCTCTCCAGCTCATGGCACCACCTTAATCTAAACTATCAACCTCATCCATCAATAGCTTCCAACATCAATGCCTTGCTACCAAAAGCTTCCTCACTGCTCTATTTTCACTCTTGCCCCCTCCAATCCATTCTCCCACTGCAACCAAACAACTCTTAAAATATAAACTTGTTCCTATCAGTACCCTACCTAAAACATTTCACTGCCTTCCTACTCCATTTTAGGGTAAAATCTCAAAATCCTGATTATAGTTTAAAAGACCCTCTCCAGCCTATCTACCAAAATCCCCTACTGCTCTCCATTTTCATTCATTATGATCTAGGTACACTGGCTTCTTTCAGTTCCACATTCATCTATATCATCTCCTTCTCTTAAAATTTTCTCAAAGCCCTTTGTACTCTTTCTTTAGAGAACTTATTACAGTAATTGAACAGGTATTCACAAAAATATATATAATATGTGTCTTCATTTAGACTTTAAGCTCCTCTAGATAATACATCATAGTGGCTGGGCTCAATCACACTACACTGCCTGGGTTTGAATCCCAGCCCACTGAACCTGAGCAAGTTAACCTCCATTTTTCATTTCCCTTCATATAAGAGGTAGAGATAAAAATAATCCCTACCCTCATAAAACTGCTGTGAGGAATAAATGAAATCATATATGTAAAAGATATGGTGAAGAACCTGACATATGGCAGGTATTTATTAAATCTTTCTTAAATGACTGTTAAATAGCTTTATGGATATACCGGGAAAAATTGTCCCTGGTAAAATATGAACCTCCCCAAAGCAAATAAAATCATTTAAGTAAATATGATATTTTCTAATACTCAGTACCTGAAGAGATTTTACAAATCATTTAATTCAACTTATTTTCCTTACACATGGGAAGACGGGACTAAAGAAAGGAGACTAGCTCAAGATTACACAATTGATAGATGCAGACCTAGAATCCAATTCTAGGAATTCTTAGTCCAATAGACTGTTGACTAACTGGTATTTTTCAACTGTAAGTAACAACCAATTAATGACTGTAAAATAAATTTTAAAATGTTTTAAATGAAATAGTAATCCAAGTAGTGAGGGTAAATAATGTTTTGAGAAATTTTGTTTCAAGTGTATACATGTACTGTACACATATGTGGGTATGGTTATGTCGCTACAAATCAACAAATAGTTATATACGTATCTATTCTAAGGGGACTATATACAATGTGTTTGTCTATAGAATAGACACATTCTATACCCCTTAGAATAGATACATAACAACAACCCCAAAAGGCAAGTAATAACGGCAGAATGAAGAGATAAGAGAATAATGAAGGAGACTATTTACTCATGTGTTTTGAGGCTATTCCCTATAAGAATTCCTGATAAATGATCTTAACAATAAGTGAGAAATATTACCTGCTAGGAGATGTGGAGGTAGGGCTTGAATTTCCAACATGATGTTGGGGATATGACAAACTGACATCTTGTGGGGCATGACTACTTCCTAAAATGAAACAATTTGAAAAATTATTCTTGATAGAAAATCTAATTTGAAATTTTGTCTTCCCCACTTGAAATCACTCCAAAAAGGTAAACACAATCTAAAAGAGAAAAATCTCAAACTACTGGCCGGGCGCGGTGGCTGACGCCTGTAATCCCAGCACTTTGGGAGGCTGACGTGGGCACATCTCTCGAGGCCAGGAGTTCGAGACCAGCCTGACCAACATGGTGAAACCCCACCTCTACTAAAAATACAAAGAATTAGCCAGGCGTGGTGGCGTGCACCTGTAATCCCAGCTACTCAGGAGGCTAAGGCAGGAGAATCACTTGAACCTGGGAGGCAGAGGTTGCAGTGAGCTGAAATTGCACCACTGCACTCCAGCCTAGGCAACAGGGCAAGACTCCATCTCAAAAAAAAAAAAAAAAAAAAAAAAAAAAAAAAAAAAAAAGAATCTCAAGCTGCTGTAGACCGCTTTACGGCTTCATCGGGGTGAAAATTATAAGTGTATAATATCAGATAAGCAAAACAAAGCACTCCATAAATATCCAATCTGACCATAATTTTCTGATCTCCACCCTAAATTGTAACACTGGATACATGGACAGTTTCATCCTCACATGATCAAGAACCAAAATATATAAAAGTAATTACAAAGCAGCCAGGAGAAGTATTTTCAGAAAATAAACCTAGCTCTTTTCAGAGTACCCAAGCCCAGCTCTCTTAGTGATACAGTTTATGTTTTTTCACTAACCCAAAATGAAACTTTAAGCTCAGTTTTGAAATTCTAATTTCAAAATCCATGTGTCAATGTTACCCGTTTTCAGGGATATATAAAGTTTGCTATATAAAGTTTACTATTCACAATGCTTAAGAAAGAAGTTTCATCTACAAATAAGAGGTTCTTTAAAACTGAATAATAAATTTAAAAACAGCAGGAAACAATGCCCCCCGAACCTCATTGGGCAGTTACCTGATCTAAATTGAATTTTGATAGGCCTTCCATAAAGTTTGATTCCATTAAGTAGATTCATTGCATAAGGAACAGACACTTCATGTTTGAAATTCACAAACGCAAACTGCTTTGGTTTACCATCCTTATCTTTTGGAATTTTCACCTTTATTACTGGCCCAGCCTACAAACAAAAAGGTGTTTAGAATTTAAATAAAGCAACTAAGGGAAAATACTCAAATTTTACAAATAAGATATGACAAAGTTTAAAAACAACAGAAACGTAATCAGAAACTTCTTTTGAAAATGATGCACGGATTTCCATTTTGGCTACAGTAAACATCCTAGTTATGACTGAACATTAGATTTATTTGGGGAAGGGGGCCCATAAGGAACTGGAAACACAATCACTTTTGCAATTCACAGCACTGTATGGCTTAACATAGTGACCAATCGCCATTATTTTGCCACTCCATGAAAATGAACATTTATCAAGAACAAGAGAATGATTTTCTTTAACTAAAAACGGACTTTTGTATTGATTAATCAAACAATACCAGTTATTAGGGGATAGGGATGGGGGGAATAGGATACTCAGAATTTTTCACACTTTTTAATACAGCAACACTAAAATGCTGTTTTTCTACGGAGTACTTAACCATTTTATTTTACATATTTTAATAATGCTGCAATTTGATAAGCAAACTTTAGGGGAAAACAGACACAAATAAATTAAAATATTAAGTTCCCAGTCAGATAAACCAAAGACAAATTATCCTAAGGGGAAGATGACAACAGGAAGGATAAGAAAAAGCACTGCTCAACGAAGACCCTACACACACACTGTGTTCCCAAGGACCCCTGGATCTCTACCACGGGAAACCTGATCGAGGATCCCTCCACCACCTTTAGTCGTCACTTTCGGCCTAAACGAACCAAGATCTTCCAGGAAAGCGACACCCAGCGAGCGTTTCGCAACCCAGACCCGCCTTTCACCCCCAAACAGCCACCCGTCGGGTCCCCTGACGGCTACGAAAAGAAAACGGGGTGGCCGCTGGCCAGGCCCTAGGCGAGACGGAAAACGAAAGGCAAAGGGCCGAACCCAGCCGCTTACCTGGTGGAAAAGCTCGAAAAGGAGCTCCTCGGTCACTTTCGTTTCAAGGTTGCCCACAAAGAGAGTGCGATCCGCTTCCGCCGCCGCCGCCCCCATCTCAGCGTCGCCCCCTCCCTAACCTGGCCAAAAGGTCGTGGCCGACGCACCCACTGCGCATTCACGGAAGCCCCACGTCCTCACGCTCCCTGGCGTCACAAACGAAAACGCCCGTTGCGCTTGCTCTCAGCGGGCGACGACGTGCGCGGACGGTCTGCGCATGCTCGCCAGGATACCCCTCGTTAAAGGCAAGGCGGCTTCTGGCTCTTCCGCAGGCTCAGTTATGGGTTCCTGTGTGCTTAGTCATCGGGTCCGACACAGGCTGGACTGATCTGGGGAGCCGCGAAGGGCCTGCCTTCACAAAGGGACGTAACGCAAGTACTGCGGGCAGTGTTTGAATATGGCCCTGAACAATGTGTCCCTGTCCTCCGGTGATCAGAGGAGCAGGGTGGCCTACCGCTCTTCCCATGGCGACCTCAGACCGCGGGCGTCAGCGTTGGCGATGGTCTCCGGAGACGGCTTCCTCGTTTCCAGGCCTGAAGCGATTCATCTAGGACCTCGGCAGGCGGTGCGACCAAGCGTTCGGGCCGAGAGCCGTCGAGTGGATGGTGGCGGCCGGAGCCCAAGGGAACCAGATGGCCGGGGCCGGAGCCGCCAAGCCAGATTCTCACCTTACCCAATCCCTGCCGTTGAACCCGATCTCCTAAGAAGTGTGCTGCAACAGCGTTTGATTGCATTAGGAGGTGTTATCGCAGCTCGAATTTCAGTTTAAACGAACACCTTTCCTCTGGCCCTCACTTAGCTTGTGAACAGGCCTTTTTAAAATCCTTTCTTGGTGTAGCAGCAATCGTGTTGTTTTATTTTTAGATGGATGTATTTTCATTTAATACGTGGGAGTTATATGAATATGTCCTAGCACTAAGGGAAGTGTAACAGTTGATTGATTTAGGTGGTTTTATGCAGCCAGAACGATTGGATCAGGAAAGGTGTGGAAGGGATATTCTTAGGTCGTCACAAAGCTGAGCTGATGGGAGCACCCTCCCCAGAGGTCAACAATCCATTCGTTAACTCAGACACTTAACCTTTACCTTTACTTCTGTTGGCGAAAAAGAAGTGCTCCTTTTTATTACACTGATTTATCCTTCCATCTTTTCCTTGGCATTTACCATCTTCCATCTCCCCCTTCACTTTTTTCAGATATGTCTACAAACAGACTCCAATCTCAGTCGCACTAAAAATAAGAACAAAACCTAAACCTTACAGTTCTTTCAAATTATTAAATCAATTTATTATTCCTTTCTTTGGCAAAGGTTCCAAATTTTTACTTTATATTTGTAATTTTACTATTTGCATTCAGTCCCAGCGCATTAATCTGAATCTGCTGTCCTAAAATACACTGGTGAAAACATTACTTGTACAATCTCCTATCAGAAAACTGTTCATCTACTCACTGTAGTGCCCTCCTTGAAATGTGTGTTTGTTCATTCAACTAACAATATTTGGGGATCCCTGTAGTAAACACTGTATGAATTTTACACAGTCTGGCCATCAAGAAAGATCACGGAGTATATTCTAGATGGGGAGGCTACTAAGTGAATAGGAATCACCACGCTGGGCTGTTTATTAGGTACAGTAATAAACATAAGTACTGGTTGCAGTGACTTTTTTTTTTTTTTTTTCATCATAATACTGCACTATCCTGGTTCTTCTCTTACCTGGCTGATCACTCCTTATTTGCTGTTATTTTTGTTCTCTTAACCATACATTTCCCAATGTTTAAAGGGTGGTATTTTGAGAAAGTTAATGGGTTTTGTAAGTGCCAGCTCTTTATATAAGCAGGTAGACTAGCTTTTTCCCAGCAGACGCTTGTCTGTTTAGACTTCCTTAAAATAATTATCTTCAAATAAAGCAAAATCTCCATACACCACATAGTATTGAATTGTTATAACTACGTGTTAAGAAGAATGTTGAGTAAACAAGATAGCTTCCATAAGAGGGTGATTAATATAGTGAGAATTCTAGAAACCAGATCATAGGAAGAATGATTGAAAGAATAGTAATAGCTACCTTTTATTGAGTGCTATGTGCAAGTCAGTGTGCTAGGACTTCTATTGTTTATAGAGATATTTATTGAGAACTTACTCTGTACCTGCTACTGCCTGCGGTAAGCACTTAGAATAAAGTGGTGAACATGATAAAAGTATGTGTTCCTAAGGAACTTTATATGTTATTTGATTCTCACAGCAGCCCATAAGAGGGGTACTCTACTTTCATTTTGTTACTGAAAAACAGCGTGAAGGAGATAAACTTTCCAAGGTCATATAGCTAGTAAATGATAGAGCCCTGCAGCCTTTCAAATGAGGTTCCTCATCTGAATGCAAAAAAAATGACTTGAGTAACTATTTTCTCAATTTTCCCAAGGATAATATATAACTAATTTTTTTTCAGATAACTAAAAAGAAGTTAGTTTGTAATATACAATGGATGGCTTAATCTGGGCATTACAAAAACCCGTGGTTGAGAAAGGAATTCCAAACTATAAACAGAGTGTTAGACTGGGGAAGAAGAATAAAATTAAAGCTGAAGATAAAGAAGCCTTTCTTAAAACTTAGAGATGCCTAGTAGTGGAAAATACCACCTCAAAAGGTAATGAATTAGCTGCCAGAAAGTTCAGAGAGGCTGAATCTTGTGAAGGATTTTGTCAAAGGAATCCTCATAGTGCGAAATATGACTAGATGACTTCTTCATTTTTTCCCATTTAGTATATAATCCTATGCTTTAAAAAATAAACTCGGTTAAAGTTGAAATGGGGAGTTGGGGGATGAGGAGAGAAAAATTAGGTATGACATATTGGGTGACCATATCAGCAAATGAGGGCACTTGGGAGTGGAAGAGGGTGCCATCAATTATGCCAAGGTGACAGGCAGACCAGTTGGCTCATGTAATTATCACCTACAAAATGATTCAGCACTAAATATGCATTGGAAGCATATTTTTTAGCTTATGAGGGAAAAGAGGATGAGATTTGTCAAATGAAGGAACAAAAGTACACAAAAGTGCTCAAGAGCAAGGGAGGACCAAGTGGGAGTGACTTCATTTCTGTTTGTTCTGGAATGGGGTCATCAAGAATAGGGCTTTGGTTGAATAATAGTGTATGTGCAGTAAACAAGAAAATGGTGTGGTTTGTGTTTTGTTTGGCAAGAGAGAACCTTGTTCACATAAATGCTCCATTATTTTAAATCTGAGTCAATGGATATCTAAATTCTTGTTCTTAACATCTGCAGTAGCATTCAAGTTACAATGTGACCCTCGAGTCACAAAGACTGTATTGTAGAAGCACAAACCAACATAAACCCCTTTTTAATTAAATTATCTAAAGCAGGGACAACTAAGTTTCCCAAGAGCAGACCATATTATTAAACATCCATATATTAGTGCACAAAATGAATTTTTATATAGTATCAATGATTAAACATAGCATGTTGTCATTCTAAAATAGATGATTTCTAAGAATTGTCCCAAACAATTATACTTCTGTAAGTTTTTAAAAAGCCATTGTAACTTTCAGTTTGTTTTTACTGCCTCTACTTCTTATATCATACTAAGCAACTGGCTAGCATGTGTTGAAATGGGGCCCTAATAAGATATTTACTTCCTCTATTCATCAGCACTAAAACTCCTAAAAAGCAGTTTTAAGAACTCTGAAAAAGAAGAGTTGTGTTATTTTTGTTTTGTGTTGTTTTAATATCCATTTGGGAGATTGGAAAAAAAGACCAATGAGATTGCTTCCCTCAGTAGCCAATCTGGTGATAAAGGTAACTTTAAGAGGGCTGACTTGGAAGGTAGAAAAGAAGAAGAAAGGAGGGTGAAAAGTCCAATAGGAGGAAAGAGTAAGGTTCAACTTTCTTTCCAGCAGAATTAATTGTATGTCTTTCATTCCCTTGGTAAGTTTATCCAGATCCCACTAAGGTGCAGCTTTTGTTTTCTTAATTTCTATGAAGAGTTTACCAATTTTTCTAGCCAACAAAATGTATGTTTGAATACCTTTGACTCAGTACCACCTGTGTCCTTTCCTCATTGCCTATTTCCATTCAGTTGCAAAGTCCTGCCCAATTGAAATTCAAAATATATTTATGTTATCTTTTTGTAATCACTCATCACCTGGACTATATTTACCTGGACATGTAGCCTGTTTTCTTTGCCTCTGTCTCTCTACTTCATCCTAAATGTGTGTAGCCTCCAAATTAATATTCCTAAAGCACATCTCTGATCACATAACTAATACTTTAGTGTTTCCCAAAGTATATTCTACAGAACTTTCACTAGAAATACAAGATACACCTTTGAAAAAAAGGCATGAGGCCAATAAATTTGACAAGCACATGCTTTATTGCCTTCTTAGGGAGTCATAATGTGTAAGGGCATGTTAAAGGTTCAGAAAAAGACACCTGTTTGATGATGTTTCAACTTGTGTTTCACAAATTTATTTGTCCATAAATTTAAAATCTTTGCATACTACTGCCTTCCTGGGGAGCCTCTCTTCTACAGAAACGTAATTAGAAATGCCTTACTTAAAAAGCTCCACTGGCTCCCTAATGGATCCAATTTTTCAGGTACTAGAAATGGATTTTTATATAGTGTGTCAGACTTTGGTAAGCTTCCAGAATTTTAGGAGTGGGGCACGATTGGTCGGGCCTGTAGTACCAGGCTGTAGGCTAAGGTGGGAGAATCCCTTGAGCCCAGGAGTTGGAGGAATGTAGTGAGCTACGATCACACCACTGCACTCCAGCCTGGCCAACAGAGGGAGACTCTTTCTAAACAAACAATGTTACTAATTAGGCAGATGGGCTGGTTTTCTCACTCCTGGTTTGATAAGGTTCAACCCTATCTTGACTGCACATGATGACCCATACCTATCAATGTCTTTGGCAAGTGGGTGGGAGAAGGGAGGCAAGCATGCAGCTGCAGATTCCCTAGGCACTGAGGATCAAAATTGGCATTATTACTCATGACAGACATTAGGAACATCCACTGATGAATACAGGTGAGTGCAAGTGTTTCTTAACAATGCTAATGATGTATTTTCTTTTTAAAGTAACAGTTTACTTGGCTCCTTATTTCACTAGAATATCTGAAGGCTGCCCTACTTCAAAATGCACTTCTAAATCAGAGGAAGAAAATATTGCCTTCAACTTCCCAAAGACCTGAGAGTCACTGAAGCAGTGCAACTCTCATACATTGCACACTCCAAAAACATTTCAGACTTTCCATAATGTGACCAAGCTGCATTGCCAGCCTTTCCTCCTTAATTCCCCCAGGTGGTTGCTGTTCTCTGCATCTGTGGCAACGCCCTTAACCAAATTGCTTGTCCTCATTTTCTGTTGGTTAAACTTTTATCCATCTAGATTAGTAAATGGCTCCTTACATTCAAAGAACACACTTATTTTAACCAGGTTAAGCAAAAAATGAACTATATTGACTGACAGAGCTGGGAAGGCAGAGGGCACCTCCTCACTCTGTGTTCAAGTATTTGGGTGAGACTTCACAGCTAATTCCAGGGATAGAGGTGTAATCTATGTCTTATCTCTCCTCTGTAGAAGCTCCCTGAGGGTAGGCAACATGTCTAAATTTATCCTGTGCCCAAAGAGTAGATATTTAATGAATGCGTGTTGAATGAATGAATAACCTTCACGGATAGGCTATGTCTCCTTGGAATCAAAATCCAAAAATACAACATGTCAGGAAGGCAAGGGCATAAATTGTAGTCTCTTTTGTCTGCAATTATCTAGTTGCCTGGGCAAATAAGAGTAACAAGGTAAGATAAATTTTTCTTAAAGGATTACTTCAGTTTGAAATCAACCTGCCGCTAGGAATACAACCTAAAGTTAGCTCCTAATCCAAGATGTGGACAAATATTTATGAACATAAATATTTAATGCATATAACATTTTTCTGTTTATAATTTTAAAAAACCCTGGAAACCTATGCCCAAAATAGATGATGGATTAAAAAAAGTCAATACCTGGCTGGGCGTGGTGGCTCACACTTGTAATACCAGCACTTTGGGAGGCCGAGGAGTCCGGATCACAAGGTCAGGAGATGGAGACCATCCCGGCTAACACGGTGAAATCCCGTCTCGCTGGGCGCAGTGGCTCACGCCTGTAATCCCAGCACTTTGGGAGGCCAACGTGGGTGGATCACCTGAGGTCAAGAGTTTGAGACCAGCCTGGCCAACATGGTGAAACCCCATCTCTACTAAAAATACAAAAATTAGCCAGGCGTGGTGGCAGGTGCCTGTAATCCCAGCTACTTGGGAGTCTGAGGCAGGAGAATCGCTTGAACCTGGGAGGCAGAAGTTGCAGTGAGCCAAGATCGTGCCACTGCACTCCAGCCTGGGCAACAGAGTGCGACTCCGTCTCAAAAAGAAAAGAAAAGAAAATAAGAGAAAAGAAAAGAAAAGAAAAGAAAAGAAAAGAAAAGAAAAGAAAAGAAAAGAAAAGAAAGAAAAGAAAAGAAAAGAAAAGAAAAGAAAAGAAAAGAAAAGAAAAGAAACGAAACCCCGTCTCTACCAAAAATACAAAAAAAATTAGCCGGAGTGGTGATGGGCGCCTGTAGTCCCAGCTACTTGGGAGGCTGAGGCAGGAGAATGGCGTGAACCCGGGAGGCGGAGCTTGCAGGGAGCCTAGATCGCACCACTGCACTCCAGCCTGGGCGACAGAGCGAGACTCTGTCTCAAAAAGAAAAAAAGTTATATTCTAGTTTGCTGCTAACCACTTTCACAAGGATTCTTTTATTTAATCCTCACAATCATGCTATGACAGGGATTGGCAAACATTTTCTGAAGACCTAGGTAGTAAATATTTTAGACTTTGTGGTCCAACAGGTAAAAATCGAAGCTCTTATGTAAATACTTACATAACAAGAGAGAAAACAAACTTTCACAAAGTTTGTTCAAATGAAATTCAAAGTATATTAATTGAATACAATTTTTTGTAGTGCTAATGCTTTCAAGGAAAAGATGGAATTCTTTTTTTGGAGGGATACCATTTCACTTAACTGAAGTACAAAATTAAGTGTTCTTTATCATCAAAATCAATAGCGAATGCTCATCTATAAATGCTGATTTTTAATGAGATTTTGTGTATTTCATCTTCAAAATGTCTTTTCATACAGATAGGTACTGACAAATACTGATATGAATCCACAGGCATATGATTTTAATTGAACATATTCATCATTGGGAAGGCATTTATAAAATTCTATTACATTTTTCTCTTGATATTTGCCTTTTAGCCTGTCATTACATTGCAAATTAATTGCTTCCGATTGAAGTAGAAGCTCCTCAATTGCAGAGTTAAATGGACTTTGAATTGTGAACATATTCTTTGCACTTATGTCCAGGTCTAAAAGACACTGTTAGAACTCTACCTTGAGCTTGTAAAATTTATCTACTGCAAGTATGTGTGGGTGTGGAGATCTTGCTTCTTGTTTTAACTTTTAACAGATAGGAAGGCATAAAGCAGCTTGAGATGCTGGTGTTCAAACAATGTTAAGTTGTTGTTGAAATGACTTTACCACCCTATAAGTGTGGCATGTAAGAGCTGTTTTGCCTTATAATTTTAGGTTTGAGAAACATAAGTCTGCAGCAAAAGCTAATTGCTGAACCCGTTCACAGTTCAGTAACAGGTTAAAGGTACCACTTTACTTTCCAACCATTTCTAAATGTACTAACCATTCTTAGCTGGAGGACTGTACAAAACTAGCAGAGGGCTAGATTTAGCCTTCAGGCCTTAGTTTGCAGAGAATTTTAGTAACTGCCTAAAGGCACAGAACTATGTAGTGGTGGAGGGAGTATTCACTTGTTGACTATGCAATACCACTTATCATGCTAGAGTGGCCAGTGGGCAGATCTGGCACGGGGTTTTCTGTGGCTAACAGGATTTTTTTTTTTTTCCTGAAAAAGATGCATTGTACAATTTTTTTTTGTTTTTTTTTTTTTGAGACAGGATCTTACTCTATTGCTCAGGCTCTGGGGTGCAGTGCGGTGATCATGGCTCACTGTAACCTTGGCTTTTTGGGCTCAGGCAATTCTGCCACCTCAGCCTCCCCAGTAGCTGGGATTACAGGCACACACCACCATACCCAGCTAATGTTTTTTCTTTTTTCTTCTTCTTCTTCTTCTTTTTTTTTTTTTTTTTTTTTGTCTCATTCTATCACCTAGGCTGGAGTGTAGTGGCATGATCTCAGCTCCCTGCAACCTCCATCTCCCGGGTTCCAGTGATTCTCCTGCCTCAGCCTCCTCAGTAGCTGGGATTACAGATGCCCATCACCAAGCCTGGCTAATTTCCGTATTTTTAGTAGAGACGGGATTTCACCATGTTGGCCAGACTGGTCTCGAAGTCCTAACCTCCAGTGATCCACTCGCCTCGGCCTCCCAAAGTGTTGCGATTACAGGCATAAGCCACAGCACCCAGCCCTTAGCTAATTTTTTTGTAGAGATGGGGTTTCGCCATGTTTCCCAGGCTAGTCTTGAATTCCTGGGCTCGAGTGATCTGCCAGTCTCAGCTTCCCAAAGTGTTGGGATTACAGGCATGAGCCACTGTGCCTGGCCACAATATTTAATATGTACAAAACAGTGTAAGTAAAATGCAACCAATACCTGTATACTTACCATTCAAGTAAAATATTGCTCCACATGTTAAACACCCTTGGTTTAACTCAGCTTGATAATCTGCCCACATCACTTATTCCTGCCAAACATAATCGTTGTGCTGAATTTGGTGTTTTGCATTCCCATGCTTTATTTTAAAAAAAAAAAAAACAGCTTTAACTACGTGTCTATCCCTGATGTATCCCTAAGTGTAATATCTAATTGTTTTACATGTTTTAAAACAACATAATATATTATATTGCACATATTCTTTTGTGACTTGCTTATTGTCCCCACTGAATTTTGTCAGCACATGTTTAGAAATAAAATAAATTTGAATCCCTTTTGCTGGGACATGCATTTTTGGTTACCACCACTCCCTGCCATCTTATACTCATCCATTTTGTGTATTTTAGTTACTACCTGGACCCTGAAGCTATCTGAGTCTGCAACCCCTGATTTAAGATGGTGTTCAACATGCAGCCATTCAAATATTTTTGAAATTTTAGTAATATGAACTGATTTGTGATATAATTACATTTATATTATTTAAGATAAAAATTGGATATGAAATTGTATGTATTATATGATCTTACCTATATGAATGAAATATGCATTAAAAAACTAGAATTGCCAAAATGTTATTTCTAAGTGATGGCATTTTTTTGTGATTTGTACTTTGCTCATTATATTTTTCCGAATGCATAATTGCAAATTTTAATCAGGAAACATATTTATTTTATTTTTACTTTTTGTAGAGATGGGGTCTTTCTATGTTGCCCAGGCTGGTCTTGAACTCCTGACTACAAGTGATCCTCTGACCTCAGCCTCGCAAAGCGCTGGTATTACAGGTATGAGCTACCATGCCCAGTCAGAATTTTTTATTTATTTTATTTATTTTATTTTTTTGAGACAGAGTCTCACACTTGTAGCCCAGGCTGGAGTGCAATGGCACGATCTCGGCTCCCTGCAACCTCTGCCTCCCAGGTTCAAGCGATTCTCCTGCCTCAGCCTCCCTAGTAGCTGGGATTACAGACGCCTGCCACCACACCTGGCTAATTTTTTTGTATTTTTAGTAGAGACGGGGTTCCACCATGTTGGACCAGGCTGGTCTCCTGACCTCAGGTAGCCCACCCACCTCGGCCTCCCAAAGTGCTGGGATTACAGGCGTGAGCCACAGCACCCCACCCAGAAAATACTCTTAAAACTTTAAATTATCTGTAAAATATTTAAATAAAGCTATTACAATTTCTCTTTATTTCTTTTTTTTAATTAAAAAATTTTTTTTGTAGAGATGGGGTCTTACTATGTTAACCAGCTGGTCTCCAACTCCTGGCCTCAAGCAATTCTCCTGCCTTGGCCTCCCAAAGCGCTGGGATTACAGGCATGAGCCACAGTGCCCAGCCTCTCTTTATTTCTTTTCTCTTTTTTTTTTTTTTTTTTTTTTGAGACAGAGTCTCGCTCTGTTGCCCAGGCTGGAGTGCAAGTGGCACAATCTTGGTTCATTGCAGCCTCCGCCTCCTGGGTTCAAGTAATTCTCCTGCCTCAGCTTCCCGAGTAGCTGGGATTACAGGCATGAGCCACCACACCCAGCTTATTTTTGTATTTTTAGTAGAGACAGGGTTTCACCATGTGGGCCAGGCTGGTCTCCAACTCCTGACCTCAGGTGTTCGTCCACCTCAGCCTCCCAAAGTTCTGGGATTACAGGCGTGAGCCACCATGCCTGGCCTCTGTATCTCTTAATCATATTAAGTTTAGACTATTATTAACTACTTAACATAAATCAATCAATTCTTGCATTGTCCTCCCAGTAGGTCATTTCAAAATAATAATAAATTATGTATAGGGGCTACAGCCTAGGCCAAAGAACAAATGCATTAGCTCTGCTGAATCATTTTTCTTAAACACTGTCAAACAAAGATTGTTAAACTCTATCAAAACAAAGATTGTAGGCCAGGTGTGGTGGCTCACGCCTGTAATCCCAGCACTTTGGGAGGCCAAGGTGGGTGGATCACCTGAGGTCAGAAGTTTGAGACCAGCCTGGCCAACATTGTGAAACCCTGTCTTTACTAAAAATACAAACATTAGCCAAGCATGGTGGCTTATGCCTGTAACCCCAGCTACTTGGGAAGCTGAGGCAGAAGAATTACTGGAACCCAGGGGATGGAGGTTGCAATGAACCAAGATCGTGCCACTGCACTCCAGCCTGGGCAACAGAGTGAGACTCTGTCTCAAAAAAAGAAAAGAAAAGAAAGAGAGGCTGGGTGCTGTGGCACACACCGGTGATCTCAGTGCTTTAGGAGGCCAAGGCAGGAGAATTGCTTGAGTCCAGCAGTTGGAGACCAGCTGGTTAACATAGGAAGACTTCCATCTCTACAAAAAAAATTTTTTTAATTAAAAAAAAAAAAGAAATAAAGAGAAATAGTAATATCTTTATTTAAATATTTTACAGATAATTTAAAGTTTTAGAAGTATTTTCTGGGCGGGGCATGGTGGCTCACGCCTGTAATCCCAGCACTTTGGGAGGCCGAGGCAGGTGGATCACCTGAAGTCAGGAATTCAAGACCAGCCTGGTCACCATGGTGAAACCCCGTCTCTACTAAAAATACAAAAAATTAGCCAGGTGTGGTGGCGGGCACCTATAATTATCCCAGCTATTAGGAGGCTGAGGCAGGAGAATCACTTGAACCCAGGAGGCAGAGGTTGCAGTGAGCTGAGATCGTGCCATTGCACTCCAGCCTGGGCAACAAGAGCAAAACTCCGTCTTGAAAAAAAAAAAAAAAACAACAAAGATGGTTCATATTGATACAATAGTGGGTTAGATTATGGTCCCTGGACTCAATGAATTTGTTGAGCACAAGTAGTCTCTTTATTAACTGGAGAAGGTGGCATTCTTTAGTTTAACGTGTGTTTATTTACATCTATAAAATACCTAGATATAAAACCTTATTTAAAATGTGCAGATCATGTTTTTGTTTTTTCGTTGTTTAATTCTGGGAAGCCCTTTTTTCAATGCTTGTTTTAAATCATTTTAAAATATATTTGTAAAACTAAGTTATGTGTGTGAGCCTGTATATAATATGATTTGGGAGGTCATCATTCTGATCATTGTGCAAAATATACATGTGTAAAATCATATATGAGGTCTTAGGATGATGTCACTAAATCCTCTTTATATGTGGCTACTAAAAATAGACCCTAGCCAGGCACAGGCTCACGCTCATAATCTCAGGGGTTTGGGAGGCTGAAGCAGGAGGATCGCTTGAGGCCAGGACTTTGAGACCAGCCTAGGCAACCTAGTGAGATCCTGTATCTACAAAAAATAAAAAATTAGTATGTGGTGGTGTGTACCTGTAGTCCCAGCTACTCAGGAGGCTGAGGCAGGAGGTTTGCTTGAGCCTAGGAGTTCAAGGTTACAGTGAGCTATGATCCCACCCCTGCACTCTAGCCTGGGCAACAGAGTGAGACCCTGGCTATAAAAAAAAAAACAAAAATTAACTGCATCTTATATTAAGTTCCATTTCATAATTGGCTCTAATAGGAGGGCACCTTATAAACTTACTCTGAAAGTACTGTCTAAGGCTATTGTGGGTAAACAGTTGTAGTATATTTATGCCATGAAGTACTACTCAGCAATAAAAAGGAATTATTTACTGATATACACACAACATCAATAAATCTCAAGAGCATGCTGAGTGAAAGCAGCCAGACACAAAAGACTATATACATATGATTCTACGTAGATGAAACTCTAGAAAAGATAAATCTAATGTATATTGGTAAAAGCTTATTGGGGCTTGCTTGAGGATGATAATTGATTGGGAAGAGAGGACACAGAAATTGTTTGGAAGGTGATGAAAATATTCTATGTTTGATTGTAATGATTATTACATGGGTATATATAACAGTCAAAACTTATCAAGCCGTACATTTTGAATGGATGGATTTATTGTATATAAATTATTTACTTATTTACTTAGAGATGTGGTCTCGCTCTATTGCCCAGGCTGTAGTGCAGTGGTGTGATCATAGCTCATTGTAACCTCAAACTCCCGGGCTCAAGTGATCCTTCCACCTCAACCTCCTGAGTAGCTGGGGTTACAGGTGTGAGCCACCACACCTGGCTCTGTATATAAATTATATATTTCAATAAAATTGGAAAATAAACAAAAATATTTTATTGCAAAAAGGGTAGTCTACATGGTATTTATAAAGAGACAATCTTATAAGCAAGTATTTGCCAGGGTTTCTCCTGTAGGGAAGTGTGTGCCCCAATGTGAGAACACTAACATCTCATGCCTGGCCAGATAAAACTGCCAAGTGAAACCCATCGGTTGTTGTTGTTGTTGTTGTTGTTGTTGTTTTGCCCTTGCTCCAAGCTGTAAAAGCAAACATCGATCTAGCATGTCTTCAGGGAGAGAGTGTACTCAGTTCATCTGAGCATTCCAAGCCCCAAGGTGTCTTAGTCCATTTTCTGCTGCTATAACAGAATGCCACAGACTGAGTAATTTGTAAAGAATATACATTTATTTGGTTAACAGTTATGGAGGCTGGGAAATCCAAGAGCATGATGCCAACATCTGGTGAAGGCCTTCATGCTGTGCAATGTGTTATCCCATGGCAGAAGAGCAAGGAAGGGCTGAGACAAAGAAAAACGTGCCAAACTCCTACAGAGCCCTTATGACCTAATCACTTCTTAAAGGTCCTACTTCCTAATATTATCACATTTGCAATTAAATTTCAACTTCAGTTTTGGAGGGGACATTCAAACCATAGCACATGGTTATTGGCATTCTGCTTTATGTACCAACTTCTTGTCAGTTTGGTTAGTATGAGACAGTTCCAAAGAACCTCATCATATTTGGAGGCCCTTACAAAGAGCTCCTTAACATCTGAAGCTTGAGGATCAGCTCCTCGAGCACAGTGTCTATATTAATGCACTTCTGTTTCTAGAAAGTCCTTTCTCGACCATCCTCCAGTTCAACATCTCTTAGGTCATACTTCCTTTACATCCTCTGCACTTCACAGATACAATAATACCTCAATTCCATTTCATTTTTCAACTTATTAACAAGCCTATATGGCCAAAGTGAAGACTTGGCAATCATAGGTCAACAATGTAAGTATTTTCCAATAAAATCCCAACTTTCTTGCTGTTAACTGGGTAAATGGACACAGTGAGGTCTTTGTTGCTGGGTTATCTGGGTGTAGCTGGCCTCTGACAATATTTTACATATAAATTAATATTTATAGGCTACTTCATTTCAGGCAAAGCAAAAGATGTTGCCACGCCACAGGAAATTTCAAGATTTTTGTGGGGGAATTCTGGCAAACTTGCCAAATGATGACATTCCAGCAGTTTTGGAAACAATCTAATATGTTGGTGTGGAAATACTGCATATAAATTCTTTAATTATCTCTCATTTTGGCTAAATTTTAGCTTTGTGGTGTGAGAGCAGATCTTCATTTCCACTGCTGCCATAATATTTGATGGCAGTTCCACTTGGCTCCTTTCTAGGCCTGAGTTCAGAGCAATATGGCAGTTTTGTGATGTGGACACAGTTTCTATGCTAAAGCCATCCATTTTAATAAAGTAAAGGTCTAGCCCATTGAGCCCAGTTGAATACAGCTGTTGCATTGATCTCTTCTGATGCTACAGCCATTGAGTTCATTTCCTTAATCACGTTTTCCATACGGGTAAAAGCATGAAGCTGCTTAGTATCTTCCAGAGTGCATGCATTCTAATTTCAGAATTTAATCAAATGGAACTGGCTTCCTGACAGAGTAAACAGAGCAAAATACTGTATCCAGACCAGCTGCCAAGCTAGCAGCCTGAATTTATTTTTCCTTGCTTTGTTAAATGCATCTTGAATTTTTGAAAACATAGTCCAGGTTTAGGAAATTTAACATTTTTGAATCAAGATCAGTCACCTCTAATATCCCTCCATAAATACATCCATTAAATTTCAAAAGTCAGGTAGCTGAGTTAATCCTTTCTCACCTGACTGTGACAGAGAAGAAAACACATTCCTTTTTTTCTATTGAACATTGAACGCAGGAATTGTGAACATAGACACTTGCCATTTGGGCTAATCAAATGGCAGAGTAACTTTAAATATCTATCGTTTTTTCCTGATTGCTAGCTCTGTAGTTCTTATTTGACTCTTAGAATCTAACTCATCTCTGAAATCTTTCCAGGTATTCTCGATGCCACTTTTTAATACATCATTCAATATATAAATATTACAGTTTTATTTATAATATAGGTTCTATGTAGCAACCAGGACACATAAAGAGAAATGAAAGAGGCAGCTGAGTGAAAATACCTATTTCTCCAACCACTTGGCTTATGAAAGAGGGCTTGAGGAGGTATAGAACATTGTTACCAATTACTTTGTTATTGCTAATTCTAATTTTTCTATCTGCAAAAATAAATTTTTTGCTGCATATATATTCTTTATTAAGCACAAATATTTATGCTTATTTTTATGTAGTAATTTCATTTATCCTTTTAACACAATATCAAGGATAGCCTTTGGAGGAGGTACATGATGGACTGAGAACTTTATCATTTAGCTAGGGGATTCTTAGAAATGCACATAGCCTCAAATCAAATCAAAACAAGTAGTTTATTTATATCCTAACTTCCTAGGATTTCTCCTGTTTATATCTTCAGCTCCTTTTCCAGGCTAACCCCTAATCATACATAAAAATTTAGATCAGCTATTACCTCCTCCCAGAAGCCTTCCATGCTCTCTTTTCTTCTGTTTCTTCATATTCATTCTTATTTCAAATGTCATCCATATGCTGAGGACTCCCAGATCAAATCTCTAATCCAGATCTCCCTGAGCTTCAGATTGTGTATAATAATTTGTATGCATAACTGTTTACTTACTGTCTCCATTTAGATGGCATCTCAAACTCAACATGCCCAAGCCAAACTTATCACTCCTTATTCAAAAACCCTAACCTGGTACTAATGAATTAGTTATCTGGTGCTGTGAAACAAATTACAAAAATCTGGTGGTTTAAAAAATAACGAACATTTATTACCTTACAGTTTCTGTGGGTCAGAAATTTGGGAGTAGTTTACCTAGGTGGTCTGGCTAAAAGTCTCTCACAAGGTTGCAGTAAGATGTTGGCCAGGGCTGCAGCCATCTGATGGCTCAAATGGGTATGAAGGATCCCCTTCCAAGATGGCTCACTCATATATCTGGTAAGCTGGTGCAGTCTGTTGGTAGGAGACCTCAGTTCTTCCCCATGTGGACCTTTTTATAGGGCTCCAGAGGGCTGCTTGGCTGTCCTCACAACATGGTGGCTGACTTCCTCTCCAGAACAGGCAATCCAAGAGAGAACAAGGAGAAAGCTGCAATATCTTTCATAACCCAGCCTCAGAAGGCAAACACTGTCGCTTTCTCAGTATTCTTTTAGTCACACAGGCTAGCCACAATTTAATGTGGAAGGTGAGTCATAAGAGTGTAAAGACCAGGAGATAAGGATCATTTGGGCCATCTTGGAGGCTGGTTACCACCACTGTCAAGCCAATGGCTCATACTAGATACCTGAGAGTCATTTTGACACTACACTCCTTCTCTTTACGACATTTAGTCAATATCAAATCCAGTCTACCATATCTATACTCTGACTCCATCTACTGTTACCTCTCTGCTCCAAGCCACCATCATCTCTTGTCTATAGTCCTGCAATAGCTTGTAAAGTGTTCTCTCTCATCCTACTCTTATACTCCTTCAACTAATTTTCCACACAGGCATCAGTAATCTTTTAAGAATGCAAACTGACTATACCACTCTCCAACTTAAATATCCTTCAATGGTTTCCTTTTGGATATACCAGACATGTGAACTTGGACAATTTACTTAATCATTTTTAGACTCAGTTACTTCCTCTTTAAAATAATAATAAAAAAAGCCAACTCGGCCAGGCACCGTGGCTCACACCTGTAATCGTAGCACTTTGGGAGGCCGAGGCAGGTGGATCATGAGGTCAGGAGTTCAAGACCAGCCTGACCAACATGGTGAAACCCGGTCTCTACTAAAAATACAAAAAATTAGCCAGGCGTGGTGGTGTGTGCCTGTAATCCCAGCTACTCAGGAGGCTGAGGCAGGAGAATTGCTTGAACCTGGGAGGTGGAGGTTGCAGTGAGCTGAGGTTGTATCACTGCACTCCAGCCTGGGCAACAGAGCAAGACTCCATCTCAAAAAAAAAAAAAAAGGGCAACTCATGGAGTTGTAGTGAATATTAATTTAGGCAAAGTATTTAATTGTAGAAAAGTTCCTAGAAGTGAACCAGTGCTCAATGCCTATTGAAGAACAGGTCACTTCTAGTTGACACATATTGTTTTCCTCTGATGGCATCAGGAGGAGAAGTCTTTCTGGGAGGAGGTAATTAGCCTGATGGGGTGGAGAGGTTTAGTGAACTATGTCTTCTGTGATAAAAATAGAGCAGAAGCACAGTCAGAGTCTCAGTTGCCATCTCCTTGGGCTTGCAGCAGGGAAGAAAGAAGAAGGTAGCAAGAGGGAGAGGGTGGACTTGATGGCTTGGCCTAGACATGATAATAAGAAACGTTAAGATTGGGTAATCTCTTGGCATTATGCAATCTCCTTCAAACTGCAGGCTTTTAAACTTTTCTGGAGTAAAGAACCCCTTTGAAAATCTGCTGAAAAATTGACAAACGCAATCTAATTAAACTTAAGAGCTGCTGCGCAGCAAAAGAAACTATCAACAGAGTAAACAGACAACCTACAGAATGGGAAGAAATACTTGCAAAATATGCATCTAAAAAAGATCTAATATCCAGAATCTATAAGGAACTTAAACAAATTTACAAGAGAAAAACAAACAGCCCCATTAAAAAGTGGGCAAAGAACATGAACAGACACTTTTCAAAAGAAGACATACCTGCAACTGACAAGCATATGAAAAAAAGCTCAATGTCGCCAATCATTACAGGAAAGCAAATCAAAACCACAATAAGATACCATCTCACACCATTCAGAATGGCTATCATTAAAAAGTCAAAAAATAACAAATGTTGGTGAGGTTGCAAATAAAAGGGAACACTTATACACTGTTGGTGGGAGTGTAAATTAGTTCAACTGTTGTGAAAAGAAGTATGGTGATTCCTCCAAGGGCTAGAAACAGGAATACCATTTAACCCAGCAATTCCATTACTGGGTATATACCCAAAGGAATATAAACCATTCTACCATGAAGACACATGCATGCGTCTGTTCATTGCAGCACTATTCACATTAGCAAAGACATGGAATCAAGCTAAATGCCCATCAATGACAAATTGGATCAAGAAAATGTGGTATATATATACTACGGAATACTATGCAGCCATAAAAAAGAATAAGATCATGTCTTTGTGGGAATATGGATGGAGCTGAAGGTTATTATCCTTAGCAAACTAACACAGAAACAGAAAACCAAATATGGCATGTTCTCGGTAATAACTGGGAGCTAAATGATAACAACTCATGAACACAAAGAAGGGGACAATAGACACTGGGGCCTAGTTGAGGGTAGAGGGTGGGAAGAGGGAAAGGAGCAGAAAAAAATAACTATTGGGTACTAGGCTTAGTACCTGTATAATAAAATACTCAGTACAATAAACCCCTGTGACACAAGTTTACTTATGTAACAAACCTGCTCATGTACCCCCAAACCTAAAAATAGAAGTTTTTCTAAAAAGAGAATCTACTGAAAGACATAAGCTCTCTATAAAAAAAAAATGTACATAGTCATATGCATGCAAAATTTGGCAAATGATTTCAAGGAGTCTGGGGGTTCATGTAAGAGCTCCTGCTCCAAACAGAGGCCCTTCCCTAAGAATCAAATTCAAAGGCCATTTTGCAATAAAAAACAAAAGGAATTACCTTATGCATACGGTACATATGAAGATTTCCATTTTTGCTCCACAGATCACTTAATCAAACTTACTCTTTCAATGATCGTATTATATATTTTGAAGGTATAAAGACTAAGACACACACTGGCTTTCACGCATAATTCTGTTTATACCTCATCCCATCTGTTAATATGGATACCTTCCTTAGTCAAACAAAATTAAGTGACTTAACGTGCCAAATGTTGGACTGTTTGGAAACACATAGTTTATCTTTAAGAACCCAAATAAAAATTCAAGTGTGCTTTGATTTAAGAGAGTTTAAATGTAGTTATTCAGAAGTTTTTAAAAAAAAAATTCAAAAAAGAACAAGTAAATAGTTACATTCTATTTTCTTCTCCAGCTTGACATTTTATAGTTTAAGATTTTAGAATAACTGTGGGAGTAACTTGTTAGAGTATCAGTTAAACTAGGCTGTCACTGTGTTGTTGTTTTATTTGATGAGATCCCACTAAGACTACAGCATCTCACTGTGTGAGAGCCAAGAGCTGACAGGGAGTGTGCAATCTCTTCTGTAATGCTTCTTTATATTTGACAATGGAAGCGGTCCTGGACCATATCTCAAGCAGCTAAACCACAGTGTTGTCTCAATGCTACCTCACCCTCCAAAGTCTTTTTTTTTTTTTTTTTTTTTTTTTAAACAGAGTCTTGCTCTGTCACTCAGGCTGGAGTGCACTGGTGCCATCTCAGCTCACTACAACTTCTGCCTCCTAAGTTCAAGTGATTCTCCTGCTTCAGCCTCCCGACTAGCTGGGATTACAGGTGCACGCAACTACGCCTGGCTAATTTTTGTATTTTTAGTAGAGACAGGGTTTCACCATGTTAGCCAGGCTGGTCTTGAACCCTGGACCTCAGGTGATCCATCTGCCTCAGCCTCCCAAAGTGTTGGGATTACAGGTGTGAGCCACCACACCCAACCCCAAATTCTTTATCTACAGGATGTTGGAAAATGAGGGAAACTAGTTATGGAGCTCCAGGTATTTAACATGTATGATATACTTTAATTATTACAAGAAGCCTGTGAGAAAGGGGTCTTTATCTCCATTTTTCAGAGCAGGAAACTGAGTCACTAAGTTACTAACCCATATTGTCACAGCTAGTGAGTAGCCAAGCTCAGCTCCAGATCCAGGTCTGCCTGCTCGTTTCAAGAGCTCATTTCAAGTTCTACCTCTGCAGAAAAACTCCTTCAAGACATCTGCCTACAGTGCAAGCAGCAGCCTGTGTAATTAGTGTGGTCTTTTGGTAAAGATATTTCAGTCTTGACATAGAACAAAGGGAAGGTATAAGTTAGAAACAAGTTTTTAGATCTTCCTTTCCCCTCTAAAGAAGTAAATGACACTTATCTCAAAGAAAGATCAAGTCTTCGTAAGCTGGGAGGAGAGACTGATCTTTAAGAGAATCAAGGCCCTCGGCAGTGGAGAGAATTTAAAGAAAGATCAGAAGCTGACATAAGTGTGTCAAATAGGAAGTTGAGGGAAAAGGAAAAGATTTCTGTTTTCAAAACTGGTCTAAAGCGCTCGGAGACTGTGTCTTGTTTTGTCTAAGCATGTGAGTTGGTGGCCGGAGCATAAATCAAAGATAAAGTTGTGTATACCTCTTTTTGGAGAGCATAGCAATAGCAGAACGCTCAGATGAGAACGTGCTTCTGTTTTACTGCATCCAGGGGTCCAGCCTCCTTTGGTCCCTCAGCTGCCTCATGTTGCCGGAGCTGTTAAGGAAGATTTCATAATTTGCACTGCTCAGTGACAGAACATCCTGATGAGGAGACAGCAAAAGTTGACTTAACAGAAAAGCACCTCAAGCACAAATCTGTTCCTCAGGAGGTTCCACTGCAATAAATGGAGGGAGTTTCAGAAAGAGGACCCAATTAATGCTCTTGACTTGTGTCCTCTTCAGCTCTAGGGACCAAGTGTGGTAACATGGAAAGGGCATGTCTAGGCTTTACTGTGGGAGAGAAATGGGTTCTTATCCCAGCTCTGTCATTTATAAATGGGTGTTTTGCGTGCCCCTCCTCCCAGGGGCTCCACGCCTCCATTGTGACTCATTAACTTAGGTAAGAATGAAGGGTCTCATTCAACCCCTCATTCTTACCTAAGGGTTGTGTGAGACCCCTTCTCCAAAGCTTTTTGCATCTTAAGAAAGATAATTCCTAGGAAAGGTAAAGGAATGATTCTGTTATCTCCAGCAGTGTAATGCCTAGTATTTTTGGCCTCCTGGCAGGCAGGGAAGACACTATTTTTAGGTAGAGATTGGGCTTAGCAGCCTTGGTCAGATGCAGGTGCCCAGGGCAGCTGTACCACGCTCGGCTCAGCTCTGTTCCTGTGTGCCCTCATGAGCTGCCTAATTCTTTTCCCAAACATCTGCTTGCTGTCAAGTTAGGAAAGCTACACCTGCTTTCCACTTTCTGAGGGATGTTGAGAGGATTCGTGAAAGGCTGTAATGAAGGGAATTGGGAGATTTTCAAGACAGATATTGTTTAATTGCTTAGGTTGTGTCTGTGAGTAAGCTTAGATGTGGAGAGCTGACAACTGCCTGGGGCATCAGTCAAGGTTCCTGTTCTGGAGCACAGGGGAAGCCCCAGGCATGGTCCAGGTTGCCTCTGCCACTCTGCAGCGTAATGGACATGAACTCCTGCTAGCCTCATATTAGGCTGGTTGCATGCCAAGGCAGGGGCGGGGGATGTGGCCCCTTAGGCTCCATGGTCCTTACCTTGTGAGACTCCCCAGAAAGGAGGGGTTTTAATAGGAACAGAGGCTTGATATCAAACACCTAATGTGTCTAATGTGCCTACCATCCTTGCCTAATTTGCTCAGAGTAGTAAGATTAGGCTGGATAATTCAGCCAGACAGTGGGGTAATTTTAGTTTTTCACAATTGTTGCTTCCATTAGTGGTTCATTCAATTATATAGCAGCTATAATATATTTGTAAAATACTTTACAGTTTGTAAGAGGTTGCCTCCTCCTTTTTTCTCCTTGGCTTCCAACAGTTCTGTGAGATATACCCAATTAGGATAAGATTGAACTTTAGGGACTTGAAATATGCAATTGCTCAAGCAAAATTATTTATTTCATAAACTAGCTTAGCAAGCAGCTCTCTTCCCTTCAATTATTCAGGGAACAGAGTCTTCACCATCTTCTTTCTTTGTCCAATTTTGTGTAGGTGCCTCACCTGGGTCATAGCCAGTGGAAAAAGGAAAGCTTATGATATCTCTTGGTCTGGTATTAAGAGGCCAGGCTGGAAAAGGAAGGCACCATTTCCATCATATTCTTCTGGAGAGAACTTAGTCTCATCTTCTTCACAGAAGATGGGGAAAGGTGGCCCAGCTGGTCAGCCCTGTGCCTGGCTGCATTTCTGTTACTATGGAAGGAGGGAAAAAGGAAAGCCAGCAGTGCATGTCACGCTTACATAAGGTCAGTATTAGTCTTTCTTTCTACAGACTAGGAAACAGGGTTAGAGAGGAGAAGTGACTCAATCAAGGACCCACAGTGCAGCTAGCAAAGAGACAGCACTGGAGCAATGGCATTGGTTATGGCTCCTCGGTTCTTTTCTTATGGCTACCATTCTTCCAAGACGTTGGGACAGATCATTTGAAATTAGAGCTGCCCTGGAAAGGCTGGGGTGTTATTAACACCCACCCAGGAAGTCAAAAGTTGTGGGTGCTGGAGAGTGACAGCATTGTCACTCCTTCTGCCTTCCTTCCCTCCTCCCAAGGACAAAGACTCCAAGCTGGTGGCTGCACTGCCTGCTGGGGTCCTAGGCTTTGGAGAGTGACTGCGTACAGATATACAGAATCAAGCAGAGATATTGGTAAAAGCCCTTCTCTCACTCTTTTTACTAGCCTTCTCAGGTCATCTACCTCTGCCACAAATGTTTTTCTATGACTATTCCAGTTCCCACCGGCTTCTATTATTTTAGAATTCCTTAGGCTCTTGACTGTTTCTCCACTATAATCAGTCTACGGAGAGTAGGAATTCAGTAGGCAAAAGAGACACAGATTGAAGCAATTATGCTCTGTCCTCTCCTGCATTGGCATGCATGACAATGACTATCCCAGCCAGCTCCCTCCTACCAGGACTCCTACAGGAAATCATCCTGAAACCAGTGATTTTACGTGATGTGACTCAGACATTTCCAAGCATCAGCAGCCTGTGGACTCAAGCTTGGGGTTCCTTGAGATTCAAATCAAAATCTTATTAATTCTGGGCTTTGATGACTCATAAAAGTAATTCCAGTTCCTTCTAAAACCCCAGCCCCGAAGCCCTTCTGAGAGTATGGGAGAAGGGGCTGTCTGACACATGTTCATGTTTCAGGGCCGCCTTCTCGGGCCTCTGCTACTCTAACATGCACTCCCTCTGTGGGCCTCTGCTCCTTCCAAGGAAAAGATACTCAACCCTCATTGCTCATAGTCCTCTGTGCCCCAAGCTCCCTGACCTGTCAAGGGTTGAACAGAGAAACACTTCCTCTACTGTTTCACGCCCTTAGGGGACTCCCACAGCAGGGTTGCTTGGGCCCTGAGGGGTTGCCAGTCCAGTGAGATGGCTCACTGAGTTCCACACACTTCCCAGAGTGTGGGTGCTGCTAGGATGACCAGGCCTGGTAAGTCCCAGGACCAAGGGCTGCCTACACCTGCCCATGCATTGACCCTAGGCCCTGACGCTCATTCCACATGTTCTCTCACCTTCGGATGAATTTTCTGTGCCCTGCCCTCTCTGCAAATTGGCTCTCCTGGAGCATCCATCCATCCCTAGTTTGTCACAATTCAGTGTGTATCCCGGGCACTGACATGACTTACTCTTTTTCCAGGAGGAATCTTGGCTAATAGAGCCCAGGAAATTAAATGAGGTTATAAAACCGTACCCAAAGCTGTGTCCAATCTCAGCCCTAGTCCATCCCATCATCAGTACCACCAGAAAACAAAAGTACCACCCCCAAGGGTCTCCAGGCACCTCCTAGATTAATGCTTTTCTTTATACCAATACCTTATTAGTGTTGTTGATGCATAACCTTTCAGTCATGGCTATTGCTTTCTTCCTGGGCTCCATCTTCAGATACATTGAGAAATAAAGGAAGTATTTATGCACAAATTGTATGGCTACAAAAATTACCAGGTAGCCCAGGCATCTGTCTTTATGGAAAATTATTGATTTGTTCTGCCAATTCCCAAAAAGATCGTGAGAAAAGTCTTTTGATCAAGCAAAGCTGATTAGATTCACTGCAGTAAAGGCCTTGACAGTCTCAGTATCTTCTCAGAGAGGAAAAATGAGAGAAGGATATTCTTAGTATTTTAGGGCCAGGGCTGGGTGACTTAAGGCAGGTCTTTCAAGGCAGAGAACTAGTTTGTATTGAGCAGAGTTAATGACAGGAGAGCTTTGGACTGATGACCGCACAAAGGGTGCTCTTAAAGTGAGTATTGCCAAGCAAGCTGTCAGTCTTTTGATAAGTAAGCTAGTTTAGTTGGCTCACAGCATTAACTTCCAGAAACAATTTTTTTCAGAAACCATTAGCTAAGTTACTTTTGCCTAGTCCTAGTCTGATTTAGCACAGAAACAGGGACATAAATTTCAGTTCCAAAAATTTCAATGTATTTGTATTACACATTCAACTCTAGGTTGTCTTTATTTTTAAATTTTAAGTGTGTTTATTTTTTCTCCTTGGCTGGATTCAAAGCTTCTTTAGGACAGAAGTCAAAGCTTACATGTTTTAATTTGGCAGTATACAGCACAGGGTTGTGCAGAAGCATCCCACTCACTCAGCCTCTCTTCTTCCATGGAATCTTTTGTGATGCCCCCTCCAAGTACTCAGTAATTTCACATGACTTTGTTTACACCACGATTTTGGTGCATGTTATCCAGGGCAAGCTAGAGCTTTCTTCTCTCCTCTTTTTCTCCTTCACACTTTCTTGGGAGGGGACTCTTTGGTAAGACAGAGTAAAGAGACAAGGATTTGGTTAATATAATAATTCACTGAAGTAAATCCATGAGAAGCAATCAATATTAGCAGGAGGGAAAGTGTTTATTAATTTGTGAATATAGAGAACTAAAGCCTCTTCAGCAATTCCAAGATAGATTCCATTTGATGCCGCTCCTCCAGATGGAGCTGAATCTTGGGGTTGGGGAATTGGAGAAATTGAACAAAATCAAGGATCCCACAGGAAAGAAGAGTGAGGGAGAAAGAAAGGTCACCCTGATACTGATGGGCAGCTGATTAGAGACTCACTGGGAAATATAGAGGAACAGCCTGCTTCGTCCTTTGTAGCTGCATACAATTAGCCTTCGTGCCTGCCTGTTTCTTTGCTAGATTAGGAGATTCATGAGAGTGGGCCAGGACTATGGCTTACTTATTTTGGTATCCCTGGTGCCTACCAGGGTGACATCCCTTCACAATAAGGAGTTTTCAACAAATTGATTATGAGGCCGACTTTCTCCATTTACAGGAAGATAATCAGCCTTTCTGTCAACTGCAGCACAATTGGATACGTTTGTTGTTTAGATGTCCAAAACTTTGCAAAAATGGCTGTACCCCATTGTGTCTATCTTCATGGTCTAAATTTGGCAGTCATATATATTAGCCACCCTGTAATCCTCCTCTCTTACCTCCTTCATTAAGTGTCTCTTCAAAATGTCTTTTGAAGTGCAGCATCATTATATCATTTTTACTGATACCAGTCCCAGGTCCAGTCTTACCTCTGGCAGTTTCCTTAATTGGTGATTAGGCAACATTGGGTTTTTCTTCTTCCAACCTGCCAGTTTCCTTCATTTAAAGCAAATTCTGTCAAATGAATAATTGCCCATAGCACAATTACCAAACACAAAACGAAACCGCAAATATGCATTAGCTTACCAGGGTAGTGCCTAGTATATTAAAAAGAAAGAGATAAGGATATGGGATTGACAAGAGAATGGAGCATTTCATTTTTTCATTCTGTTTTATTGCTGCAATAACCCATTTGATGGCCTCCAGTTTTCACAGCATCAGCTTCCTGCAATGACACTAATGAAGAAATGCTGCCTTTTGTTCATTCTTTAACCAACTGTGTTGCTCTTTAATGGGAATATGGCACTTTCCGCCCTATTCATGCAGAGTTATGAACAGCTGAGTCTCTAGGGTACCTCTGATGTGTACAGCACTCTTTTCCTTTTAGGATTTGTCTGATTAGATGGTAAATACATTTCCCGTCAATAAATTCAATGTTCTAGATATTTCAAATCATGGGTAGAAATAGGGATATTTTTCCAGCTGGGAAAAAATAAAGCCCAAGGGGGCAGAGTGATTATCTTATTTTTCACCACGTTTCTCTGCTTTGTGGAAAATACTGTTTTCCTTTTAATTATTTCCTAATCATGTTCTTCAGTCTGTTCCTTATTAAGGCACCCACATTTATAACCATTTTGTTTAATTATTTGCACATGACTGACTTCTAAATAGTTTCTCATTTAAGCAGAAAGTTATTCTGCCACTTTGCCAGAATGTCCACTCTGGCTTGATTTCCCACAAGGCTCATTTAGCTTCTTCTCTATTTTCTTCTTTGGGTTCCTTCCATTTGCTCAAAAGTGTGGAATTTGATCCTATGTCAGTTCTCAGGGACGCCAAAATAAATGAAGGCTAGGTTTAAGCTGCCAGAACCATAAGGGTGGTGAGGTGAACATACTATCTTCAATTCAGCCTGACCTCCTCTCATGAAATGTAACAGAGTACCAGCTTAGGTCCAAACTAGCTGTGACATAACCTCACAAGGACAAGACCTGCTTCAAGATCCAGGGGTAAAGGAAATATGTTCTGGGGTGCAGGCAAAGAAGTGGATTCCCCTCTCCTTCCCTTTATGAGTGTTTTATTTCTAAAGGATGATGAACAGATTTGGATGTTACCACACAATAAATGTCTACATCTCACAGAAACATCAAATCGAATAGAAATGAATAGGCATTTCAAATGAAACTTCTTGTATGATATCAAAATAGGTAAATAGATCAAGAAATTTCTTTTCAGTTGTGGACAAAGAAAAACTGATACAACGTTTCTAAATAAAAAAAAAACTTTATTTTTCAAATCTTACTGAAATTGTTGAGTATGAATGCCTAGCACAGGCTTGCTGACATTATTATCGTAATTACTATTGCTGTTATTAGCAATTCAAATCAACAAACATTGATTGAGGCACTGTTATAAAAGACGGAAAGAAACTAAATGACAAAATTAAATGACATAGCCCTTGAATTAAGAAGCCAGCAAGACAGTAGGAGAAATAAACATGCAAACGACTAGCTATAAAGCAAGGTGGAATGGCCTAAGTTCTAAGTAGGCAACCCTGAGGAAGGAACGGGTAATTCTAATTTGGGGTGTTGGTGAAAGAGATAATAGGTAAGCTTGGCACTGAAGTATCTGAAGGTTTTTAGGCAATGAAAACTTGTTGGCTTTCTAGATTGCGGGAACCGTACAACCTAAGCCATAAAGGCACGAAAGTGAATCACATGTTCAGGGACTGATGGGCAGTCTCATGTGCCTGGAGCTGAGGGTTGTAGAGGAATGTGTAGGGTAACAGGCTGGAAACATAGCTTAGGCTTGGCCTGAGTGCCATGCCAGTACTTTGTACTTTGTGGAGGTGACATGATGTACCACAAACAGTATAACAGAGTGAGTAAGACTTCAAATCCCAACTCTGACATTTGATAGCTTTGTGAACGTGGGCACCAGTTTTTTAATCCATAAAATGAAGATAATAATTGTAGTTACCGCCTCAAATTGTGAAGATCAAATATCTGTGAAAGAGCTTAGCACATCTCCAGGCACAAAGTAAACTCTCAGAAAAGGGTAGCTATTATTACTGTAAGTATTTTAATCTTGTAAATAGAATACTGTAGGAGATACTAAGAATTTACTGGAAATACAAGGAAGGAAAAAAAGAAAGAGGTGCCTTGGAAATTGTTGCAATGTTAAAGAGAAAGTTGGATAGGGAATAGAGGTAACAAAATTTAGTGGCTTATAAGATGTGAAGTGTAAAAAAAAGTATAAAATGAATCTAAGTTTCTAGTTTATATAGTTGAGAGGACTGTAGACTGTGTTGCTATTATTTGAAAAAAGAACTTTGGAGAAAAACAAGTTAGGGTTATTGGTGAGGAAAGGTGTTGTTCTGTTCGGTTTTGGACATGATGAGTATATTCATTTCCTAGGGATGCTATAACAAATCACACAAACTAGGTAGATTAAAACCACCAACACTTATTGTCTGGTAGTCCTGGAAGCTAAAGTCTAAAATCAAAAAGGCAGCAGGGCTGTACTCCCTCTGAGACCTGTAGGGGAGAATCTTTCCTCGCCTCTTCTACCTTCTGCTGTTTGCTGGCAGTCCTTGGTGTTCCTGGGCTTCTAGCTTTATTACTCCATTTTTTTTTTTTTTTAGATGGAATCTCGTTCTGTCACCAGGCTGGAGTGCAGTGGCACAATCTTGGCTCATTGCAACCTCTGCCTGCCAGGTTCAAGCGATTCTCCTGCCTCAGCCTGCCCAGTAGCTGGGATTACAGGCATGTGCCACTGTGCCCGGCTAATTTTTTGTATCTTTAGTAGAGACGGGGTTTCACCATGTTGGCCAGGCTGGTCTTGAACTCCTGACCTCATGATCCGCCTGCCTCAGCCTCCCAAAATGCTAGGATTACAGGTGTGAGCCACCGTGCCCAGCGTATTACTCCAATCTTCGCCTCTGTCATCACATGACCTCTTCTCCACATGTCTGTGTCTCTTCTTTTATAAGGACACTAGTCAGATTAGATTAAGGGCCCACCCTACTCCAGTATGACCTCATCTTAAGTAAATTGTATCTGCAACAACTCTATTTCCAAATAAGGACACATTCATAGGTAGTGGGGGTTAGGGCTTCAACATATCTTTTTGGGAAACTCAGTTCAACCCATAATATTGAGTTTCAGATGCTTAGGGCCCATCAATGTAGAGATGTCCAGTGGGAAACTGAGATGTGTAGGTCTGGGGCTCAGGAGAGAGGTAAGAGCTGTACATGTACAGTTTAGGAGTCGTACCTTGAGGTGATAGTTGAAACATGGGTGTGACCATATGAAACTGAACGGAATAAGAATAGAGAGTGCAAAGAAGGAAAAGCATACAACCTTGTACAGTTCTTCTCATGATTATGCCAGCTTCTGCTCCACCACAGGCCAGGAATTACTGCTGAGGATAGGCCTGGTAGTGGGTTGTTGCTGAGCAAGGGCTGAGCCGGAATTGGCGTGGAATACGGGCTGACAGCAGGAATAGCTCTAAGTGGTTCACCTGGGATATGCGGTTGATGTGAGATCAAGATTGATGGCTGAAAACAAGGTTATTGGAATAGAAAACTTACATAGACAACTGAAAGCCAATTTCTCCTTCCTGGGGAGAGCTGGACCAGATAGTTATCTAGAGCAGTGATTCTCAAAGTGTGGCACCTGGAGCAGCAGCATCACCATCACCTGTGAACGCGTTAGATATGCAAATTCTTGGTGCCCATTCCAGATCTACCCAATGAGAAACTCCAGTCCAGGGTAATCTGTGTTATAACAAGCCCTCCAGGTGATTGTGGTATGCAGGTAAGTGTGAGAACCAGTCGAGAGTGTTAAGCACCAGTCCACAGACTGAGAAATTGGAAGTAGAAGGAATACTGCTGGGTGAGATATTTCACAACAAGCTGCTGCCCAGTGCTCAAGTCCCTTTGCAGATTATTTTCTAAGTCCAGAAGAGAGGAGCAGGGTTTTAAGTTAACAAAATGATTAATAATAGCTGAAGATTAGTGCAATGACATCTGACTGTACCATTGCAATTATTTGAATGTAATGCTAATCATGGTGTAGATTAGTCTTTATTATGTTTATTACTGTACACAAGGTCAACATTTTATTGGGGACACAGTATAATATAATTGGGACATAAGATCACTCCTGTAGATGATTGTGGATGGAATATCTCAAGAGGTACCCAAGATGACCAGGGGATTCAAAGAATATGTTAGGATTTCTATATTTCAAAAATATAAGAAAAATTTAAGGCTAAATAATTTTTAATATTCAAATTGACCCTGGCACCCTCAGTTAGTCCATCTATCAGATGGACACGTTTCTCTGGTTTTCCTAAAGGGGAAGAGGGAATTCCATAAGGTTGAGGGTTTGACAGTGGAGCCCTCATTCATTCACTTCCATTCATTATATTGCAATGTACATTGCGGTTTACATGTGCCTGGTTAAGTGGATTTTTGGACTACATTATCCAGTTTGACTTAAAGTCACCATACACCAAATAGACAAGTGATATTCCTGAAAGTGTGGACCGAAGTTGAATTCTAATAGTGAAAGTGTAAGGGAGGGCAAGAAAGTGGAAGAGCTAATGCTTCCCCTATGCCTGCTTGGGCAGCTTAATTCAGTAGATAAGAGCAAGGATTCTGGAGCCAGCCACCTAGCAGCTGTGACTTCAGGCAAGTTACCTAACCTCTGTGTGCTACGGGTTTCAAATGTTTAAAAAGGGGTTACTAATAGTACCCATCACACAGGGCTGTTATGATAATTAAATAAGCTAATATTTTTGAAACTCTTAGGGCAGTCTCTAGTGTAGAGCAAATAATATGTTGTTATAATAAAAAATGGTTTCAGTTTTTTGCCAGTGACTTCACAAGACAAAAACAAGGACCTATTTAGATCTAATAGAAAGTTAGCCAAATTTTTTTCAATTACCAAGAAAACTATTGGAATTATGGATTTAAATCTTCTGACATAAACTGTGAACCTAGCCCTCAGTATATATTGTACTTTCAGCTCTTAGGAAATGATAGTATGAAGTCGTCACAATTAAATTTACATTCAAAAGCATTATGCATCTATATCTCATTTTAAAAAATTTTCTTAAATGTTTTATTATGAAGACAATATATTAGCACATTCGTACTTGTATATAATTTATACATAAATAAAAATATACAGTATACAGTATTGGGGGTTCATATTTAAGGCATTGTGGGTTTGTATGTATGTGAGTGTTTTGTTTTATTTAAACTGATAGCATGCAAAATCAAAAGAATTGAAGGCAACTTCTCTAGAGCAAGGGTTGGCAGACTATGGGCCACAGGCCAAATCCAGCCCACTGCCTGCTTTTGTAAATAAAATTAATTGTGGCCGGGCATGGTGGCTTACACCTGTAATCCCAAAACTCTGTGAGGCTGAGGTGGGGGAATCGCTTGAGCTCAGGAGTTGGAGACCAGCCTAAGCAACATGGCAAAACTCTGTCTCTACAAAAAATACAAAAAAATTAGCTGAGCATAGTGGCGCACACCTGTAGTCCCAGCTACTGGGGAGGCTGAGGTGGGAGGATCGCTTGAGCTTGGGAGCCAGAAGTTGCAGGGAGCCAAGAATGCACCACTGCACTCCAGCCTGGGAGACAGAGTCGCACCCTGTCTCAAAATGAAATCAATTGCAACACAGCCGTGTTCATTCTTTTACATATTGTGGATAGGCGCTTCTGTGCTATAATAAGAGAACTGAGCAGTTGCAACAAAAACTATATGTCCCACAGAGCTGACAGAAAAAGTTTGCTAAACCCCTGGTTTATACCATTCATTATCCATGGTAGCTTAGCTGAATTGCAAAATTATATCTAAAGTGAGTCATATAACCTCAGAATATCAAGCTTTGCAAGGACAGACCTGTCTGTTTTTGGCAGACATCATACCTGCCACAGGTTAAGTCTGTGACATTGTGGCTAAGTACACAAACATTGCTCGTTGCCAACTACCAGCTTCTCCTTGGGGAGCAGGGGTATTCCAGCAACACGTAAACTGCAGAGAGAATTCTACACAGTCCTAGGCTTCTCCCTGGGGCATGGAACATCCTCCCTAAGGACCCCCTCTCACATTGACCCGCAGACTGTCAGCCACAGTACAGAAATTTTCTGCCTGCATCACAGGTAAGGAAGAATTCAAGCAGATATGGTCTGTTAGCACAGGGAAGGTTTGTTCCTATCTCTTTTGTCCACAATACATTTGACCTGAGGCATCAGACTAAAAACATATGGCTAATCTTTTTGGTCACTTAATAATAGGACAGTTCAGATCACAGATAAAGTGTCTGTCACCATTTACAGATAATCAAGTTATGCTGGAAAGAGAGGAAGCAAGGTTTTTGGCCATGTCTGTGTGTGTTTCAAGGAATCTACTGTTTTAGACTCGTTTTTGTTTCATTAATAGCCTTGGCCCAAGAAATCAATCAAACATAAAGCGAATATGAGAGTTAGTTGTAAAAAGTATTGAAAATTTAGTAATCAATGGATTGCTTTGCACTGTGGATTTTAGATGACTGGGAAAATGCATCAGCTGAAGGATTTGATTCAGTTACACCGTATCTATCATCTACCACTCTTCAGAAGTAGGTCTTTCACCACTCAGATAAATCAAGTCACAGGAAATGCACTGGAGAAAGTAACTCCTATTGGAAGTGTTCTTTTTTTTATTTTTTTGAGACGGAGTTTAGCTCTTGTCACTGAGGTTGGAGTGCAATGGCACCATCTCGGCTCACTGCAACCTCTGCCTCCCGGTTTCAAGGGATTCTCCTGCCTAAGCCTCCTGAGTAGCTGAGATTACAGGCATCTGCCACCACGCCTGGCTAATTTTGTATTTTTAGTAGAGACGGTGGGGTGGCGGGGGGGGCGGGGGGGGTCTCACCATGTTGGTCAGCCTGGTCTCGAACTCCTAACCTCAGGTGATCCACACACCTTGGCCTCCCAAAGTGCTGGGATTGCAGGCGTGAGCCACCATGCCCAGCCTGGAAGAGTTCTTAATCATATTCTTCCAATGCTAGTAATACAATTGTTTGATTTTTATTGCCAAACCCTATCACTTATTAGATACCAAATCTACAATCAAAGGATTGTTTCTTAATATATATGTTCTTCTTTTTTAAAGTATTTAGCTGTGTAAATTGAAGTGTTGAGAGCCAAGACTTCACTTAGTCTCTGGATGCCACAGGTAAGATCATCCATGACTTAATGACAACCTGAAACAGCTAAAAAGCATAAAAAACGAAGACTCTGGGACTTCTAGGTGCTGTCAGTGACAAGGACACTGTTTGTGAATCTCATAAAACAACAACAGCAGCTCTTTCTACACTGGCATAGGGGGTTAGTTGTCTAAACTCAGGAGACTACACCAGAGCTAATGTAAAACAAAGCTTAAGAATCAGGCATAAACAGTACCTAGATGGAGCTTCATTTCTTAGGCTCTAAGTGTCAGCTCAGGGAATGGGCTTTGCTCCTGAGAAAAGCTGTTTGCTATTTGTTCCTAATGATGGTTAATGTATGAACAAACCATACTCCCAGAACTATAACTGATATCATCAATGATGCTGGTATACAAACAAAGACGCTAATGAAGCGAAGCCATGTGGCTTATGCTTTGAAAAAGCCTGTGGTAGAGGCAGGAGGGGAAGAGTTTGGCTAAATGAAGTCATTTCTCAGAGCAGTAGATAAAAGGGTAGTGCTAGAACAAAGCAACTTCTGAAAACAATTACATATTTAAATTCCCTTTACCCTGTGTGGCAGGAAAATTTTATCACTTTCTCCTCTGACATGTTAAAATACATAAAGCTTTGATGTCCTTAGGGGCTCTGATCTCCAGAGAGAAAAATAAGAGGCCGAATATCCAAGAGGGCATTTTGGCACCAGTGATGGACAGGTAGGACATTCCGCAAACAGCTCCGTCACTCATCCCTCCTCTGCCCACGGAGCTGATTACACATGTCAGCTGTGCCTCTCTGCCTGGTTACCCTCATGTTCCATGTTGATGCCACGGCTGCCTCAGTGACTTGTTTTGCTCAAAGACCATTAACGTTCTGAGGCTTACAGAAATGGAGCTGTTCTACAGGGCGGGGGGAAAACTGAATCTCTGCATGTTTTGCTACCCTTGAGAAAATGGCTGTCCCTAATTACACAAAATGATAGAGAGAACAGTTGACTAAAATCACTGCAAATGACAGTTATTTCTCTGAATAGCCTAAAAGAATAGGTCACCCTTACTAATACACTAACAGCATACTTTTCTGTATATGCAATTTCCGTCACATTCCCGGAATGCTTGGGCGCTGACTGACATCTTCACTGAGCAGGGAAAAACAGTCTTTTTTTGGGTCTTCTTCTTGTCGAAATCTCTAGCGATGCATTTATATACGGACTCTGTGATTTGTTTCAGTGAGTAAGTCATGCATTTGTTGTAGGAACAAGGAGACAGCTTTGAGTTAGAAAGCAAGGGCTTTATGGCCATAACCATAGCTGTGTGTATAGAACAAAACCTAAGGCATTCGTCTTCCCTCTTCATTTGCATGTCAAGTACAGGACAGTCTGGAACTACCAATAATGCCAGCTCCCTGATACCATCATATGTTTTCACCCCACCTCATTTTAATCTACTGGACAAGCAAGGAAGGACTGCAGGTCATTGATCGATTTTGTTACAGTCTTAACTACAGATACTTAGCCCAGCTAAATGTCTGGATGTGCTACTAGATCAGACCTGCAGTTGAGGTGAGGGTTTGGGAACCTCAGCCCTTGTTCTTTTTGGGTCAGTGACTCCATCTCCAGGGGAAGCTGCGGTAATCAGATTGTGGGCTGGTTGCCTCAGGCAAGCCACCTTTGTCCCTGGGGGGTCAGGGCTGAGGTGAAGGAGCATCCTCCTCTTCCACAGAGAAGATGCCGCAGAAATGGCTCTAGGAGTGGGGCTGCGGCTCTCCGAGTTGCCCAGCGGGATCTTTGAGGTGGTATTTATTACAGGCCAATGTACTTCAAGTACCATGTATTGGGCATCTATGAAAAGGTAGGAATGGCAAGGAATTAAAATAAGTATGTTCTACAGATAGTGTTTCTCAAGTGATATGCAGGAAGGGCATATCCCACATGCTCCCAACATCCCCCTCTGCTGAGCAAGTGACCCCTGTCACTCTTTCTAGGAAAGTCCCACTGTGGGGAGGATAGGAAAGAGCATAACAATGCCTGCCACCAGGAGGAAGAGGCCCCAGATGTCAACCCATTGCATGGTTTGCAGGCATCGGGATCACCGGGAAAGACTCAAAGAATCAAGTCACAGGCACTGGAGGGAACAAGGCTTTACTCACATAGCGAAGAGACAAGATCAGGCTTAATAGTAAGCATGGGTCCCCCATGGCCAGCAGGTCTCACCTTGCAGATGACGCAGGGAGATGGTCTGCATGCACCCTTCTTGTGCTGCAAGTAAAGGACCCGTTTCCTCCATAGCAGTGTGGTTGGCCAGGGGCCATATAACCCATATACTTTAAGCAGAACACTGAAGTACACATCAAGCCCGGAATAGGGAGAAATCCTCCCAAAGAAGACAATAAGCCCAGCACAGGCCATAAAGGGTCCTTATCAGCATGAAAGGAAGTGTGCCAGGCCCAATGTACATTCTTACACAGCTTGCAAGGGTCCAACGAACTGCCCATGACTGCCTTTCCTAACATCCCACACACCAAAGAGTGGTAGGTTGGTGGGACAGGATGTGTGTGAAAAAATACTTATTGTTTTTGTAATATAAACAACAGAAAGTGAATTTTAACTTAATCTTCCTGACTGGTGAGGGTGCAAATGAAATGCAGTGATACTCAAGGGGAGTGGCAAACCTAAAGCTGGAAAGGAGACTATCTAGTGGAGGAGTCTGATACTGAAATAAGCCAATGTTAAGGCAGACTGAGATAAGTGTGATAACTTGTCCCAGGAAAGATGAACAATGAAGTATCAAGGTATCGCCTTTTAAAATTTTTTAATAGTAAATTTTCTAAATGTAATACCAGGACAAAAGAGGAAAAAACATTCTGTGCACTTCAATATAAATATAATTCTAATGCATTTATAAGAATAACCATAATTTGCGCTAATTTGGTTTTAAAACACATCTGTAATCCCAAGGACTTTATTATTGGTATGAAATTTCTGAGGAACTATCTATAAGAAAAGAAAAAGATGAGAAGAGAGACAGAGTATTAACGGTATTTGTGTCCACACTTCTATTCCCTGAAATTTTCAGTGTATCCTTGTTTCTAGTATTTTTTCTGATTCTGTGAACTACCTCAGTCTCCTTCCAATAAATTCCATTTTGAGTTTAAACTAGTTTGCATTGGGTTTCTTTCCTTTCATTCAAACAAAAAATTCCTTAAGAGCGTATCTTTATAGATAAGACTTTTAATTCTGGATTGGGAATTAGAGTATCTCAATTCTACTTAACCTATGCTATTTCCTAGTTGGGAATCCTTGATAGTCACCCAACCTCTCTGACCTAGTCTTCTGGCTGAGGAGAGATCCTCAGAGATCCATTTCTTATAAATCTACAACTCCGACAGGAGAAAGCCTCATCTGCAGAGTCAGTTAAGAAATTCTGACCTTCTAGGGTGGGTTATTTGGAGGCCCCGTTATTTAACCTTTTGGTTCACAGTTACGTTGAGGTTTATTATACTCTTGTAATGTGTTATACTTTCCATAATTAAAAAATAAAAAAGGTACAATTCTTGCTTTCTCAGACCATAGCAATGCAAGGATAACCGGGGAAATTGAATAATAAAAACTGGTTTGGGTCTGGAACTACCTGTGGCTGAGTAGGTAAGTCTGTCTAGTTCTGGAGTTTAGCCTTGGGAATTCCATCTGCCTCCAGATAAAACTCACATTCTTCTACATCAACTTCAATAGTAATAAAAATAATCATTTCCTCTTCATCCACCTCATCCCTGTATCTTCTTTTTCAATTCATTCAGGAATTTGTTGGAAGAAAAGAATGCAACTTATTGGCTTGCTCAGTTTCCTAAAAATGTTACTATGCCTGCCTCATGGATTGACCTTGGTATTGCCATTGGAGCTTCACCTTGTCAGTATCACACCTCCTGAGATGGGGAAGGGCTCTCTCAGCAGTGTTGCTGTCACTTACGAGGATTCACTAACATGTGATTTTGTTTTCTCATTTTTTTATAGCTCCCTCCATCAGGAAACTTAAGACCAACTCCATTTGATCTGATCAGAGGACGTCTATAAGGACCAACACAGTGTCACATTCAAAAGCATCTTTCTCCCCCTCCAATCAACCAGTGTCCTGGGGCCTTCTTACCTCTGGGTAAGTTCTTTGCTATCTTGGGCTCTCCTAGAGGTGGACAATGATCTTCCTTTTGGTTGAGAGTCCTAATTGAGGAGCCTTAAGATCTGACCATTTGTCTAAAAGTCCTCTAGATAACTTCTCCCAAGTTTACATTGGTCCTTATGCAAATACACCTCCAAATGGCCCATCCCAGAATGTCAGAATTTCTTAACTGTACCCTGGAAACAGAGTCTCAGGGCAAACCAAGAATGTGTCCTGGAGTGGACTACCCGAAGCACAGTACTTATACATTCTCTTTCACAGAAAATGAGAAGGTGGCCGAGAAGGAAAGGTGACATTCTTACAACTCTAAATGGTGCTCAGTGTTGTTATAAATAAGATAAAGCAAATATGTGGTTCAGGTATATAGAGTAAAAGATTAACATGTATGTAGGCATCTCGGGGTCTGGGGAGGGATGATTGATTTTATCTTGCCTTTATTCTTCATCTATAGGCAAGGTTGTCATCAACACAGGTCAGTGGAATATTTGACATATTCTAGGCTTGCAGGCTGAGATTTCAGCTTTTGTTCATAGGCCTAGTTTATATTAATTGTTCACAGTTATTAACTGTATATCCTGCCTGCAGCCACCTTGGGATGCCATTTTTAAAAACTTTTTTCTTCAGCTTTTTCTTTCCTCCAGGAGTTGTGGTACACCACCCTCCCTGCATGTATTCAGCAACCTAGAAGCTGTCTGAACCCTGTCCTTTAGGGTTTTATAATGACTTCACTACAGAGACACGATTGATTAAATTATTGGCCATTGGTGATTAACTCAATCTTCAGCCCCTCCATCCTGGAGACTGGGGGTGGTGCTGAAAGTTCCAACCCCTAATCACGTGATTGGTTCCTCTGGCAATCAGTCCCCATCTCTTCAGGAGTCCCCACCCATCAGTCATTTTATTAGCATATCTTGAAAAAACTTCACTTTGGAGATTCCAAGTGTTTTCAGAGAGGTGTGCCAGGAAACCAGGGCAGAGGCCATATATATGTATTTTTATAATCTCACAAGATATTAACAGAATATAGTTTAAACTCTATAAAACGTTTTAAAGAGGGTTTGTTCTGAGCCAATATGAGTGACTGCAGCTCAGGGATACACAGTCTCAAGAGGTCCTGAAAAAGTGAGCCCAAGGCAATCGGGTTATAGTTTGGCTTTATATATTTCAGGGAGACAGAAATTGCAGGTAAAATCATAAATCAATGGAATGTATATATTGGTTTGGCCTGAAAAGGTGGGACATCTCAAAGTAGGGGCTTAAAGTCATAGGTGGGTTTTAGGTGTTCTTTAGTTAGCAATTGGTTTGAAGCAGTGAAGCTTTATCTAAATACTTGAAGTCAGTAGAAAAAAAAAAAGCTTAAGATACACAGTCTGCTATCTGTCATGTGATGCTACACTAGAGTCTGGTTGGAAGGTAAGCCACATTATACCAGGTTACTTAAAACAGACACACACACACACACACACACACACACACACAGAGACACATTAACGGGATTTTATGGTGTGTGACTTAACCCTGGCCTTGCATAGACTTAGGTTTTTTTGTAATTTGGTATTCTATTACCACAAAAAGCCTGTTTTGTCAGTCTTATGACTTCTATTTTAACATTAATGTTGGTCACTTGTGCCTACGCTCCATGATGAGGCGTGACTGACTTCGCTTCTCATCATAACAAAGAACTCAGATTTGTGGGTTTCACTGGAGTCCCCTTGGCTAAGAGGGGGTCTGTTCAGTTAGGGAGCTTAGGATTTTTTTAGCTTATAATATTACTCTGTTTTCTACTAAAAGTGTAATCATTTTAGCTCTTATATTAGGGTATATAACTTACCTCAAATTAATTTTTTTGTAGGTAGGGTATAAGATGGGGCCAAGCTTTATCTTTACATATATATATATTTATATACACACACATATATGTTCACATACTCAAATATATATTTGTATGTGTGTGTTCAATTGTTCCAGCATCATTTGTTGAACAAACTTCCCTTTTTTCATTGAATTTATTGGGCATCTTTGTTTAAAATCAATTGACCAATACAGAAAATTAGCTGGGCGTGGTGGCACATGCCTGTAATCCCAGCTACTGGGAGGCTGAGGTGGGAGAATCTCTTGAACACAGGAGGTGGAGGTTGCAGTGAGCCAAGATTGCACCACTGCACTCCAGCCTGGGGAACAGAGCAAGACTCCATCTAAAAAAAAAAAAAAAATCAATTGACCTATACTTATACAGGTGTGAGGTATACCTTATAGATACAGGTATTATCACTGGGGTTGCATTGGCTCCATAAATCAACAGGGGAAGAACTGACATCTTAGCAATATTGAGCCTTCTGTTCCATGAAAATGGTATATCTCTGCATTTATTTAGGTCTTTTAAATGTTTACTCAGTAATGTTTTTTCTTTTTTTTTTTTTTGTCAGGGTCTCACCCTGTCACCCAGGCTGGGGTGCAGTGGTGTGATCTCAGCTCACTGTAACCTCCACCTCCCAGACTCAAGTGGTCCTCCCAACTCAGCCTCCCTAGTAGCTGGGACCACAGGTGCACACCACCATGCCTGGCTGATTTTTTTTTTGTATGTTTGCAAGACACAGGGTTTCACCATGTTGCCCAGGCTGGTCTACAACTCCTGAGTTCAAACGATCCTCCTGCCTCAGCCTCCCAAAGTGCTGGGATTACAGGTGTGAGCCACCACACCCAGCCCATGTTTTGTAGTTTTCAACATATTTTGCATGTCTTTTGTCAAATTTATTCCTGAGCATTTTATTTTTGACACTATTACAAATGGATAAAAATGTTTCCGATTGCTTGCTGTTAGTATATAGAAATACTGTACAATTGATTTTTGCATGTTGACCTCATATCCTGAGATCTTGCTAAACTTATGTTTTAGTTCTATTAATTTTTGTTTCAATTTCTTAGAACTTTCTACATAAAAAATAATATGGTCTTCAAATAATGTTTTACTTCTTCTTTTCCAATCTTTATGTCCTTTCTTTCTTCTTGCCTTCTTGCACTGGTTAGGACTTTTGGCATAATGTTAAGTAGAAATGATGAGAACAGACATCTTTCCCTATTCCCAATCTTAGTGGGAGAATGTTCAGAGTTTAGCTAATTTAATGTTAACTATAGATTTTTTAATAGATGCCTTTCATCAGATTGAGGAAGTTTCCTTCTATTTCCAGTTTGCTGATTTTTTTTATCATAAGTGGATATTGAATTTTGCTAATTGCTTTTCCTTCAACTACTGAGATGTTCATATTGCACTGCTTCTTTATTCTGTTAATATAATGAATTACACTTTTTGATTTCAAATGCTAAACTATTATTGTATTCCTAGAATACACTCCATTTTGTCATTCTTTATGTATGTTGCTGGCTTCATTTGTTAATATTTTGCTGAGCATTTTTGCATGTATCTACAAGAAATTTTAGCCTATAGTATTCCTTTCTTGTAATAAAGGTCACATAATATGGAAGTGACTGGGGTTGTGGGAAAGTATATTAAGGTTGATGTGCTCTTTGGTGACTCTAAAATTATACCAGTAGTCAATCAATTACCCACTCCACCTTAAGACACTTTATATATACAGTTTAAACATTGCTTTAAAAATATAGTTAGTGTAGTGCCTTAGATGATTTCAATCACTCAATGCAAATGACTGCACAGATTTGATAAACTGGACAGAAAAAGGTAATTAAGATGGCAAAAGAAAGAGTTCAGCCATCAGCCTTATATATTCTCAGAAGAGGGAAGAAGAGAAAAATAAGTTGGATTTTTTCCCATTTCATTATCATTTTATTATGTTTATATTTGCACATTTCAAAAGTGAGAAAATTCAACTCATTGAAATTGGAAGAAAAAGTTTTTCAGGCCATCTCAGTAATTCTTATGCACAGAAGCATTGAAACCATTGGCAAGCTCTGTCTGGCAGGTCCTTATTAATGACAAGTCTGTATGGGTTTTTTTTTGTTTTTTGTTTTTTGTTTTTTTGACAGTTACTTGGTTTAGTTTTCATTTGAGGATCTCCATTTTAAAGGTCACTGTCCCACATCTCTATCTTAACTTTAAAAAAAGACATTTGTATCTGGCTGAGAGCTACCAGAAGGGTAAAAACAAACAAACTGATGGAAAAGAGACAAGTTAAGCGTCTTACATTGTTTTCAGATGTGAAGACAGTGGGAAAAATATGGCATTAATGTGTTAAAAACACACACATTTTGACAAAACTGACAACAAAATCTTTGAAGAGAGCTGCCTCCTAAGACAAAAAGCATCCTTGTCCTTACTTAAGGACAATTTTGAGATCAGAGATATAAATGAAGACATGTACAAGACTGTGCTTTGAGTAGCAAATTTTCTAACATAATTAAATGAATAATTATTGAGCCATATGATAGAATATAATGCAACCATTGAAAGTCATCATGAAAATATGCAATGTCATAGGAAATGCCTATGATACTGTAACAAGAAATTCAGACATACACACATCCCAATACAGTGGGCCAAGTGAAATAATTAATTAAAATTAATTAAAAAGAACAATCCTCAGATACTAGGTATAAACATAGAACAAAAACTAAAAGGAAAACACTAAATTTGTAATGGTGGTTACCTTAGTGTGATACAAATAAATGATTTTGGTTTTATTCTTATAGTTTTCTGCATTTTTAAATTTTTTTCCTAAAACTGGTATTATTTCTCTAACAAGAAAAAAATATATAGAAAAATAGATTTTTTTAGATGTCAGTTTGGGAAGAAGTGTCACATGTCATACATGATACAAGAGACTAATTTCCCACTCAGCTTTAGAGATGTACTTGTGAAATAGCTGTATTTTAGCACAGATAATTTACTTGGTATCTTAGTATCTTAATGATAGTTCCAGTGAGCCATTTGGTTTTTGAAGGACAGTTCAGGGAGCCACATCCTAACAGCTTGACCGCTCTCATTTCTGGCATGTGGAGGTGCCAACTTCCTCATTCCCTGCCCTCTTAACACCACAAGCTGTCAGTTTCCCAGTCACTCTGAACTGTTGGTAGCTTTACAGGCAGGTTGCTGTGCAGTAGATCTGTGTTTCTGATAAATACTGGGTTCTGTTTTGCATCCAGGCCAGGTATATGAGGCAATCAGCTGGAGCCAGTACATGGACATGTTTCATTGTTCTGTCTGGAGATACAGTAGAGAGAAAAATGCTGGGGGTTTGGCAGTGGAGACCTGAATTTGAGTCTGTTTATGACATTGGACAAGTTCTTAACTGCCTTGGGCCTCAGCTCACCCTGAATGGGTAAATTAAATGACCTTTGCCATACCACTGTGTCAGAGTTGTGAATTTCAAAGAGTGCATACGTGTTATCTATAACTTGATTCTAAAGTTTATAGGGGCCATGTGTGGTGGCTCACGCCTGTAATCCCAGCAGTTTGGGAGGCCAAGGTGGGTGGACCACCTGAGGTCAGGAGTTCAAGATCAGCCTGGCCAACATGGCAAAACCCTATCTCTACTAAAAATACAAAAATTAGCCAGACGAGGTCACAGGTGCCTGTAATCCCAGCTACTCAGAGGCTGAGGCAGGAGAACTGCTTGAACCTGGGAGGAGGAGGTTGCAGTGAGCTGAGATCGCACCACTGCACCACTGCACTCCAGTTTGGGTGAGACAGCAAGATTCCGTCAAAAAAATAAATAAAAATAAAAATGACAATTAAAGTTTATAGGGGAAGGCAAAACAAACAACAACAACAACAACAAAACCCTCACAGAATAGCCAATACAATATTGAGAAACAAACTTGGAGGACTGAAAGTACCCAGCTTCAAGACATACTATAAAACTACAGTTATCAAGACAGTGTGGTATTGGCAAAAGAAGAGGCAAATAGATCAATAGAACACAAGAGAGAGGTCAGAAATAAACCCATACAAATACAGTTAACTGATCTTTGGCAAAGGAGCAAAGGCAATTCAATGGAGAAAGGATAGTTGTTTCTTAACAAATAGTGCTGGAACACATGTACATCAACATGTAAAAATATGAATCCTGACATAGGCCTTATATCTTTCACAAAAATTGACTCAAAATGGATCATAGGCTTACCTGTAAAATATAAAACTATAAGACCCCTAGGAGATATCACAGGTAAAATCTAGATGATCTCTGCTTTGGGGATGACTTTTTAGATACAACACCAAAGGATGATCAATGAAGGAAAATATTGGCAAGAGAAACTTCATTCTGTTGGGGTGATCAGACCCAACACCAGGTCGTGGGGGTGACAAAGTCCGGCGGAGCCAAAGGATGGAGAAAAAGACAGTTCGAGAGAGACAGGTGGGACACCATCTAGTTTACAGAGGCTGCGAAGGCCCCAAGCTCTGGGAGCCCACGCTATTTATTGGTAATCCAAGAAAGAAACAGGTGGTGAGAATTTGGAGGTCAAAAGGGCACATTGCATTAAGCACATGATTTACAGCTGTGATGGTTCAACATTTATATGGAACATGTTCTGCTACTTGAGATAATGGGAATAGGAGACTAGGAGCCTAGGAGGGCTAGAAGCAAGGAGCCAGCAAGTCGAGACACATTCCAGAGGACATTAGGCAGGCCCTGCCTCAGTTTCCCTCCCAACATTCAGCTTTTTCCCAACACATTCAACTTAAAAAGTTTTGCTCTGTGAAAGACACTGTTAAGAGAATGACAGATGAGCCTCAAACTGAGAGAAAATATTTCAACCCAAATGAGTTGAAAACACAAACCTGCTTACAAATGTTTATAGCAGCTTTATTAATAATTGCCAAAACTTGGAAGTAACCAAGATGTCTTTCAATAGGTGAATGAATAAATGGAATATTGTTCAATGATAAAAAGAAATGAACTATCAAGCCATGAAAAGACGTGGAGAAACTTCAATGCATATTGCTAAGTGAACAGTCTTATAGTGCTACATACTGTATGATTCCAACTATATGACATTCTGGAAGACGCAAAACTACGGAGACAGCAAAAAGATTAGTGATGGCCAGGGGTTGAAGGGAGGGTAAAATGAGTAGATGGAGCAGAGAGGATTTTTAGGCAGTGAAACTGTGCTGTAAGGATGTACTGTAAGGGTGGGTGGACACATTTGTCAAAACCCGTGAATGTACAAGAGTAAATTCTAATTCTAATAAATTTCAGGTTTTAGTTCATACTGGTTCATCAGTTGTAACAAATGTGCCACACTAATGCAAAACATTAATAATAAAGGAAAATGGGGGTTGGGTGGGAAGTGTATATGGAAACTATATTTTCTGTTCAATTTCCTATAAACCTAAAACTATTATCAAAAACAGTCTATTATTTTTTAAAAGTGTATGTGAAAGCCATTTCTAAGTAAAGCACTAAAGAAGGATATTTTGGCTACAAGTAATAGAAAACTCAGTTAAAATATATGTGTGGTTTTTTGTTTGTTTTTCAAGACAGGGACTCCCTCTGTCCCCCAGGCTGGAGTGTGCAGTGATACGATCATAGATTACGGCAACCTCGAACTCCTGGGCTCAAGGGATCCTCCCACCTCAGTCTCCCCAATAGCTGGAACTACAGGCCCACATCACCATACCCAGCTATTTTTAAATGGTTTCGTAGAGATGGGTTCTTGCTATGTTGCCAGGGCTGATTTTGAATTCCTGGCCTCAAGTGATCCTCCCACTTGGTCTTTCAAAATGCTGGGCACCACTGTGGCTGGCCTATATGTTTTCTTGATTGTGCACACCTAACAGTAAAAGAAAAATTGTTTGAGAATGCACTCAACAATTTATATAAAAGTATGTATTCATTTATATATAAAGTATACACATTACCTGTATCAATGTTATGTACATTTTATAAACATACATAAAAATACAATTTTATACATTTTATAAATGTATATAAAAATACAATTTTAACAATATAATAAATATAAATAAACTTTAGAAACAGTTCCAGGTTTTATACTTACTACTGACATTTTTAGCGGGGGTACTCTGCTTTATTATTTTTGAAACTTGAAAAATATTTCAAAATTAAACATCTGAGAGTCTAAATTTGTTTTTGTACTAGGTTTTGGTGGCTGTCAGAATAGAAAAAATCCTTTGCAAATGTTCATAGATCTAAATGAAAGAAGTTCATAACTGGCTGTCATTTCTTAAGAATGGTATTTTACCAAATGGTAATAAAAACACATAAAATGTTTATGACGGCTTTATTAATAATTGCTGGAAGTAAATCTTGGAAGTAACCAAAATGTATTTCAATAGGTGAATGAATAAATGGAATATTATTCAACGATAAAAAGAAATGAGCTAGGGGTGGATTGCGAGGTCAGGATATCGAGACCAGCCTGGCTAACATGGTGAAACCCCGTCTCTACTAAAAATACAAAAAACTAGCCAGGTATGGTGGCGGGCGCCTGTAGTCCCAGTTACTTGGGAGGCTGAGGCAGGAGAATGGCATGAACCCGGGAGGCGGAGCTTGCCGTCAGCCAGGATCGCACCACTGCACTCCAGCCTGGGCGACAGAGTGAGATTGTCTCGGAAAAAAAAAAAGGAAATGAGCTAAAAAGAAATGAACCACCAAGCCACAAAAAAACATAGAGAAGCTTAAATGCGTATTGCTAAGTGAAAAAAGTCAATCTTAAAAGCCTACATACTGTATGATTCCAACTACATGACATTCCGGATGAGGCAAAACTATGGAGACAGTAAAGAGATTAGTGATGACCAGGGGTTGAAGGGAGGGTAGAATGAGTATGTCAGTCCCATCCCCAAATTGTGAAACTGGTCAGTACATTACCAACTCCCCAAATGAAAAACATTGATCTTGAAAATTATTATTGGAAGGTTAGCTTTTATTTTTAATAAATTTGCTCAAAACTCACTGAAATACTCTGTTAGAAAGATTTTTGAAAAGTCGGATAAATTTGTGGTCTTACGCATGATGACACAATGACATACTTTTAGCAACAAAATACATAGTAATGAAAACATTTCCAAACATCCTTTAAAAAATACTCTGTCTAAATTTTGAAAATTATATTATTTAAGAAAATATAATCTTTGAGTCCACTTAATTGGGCATAGGTAAATTATAATACGTCAAAAGTCGCATTATGCTTATGAAACTCCCACTCCTGTCTCCTGGCTCTGTCTGGAGACACAGCTTTCTGACAAATAATAGACGAAGTGGAGCTACTGATTTCAATTTGTATTTTAAATATGCTTTTAAAAAATGAGGTGTTAACACATAGAAAGAAATTGATTTTCTATTGTTTTCTTTCTTCCATTTTGGAGATCACTGGCTTAAATTATAAGGGTTTTATTATGTAAATATGTAATATAATTTTATTATATAAATATAATATATATCACACACAATATAATAATATGAACTTATTTTATTATTATAAATCTAAAACCATCTGTATGGTTTTAGATTTTGTTCTCAGGTCAGGTCTGTCCCCTCACAGTTGCAAGACAGCAACTTCAAGCATCCCATCCTCAATCCATAATATTCAAAGGCAGGAAAAAAGTTGCTTTCTCTTTGTCTCTTTTTATGAGTGAAAAAACCCTTCCCATAAGCCCCCAGGAGGATTCCTCCTCATCCCTCATTGGCCAGAATACATCAAATATTTATGCCTGCCAATCACTGGCAAGGAAGATGAGGTCATAGACTAATCATGATTCATCTTCTGGGTTCAGAAGGAGGTCTTTCTCCTTAAACCACTCAAAGAAAATAAGATTCTGCTTGCAAGGAATGATGCAAGGAATGTTGTTGGGAAGGGAGCCAACAGCATCAGTCACAATCCTGATGCAGATATGATATTATTACAAAGACAGCGCACGTGTTAACAGAATAGTGCTCAGGTAACATGTACTGCTTGTTTAACGTGCACATCTTGTTTACAGTGAAGAAAAATTCTGGGTCTTGCATGAAATTATGGAATCATTATTTTCTTTTTATTCATGCTCATAAAATGCATATACAATGGGAGGTGTACGTTTATTTCAAGAATATGTATTTTCAGGGAAGAATTTCCAAATGCCATCGGATCACATTTAAAAATCCAGTATTCCCTTACATTTAAGTGCTGTGCTTCTTACGTGTCACTGAAAAACAAAAACAAAAACAAAACCTAGCCTGATATGAATTCTGCCACATTTGCCTACATGTTACTGATAATCTCTTGTTTATTGATTGCTGTTTGCTGCCAAAGCGAAATGTTTCTTTAAGTAGAAAATGCTGTATTAATGCGAGATAATAGTGGTCATTGCCAAAATAAGCTATATTTCATTTTCATGGTCATGGTCCATATATAGATGATCTCAAACCCAGGATAGTCATTCTCAAAGAATGATATCTAACCTCATTCTGTGATGTGCTGGCAAAAACCCAGATTCAATTAAAGTGAACAGCGTGCATTCTGGAAAATATAGGAGACAGGTTGTAAGCCCTCAAGGGTGCAGAAATCTTTCTTACTTTTTCCATACCATATCCCCAGTGCCTAGAATAGTACCTGACACATAGAAAAAGTTCATTAATACTTGCTACAAGAATGAATAAATTAATATAAATGGAATGAAACCATTAATAACATAAGCATTATTAATTTCAATCAATTAATATTTCATTATTATTGGAATTATTCTACCATATAGGAAAGGCAAATGAATAGTAACAATGTGTTAGTATTTATCCAATCCAATACATTCCAAAGATGGGGGTGTACAGGGGGAAAGAGAGAGAGGGAGAGAGAGAGAGAGAAACACTACATTTAGTGAGCACAAACATTCTCCTCATTCTTTTTTCTACATAGTAGGGATGGCTTCAGTAGGCTTTCACAGGATAAATGAAATCCTTGAAGACTATCTAAGCTGTAAACTCTGATTATTTGCCCACAAAGCAGCCTTTTGACTACTGATCTGGATGTCCAAATACTCAATACAATACATAGGTTTCCTGGAAATAAGTCACTTTCAGCCACCAGAAAAGTATAGCCACTACTATAAGTTAATATGATGGCATTCTGTGGTATATAGAAAACATCATGTGAATGCCTACATCTCTAACTTTGCTGGGAAGGCCTGAGATGGCCGGCTTGTAGTGCTAATTAGATGGGTGCTGATATGTTCAGGGTTGTGAACTTCATCCCCAAGAACTCTCAGAATCCACTTGTATCTGAATCAGACTGGTGGTACTTTCCAAGATGGTAGCTGGGACAGCAGCCCCACTCTGGTGGCTCTAGTTACCTGGACCCATCCCTGAGTGAGCTGCTGAGTGACAAGTTAATTAAGTTCTCTGTGGGACCCTCAGACCAGGTGAAATTCAGAAGTTCTATGCAATCCATAGACAGGGGCTTGCCACATCTCAAACATGAAATAATGCATTTCTTCATCCCTCCCATACAAATATTGATAATTTATAGCTATATGAGGAGGAGGCTAAGAAATTGTTCTAAATTATCTTAAAATGTTTTGGGAGTTAAGATTATCCTGAAGCCTCCACAGATGATCCAAGGAGCAGAGCGTGTCTTTGCAATGGCTCTGTCCTCACTTCTGCGAATTATTTACTAAGGTGGCTATTTTCCCAGAGTTGACTTGCCCCAGTGTGCCCTGTTTTTCAAGTGCAGCCTCTATAGAACACCTACATCTTTCAATGCTTCCATGGAGCTATGGCTCTAGACTGAGGTGTGTGGTAAATGTGCACTGCAATCTCCTGTAAATCTGGGACGACACCAGAGGCTTCTTCTTTTTTTTTTTTTTTTTTTTTTTTTTTTGAGACAGAGTCTCACTCTGTTGCCAGGCTGGAGTGCAATGGCACAATCTCGGCTCACTGCAACCTCCTTCTCCTGGGTTCAAGCGATTCTCCTGCCTCAGCCTCTTGAGTAGCTGGGATTACAGGTGCACACCACCATGCCCAGCCAATTTTTGTATTTTTAGTAGAGACAGGGTTTCACCATATGGGCCAGGATGGTCTCGATCTCTTGACCTCATGATCTGCCCACCTTGGCCTCCCAAAGTGCTGGGATTACAGGCATGAGCCACCATGCCCGGCCCACCAGAGGCTCCTTGTGTGGGTTGCATACAAAGGGAACATGGGCAAGTGGGATTCTACTTGAGGAGGTCTACAACGGGAAAGTCATTGGCTTTGAGAGGATTAGAGTAGCAGAAAGTTGGGAAAAGGTGTTAAGAGGCCTGGAGCCTGGCTGCAAAAGGCATTGAGATGTCTACAGCTTAACTTCATTGGTTGCTAGAGGCATGGAATATGAACGTGCTTGTCCCACCTACAGATAGGTGCTTTTGCTTTTAAGGCAGTTTTCTGCTCCATAAGGTGGGTTTGAGACACCCTTGTGCTCTCCCAGTCAATATTTGTGATGCATTGTGGGGCATTCTAAAGGTAGCTCCTGGTTCTCAGGATCACTCTTCTGGTAAAGTCCTCTCCATACATAAGGTGATGGAGCTGGTGCAGGGCCTGACAGGAATATAATTGCTATTTCATTGCATCCATTTCATATTACAAAGGCCAGTTGAGTTCTGGTGAGTGGCATCTATTTAGACCAGGAATAGCAGGAATGCTATTACTGACAAAGTGAGCCTCCATAGATGGGAGTAGATGTGAAAGGGATCAAAGAAAGGAGGGTCACAGAAGATTGTCCCAAATAGCGTTGGTGTGTTTGAAGCTCAGCATTATTGGTTGGGTTTTCAGGGGCCTGATGAACTGTGGACAAACTGATAAAATCTACTTTGTGGCTATCTAGAGGTAAAACCATAACCTGGACTACTTCCTGTGACCCTAAAAACATCCTGATCTTTGCAAGTTCTCCTGTATAGCTAAAGGCATTCCTAGTTAGCAACATTGACATTTTCTATTTATATTCCTGAAAATTTCTGAAATTTTCCTGATAAAGTTTAATATTTGAAGAGTGTTGCCTTTTGCTAATCTCAGATTTAGTATTGAAAGGTGTTTCAAGGCCGGGCGTGGTGGCTCATGCCTGTAATCCCAGCACTTTGGGAGGCCGAGGCGGGTGGATCACCTGAGGTCAGGAGTTCGAGACCAGCCTGACCAACATGGAGAAACCCCCATCTCTACTAAAAATACAAAATTAGCCGAGCGTGGTGGCACATGCCTGTAATCCCAGCTACTCGGGAGGCTGAGGCAGGAGAATCGCTTGAACCTGGGAGGCGGAGGTTGAGATCACGCTATTACACTCCAGCCTGGGCAACAAGAGTGAAACTCTGTCTCAAAAAAAAAAAAAAAAAAGGTGTTTCAAAACTGACCTTGGGAGAAGAAAAAAGATCAGCGAGAAGCCACTAGGGATAGACGCAAGAGAGTAAGAAATAATCAGAAAGCATAGCTGAGAAATTCCCTATAAGCAAAAATAAAAATACACATATTATCTTAAAGCTAATAACCCAGGAGGGTAACCGGAAGAATATCTTCATGCAAACTTTAACAAGTATGAAGTAGTAGTGGGGTTTCCAGTGGAGGGTAGCTACAAGCAAGACTGTAAATTGCAGGCATGGGCATATATTATAATTGGCTACACTGATAAGGGGTGGGGATGGAGGGACATTGTCTTTACGCATTTTGATAAACGGAATAAATGATGCTCTGTGGGCCCTAAGGGGACCGCCTAGCAAAGGCAGATGATGTCTACTACCAATTAATTAAAAGTTAGAAGTGAGTGTAATCGAGGCTGTTGAGTTCGTACCCAGGTATGCAAACTTTAGCATGCATCAGAATCACCTGGAGGGCTTCTAAAAACATCGATGACTGGCTGAGCCGGTGACTCACGCCTGTAATCTCAGCACTTTGGGGGGCCAAGGTGGAAGGATGGCTTGAGCCCAGGAGTTTGAGACCAGCCTGGGCAACATGACAAATCCCTGTCTCTACAAAAAAGAAAAACAAAACAAAGCAAAAAACATCGATTACTCGGCCCCACTCTCCAGAGTTTCTGATTCAGAAGGAGTGGAACAGGGGCCTGAGAATTTATATTTCTAACAAGTTCCTAGATACCGCTGATCTGGGATCACTCATTGAGAACCACTGACTCAGAAAAAGAGTAAAAAGGTTCTTAGCACTCAGTTCTTAACTTAGACCCTCACATTCCACACAGGTGAGGGATTTTTAAACATTTTGTGCATGTGTATCAGAGAGTTACAAATCATATTACAAAAATTAAATAGAATACTTTTTCTAACTGTAATTAATCAGAAATTTATTTTTATGACTTAGAGAATAGAAGAAATTCAAATTATAAAGTAATAATGGGTAGGATTATATAAAAGTGTAAAATGGTGAAAACAGATCAAACTGGACCTAGGAAAATTCTCAGATAATCCTGATGGATACATAGACGTCTTACAAGAATTAGGACAATCTTTTGATTTAGCATCCAGAGAGATTATGTTGTTGTTAGGTCAAACATTAACTCCTAACGAAAAAGAGACCACCTTAGCTGCAGCCCAGGAGTTTGGGGATCTCTGGTATCTAAGCCAGGTAAATGATAAAATGACATCAGAAGAAAGGGAACAATTCCCCACAGGCCAACAGGCAGTTCCCAGTGTGGATCCCCATTGGGACCTCGATTCGGAGCATGGACACTGGAGTCACAGGCATTTACTGACTTGTATACTAGAGGGATTAAGAAAGACCAGAAAAAAGCCGATGAATTACTCAATGATGTCCACCATATGCAGGGAAAGGAAGAAAACCCTACGGCATTTTTAGAGAGGTTAAGGGAGGCATTAAGAAAGCATACCTTTTGTCACCTGACTCTATTGAAGGCCAACTAATTTTAAAGGATAAGTTTATCACTCAGTCAGCTGCAGACATAAGAAAAAAACTTCAAAAGTCTGCCCTGGGCCCCCAGCAAAATTTGGAAACTCTATTGAATTTGGCAACTTCAGTGTTTTATAATAGGGATCAGGAGGAGCAGGCTGAACGAGACAGATGAGACAAGAAAAAGGCCGCTGCCTTAGTCATCATTGCCCTCAGGCAGACGAACTTGGGTGGCTCTGAAAGAAAGAAGGGCTGGGCAGGCAACCCACCTAACAGGGCTTGTTATCAGTGCGGCTTACAGGGGCACTTCAAAAAGGACTGCCCAAGCAAAAATAAGCCGCTCCCTCATCCATGTCCCTTGTGCCAGGGGGATCACTGGACGGCACACTGCCCCTGAGGGAGAAGGTCCTCTGGGCCAGAGGCCACTAACAAGATGGTCCAACAACAGGACTGAGGGTGCCTGCGGCAGGCGCCAGAGCATGCCATCACCCTCACAGAGCCCCAGATAAGCTTAACCATTGAGGGCCAGGAAACTAACTTCCTCCTGGACACTGGCGCGGCCTTCTCAGTTTTACTCTTTCGTCCCAGACAACTATCCTCCAGGTCTGTCACCATCAAAGGGGTCCTAGGACAGCCAGTCACTAGGTATTTCTCACACCCTCTAAATTGTGACTGGGGAACCTTATTTTTCTCACATGCCTTTCTTATTATGCCTGAGAGCCCTACTCCTTTACTAGGGAAGGACATATTAGCTAAAGCAGGGGCCATTATATACTTGAATATAGGAGAAGGAATACCCGTTTGCTGCCCTCTACTGGAGGAAGGAATTAATCCTGAAGTCTGGGCAGAGGAAGGACAATACCAATGAGCAAAACACGCTTGTCCAGTTCAAGTTAAATTAAAGGATCCTACCTCCTTTCCTTTCAAAGGCAGTACTCCCTCAGACCAGAAGCCCAACAAGGGTTACAAAAGATTGTTAAAGACCTAAAAACACAGGGATAAGTAAAGCCATCCAACAGTCCATGCAACGCTCCCATTCTAGGCATACAAAACTCCAGCGGACAATGGAGGTTAGTTTAAGACCTCAGAATTATCAATGAGGCAGTTGTTCCTCTGTATCCAGTTGTACCTAATCCTTAGACTCTACTCTCCCAGATACCAGAGGAAGCAGAATGGCTTACAGTCCTAGATCTTAAGTACACTTTCTTCTTCATCCCTCTGCATTCTGACTCTCAATTTTTATTTGCCTTTAAAGATCCGTGAAACCCAGCATTTCAGCTTACCTGTACTGTCCTGCCACTCATTATTGGGGTTGGGGTACTAGGAGGACTAGGAATCGGCATTGGAGGCATTACCACCTCCACCCAATCCTATTACAAATTATCACAAGAGTTAAATGATGACATGAAATGAGTCGCAGATTTGCTTGGTCACTTTACAAACCAGCTTAACTCTTTAGCAGCAGTAGCCCTTCAAAATCAGACAGCCTTAGATTTATTAACAGCCAAAAGAGATGGAACCTGTCTTTTTCTAGAAGAGTGCTGTTATTTCGTTAATCAATCTGGAATTGTCAACGAGAAGGTTAAAGAGCTTCAAGATTGGATACAGTGCCGGGCATAAGCGCTCCAAGACACAGGACCTTGGAGTATTGTCAACCAATGGATGCCTTGGCTTCTCCCCTTCTTGGGACCCTTGATGGCTATTGTGATGTTGCTTATCTTTGGACCCTGCATTTTTAACCTCCTTGTAAAATTTGTCTCTTCCAGAATAGAATCCATGAAACTGAAAATGGTTAGACAAATGGAGCCCCAAATGATCACCACTAGCACCTACCATCGAGGACCCCTAGACTGACCCGCCAACCCATTCTTGCACTACGACACTGAAGACTCCCCTCCCGAGGAAACCTCAACTGCGGAGCCCCTTCTACCCCGCAGTTCAGCAGGAAGTAGCAAGAACGATCGTCGCCCAACTTCCAAACAGCACTTGGGCTTTCCTGTTGAGAGGGGACTGAGGGACTAAGTGGCTAAGTTGGCTGGACTCCTTGGGTCAATAGGGACTTCCCTAAGGGGACGTTACCTAAGCCAAAATAAATCATAGCTGCAAGAGCCAAAATAAATCATAGCTGCAAGCAAAGGAATTAAAACTTCAACCAATCAAAGGGGACTTTCCCCTAAGCCAAAATGAGTCAAAGCTGCAAGATAAGGGATTGAAATTTCAACCAATTATATAGGGAGTTTAAGCTCTAACTGCAGCCTGATGTTTTAAACCAATCAGGCCTGCCAACCCACAGGTGGATAGAAAATAAGCTAATTCTATAGGACAAAAAGAGGAAAGGGGAGGGGTCATAAGGGGATATAAGCATAAGACAGCCAAGCCACAAACAGCATCCCTTCTGGGTCCCCTTCCACCGCGTGGAAGCTTTACTTTCACTTTCGCTTTAATAAATCTTGCCACTGCACCAAAAAATAAAAAATAAAAAAATAAAAATAAAGTAAGATGGTGAAATAATGAAAATTCACAAAACCAAGGCAGAAAGAGTTGTAAGAAAATAAGAAAAACTGTTTGCTATAAATATGGCTGCATATCGGAAGTTTAATATCTAAAGTATATTGCTTTTATTCAAACCAGGCTGCCAGTGGGACCAAGACACACACAGACAGTTCATACACCAGGAAAACCAACATAAAACCAACAGGCGAAACACTAAACCTTGGAAGTTAATTAAAGAAATTCAAATGGAAACAATTCTAAGGGGCCATTTAACACATACCAGATAAACAAGTATAAGAATAAATGATAAAATCCAGTACTAGTGAGACTGTTGTGAAATGGTTGCTGGTAAAAGTGTAAATTGGTTGTTTTTTGGAGTGAAGAGCCACAAGAATAATCATACCAGAAAATATAGCCTATATGGGCAATTCATAAAAAGAACAAAACACAATTATAAAAATATTTATAGCTGAATTATTTATAATAGCTAAAAGTGAAATTACCAAAATACTCAATATTAGAGAAATAATAAAACAAATAATGTGATATAAACCTAATATTCATTCATTAGAAATGAAAACATGAAGATTCTGCAAGCAAAGGGAAATGTGAACTGCATGGAAGTGTTAGGGGCAAAAGTACTGGATCTGGAGTCAAAAGATCTAAAATTAAGTAACCTTTGGCTAAGAATTCAACCTCTCTGAACTTTGTTCATCTTCTAACACAGCAGTTTTCCACCAATACACAGCAGTTTTCAAATGTTTTGGCCACTACCTAAAAATGTTTAATTTTTTCTTCTTTTGTCATAAGAGCACTTAACGTAAAATCTATCCTCTTAGCAAATTTTCAGTATTGTCAGCATTGGCAATCATATGTCCTATGTTGGGTAGGAATGTCCAGAACTTATTTATCTTGCATGACTGAAACTTTGTACCCTTTGACCAACCCTTTTTCTCCACCCCCCCAGTTCCTGGCAACCATCATTCTTTCTGCTCCTATGAGTTTGCCTATTTTAGATTCTACATGTAAGTGAGATCAGTCATACCTCAATAAAGTGGTTGAAAAAAAGGAAATTTTACATTGATTCCTTATAAACACAAACACATACACACACACACACACACACGTAATCACCGGTAATAATGGTAGGCCTGGTGCAGTGGCTCACGCCTGTAATCCCAGCACTTTGGCAGGCTGAGGTGGATGGATCACTTGGGCCCAGGAGTTCAAGACCAGCTTGGGCAACATGGTGAAACTCCATTATTATGAAAGAAATTACAAAAATTGTCCGGGCATGGTGGGGCATAGCTATAGTCCCAGCTACTCAAGTAGCTGAGGTAAGAGGATCACTTGAGCCCAGGAGGTTGAGGCTGCAGTGAGCCATGATCATGCCACTGCACTCCAGCCTGAGTGGGAGAAGACGACTCTGTCTCAATAAAAATAGTAGTAATACGTGATGGTCTATTCTATTCTGTTCTACTCTCCATTTCATTCCTTTCCACTCCATATAAAAGTGCTGGTCACTAAATTGATTTCAAACCCTCTAATATATCACAACCAGCAGTTCATAAAACACTGGTCTAATTTATAGGCATGCTCAAAGGTTTACTGCCAGCCCATCTCCTCTCTCCAACACTTCATGGTTTCCCCAACCCCCACAACCTGCAGCCATTCACACAATACACCCAGAGAGCTCTACTTTTAAAACCATGGCTGAAATGAAGCCATAGATGGCAGAAATTGTAATAGGCATGCAATTTTGTGCCAATCTACATATAGGGCATATGTGTTGGGAAGAATAAAGTGATATTTAATACAACTGGACTGGATTAACTTTTTTCTTAGATGGTGTCAACAGCTCTCTTGAATCTCTCTTAGGCTATTTCTTTCTTCCCTCTTCTCTCCTATAGCTCAAAAACCCAGAAACTGTATGAGTTACTTATAGTAACATGAACAAGCTACTTATAGTTCATATGAACAAGTGCGTCGGTTTCTACTGGTTTGGTTGTGGTAAGACAGGCCTGAAGGTGACTTCTTCTGCTTAGACAAGGAACTGGCTGTTTACGTTGCCTCTAGTTTTGGCAAAGTCTGTGGTAGTCTAGCTCAGCTCAGAAGTCCTGGTTTATAGTGCTGAACATTTGCCTCTGTGTCTTCTGTGACTTAAACTCTTCAAACGGTGGTTCTTGAATTTTATTTATTTTTATTTATTTATTTTAACTTTTATTTTAGGTTCAGGGGTACATGTGTATATGTGTATTTTTATTTTTTTGAGACAAGTTCTCCCTCTGTTGCCTAGGGTAGAGTGCAGTGGCACTGTAACACCTCACTGTAACCTCAAACTCCTGGGTTCAAGAAATCCTCCCACCTTGCCCTTCCAAAGCATTGGGATTACAGTCATGAATCATTGCACCTGGCCTCAAATCGTAATATGCTGAAGAGTCACCTAGGTATCTTTTTAAAAACTACAAATGTGTATGCCCCATTATTGAAGATCCTGATTCAGTGATGTGGTAGGTTCAGGAAATTACATTTTAAATAAACACCCCAAGTGCTCTCTCCAAACTGGGGAAACCCTCCTGTGGGTTCTATAGCCAAGGTAGAGGGCTGACTGGGATTTGGGAATTGCTGGTCCTGGCCACTGGTGCTTTCCACTGAGCATTTCCAACAAATCTTAGTTTTCTCACCTGTAAAATATAGAGGGCATATGAGATCTGTAGGCTTCCTTCAGCTTTACCCTTGTATGATGTGTCTAGAAATAATATTACATGAAAGAACAAAGCAAGAAACAATATGTACATTGTTTCCAACTTTGTAAAAAAAAAAAGTAAGTATGTCAAGAGACTAGACAAGGTCAAAAAGATATCTGTGTAGTGGCATTATAGTGCAATTGCAGATGTTCTTTTAAAAATAAACAATGATGATATTAAATAATTTTTTAAAAATGGCGAACAACAATGACAGGGACATCAAGGAGGATGAGAACTAAAACAGAACTTTGAATGTGAATGAGATGATTATGACATCATTAGTGACAATAGAGAGAGCGACTTAGTACCACCATTGGTTTGAAAATCATTCTGGAGCTAAGGAAGAAGAGGGTGGATAGTAAAAGGAAGTAGAAAGAAAAAGAGTGAGTGTAGCTAAAATGAAAAGACAGAGTTAGGACAACGTATCCCAGGAGACACTGAAATTCGAAGCACATTGAAAGGAAGTGGACTTAACAAAAAGTTACTTTTTCTCATAGAGGAGGAAGAAGAGAGGATCTGCTACTAACTGTTCCTCCAAGTAGGGCACATTGGAATTGTGTCCCAAAGAGTTAAAGAAACCAACGACTAACAAAAATTCTTGTTTGCAGGACAGCAGGTAAGAAAAGAAACAACTTGCTGAGACTCTGACGCTGACATCAAGAAAAACCTGGCTAGAATCGGTGGAAACTAAGATGGCTGACTGGAGTTTGCACAGAACAAGCTTGCTGGCGTCCCAGCCCGAATTTCCACATGTTTCATACTAACTCCCCCCAAATTCACACATGTGACCCATGAGATAGCAGGAAGAAACAACTGGACATGCGCAGGGCCTTCCCAGACCTCCTGTTTCCTTTCACCAGTTACCTATATAGTCTCAGAATCTAACCCCTGAACCTTTTCTAATAAAAATACTGCTTGGAAGCCAGTGCAGGGAAACAGATTTGAACTTGACTCCTGTCTCCTTGAGAGTCCACTTTCAACATAAATCTTTTCTTTTCTCCAAAACCTGGTGTCACAGTATTGGCTTCTAGTGCACTGGGCACCCTCCCTTTTACTCAATAACATCAGTCAGCTTCTGAGTGGTGCCCACTCAATGTCTTATGTGAGGACACACTTTTATTCAAGCCACATCTGGGAGGAGAAAAATCTCCCGGCTAATAATCAAAGTTCCAGTAACTGAAGTGGGAATATTCCTTATAGAACTGACATCTGCACCAGCCATTTCCTAGGAGAGGGCATCACTCCTTACGCCATCCACCTTGAGGCTAGTGCTGCCTGACATCTGTGCTCAGTTTCACTTCTAAAATACTTTCAACTATGCAACTTAATTTCACCTCCACAACCCAGCAGGGTATAGGGGAGTGAGATAGGCCTTGGCATGTATTTCCACCTTCTCCCCACCCCACTCCTAAGTCCTCCCCCAGTTTCCTGCCAAAGAAGCCCATATACAAAGATCAGTAGCCAGCTGAGAAGGATTTCTCACTTTATTAAAAGATGGCAGGACAAGAACCCAAGTTTTTTTAATTCTTGTTATGACTTTCTTTTATTATTATTATTATTATACTTTAAGTTCTAGGGTACCTGTGCACAACGTGCAGGTTTGTTACATATGTATACATGTGCCATGTTGGTGTGCTTCGCCCATTAACTCATCATTTACATCAGGTATTTCTCCTAATGCTATCCCTCCCCCCTTCCCCCCACCCCATGTCAGACACCAGTGTGTGATGTTCCCCACCCTGTATCCAAGTGTTCTCATTGTTCAATTCCCACCTATGAGTGAGAACATGCGGTGTTCGGTTTTCTGTCCTTGTGATAGTTTGCTCAGAATGATGGTTTCCAGCTTCATCCATGTCCCTACAAAGGACATGAACTCATCCTTTTTTATGGCTGCATAGTATTCCATGGTGTATATGTGCCACATTTTCTTTTTTTAAATTTTATTATTATTATACTTTAAGTTTTAGGGTACGTGTGCACAACATGCAGATTTGTTACATATGTATACATGTGCCATGTTGGTATGCTGCACCCATTAACTCGTCATTTAGCATTAGGTATATCTCCTAATGCTATCCCTCCCCCCCGTCATCAATGCTGAGAATGATGGTTTCCAGCTTCATCCAAGTCCCTACAAAGGACATGAACTCATCATTTTTTATGGCTGCATAGTATTCCATGGTGTATATGTATGTGCCACATTTTCTTAATCCAGCCTATTATTGATGGATATTTGGGTTGAAGAACCCAAGATTCTAATGCAAAGGCCTGGTAAAAGCTGAACTGGAGGTGGTGAGCCCATGTCAAAGTGAAGGCTCCTCTCTCCAATCCTTCTAAATTTGGAAGGGGCACTCTCGGGGCCAGAGAGCTGAGCAGATCTTGAAAGGATCTTTGGCTGAGTTTACCAATTTCAAAAATGTATGTGTCTGCTTACCTACAGCAATGGGAAAGGAAGATGATGCAGGGGGCTATGCCAAGCATTAGTGCTGGCCTTCAGTGCTTCCTGTGATGTAACCCTGCTATCAAGGGTGGCTCTATCAGTGATAAGTGGCTGACCAACACAATCTGTAAATCCTTCTTCCTTTGGGAGGAACTAGCAAGGGAGAAGAAAGGGAAGCCAGAAGTCTCGGGGTAGAAGTTCCCAATTGTATAGGTCAAGATTAAAAGATGAGACAGGGAACAGAAACATTTCCTCTTTTTTCAACACAAAATAGGCAAGGAGGTTATTATTATCACATGATCCCCACTTTATAGATGAAGAAAAGAAAGAACAGAAACATTAAATGATGTAGTTATCATCACAAAGCTGGTGAGTATACATATCGGTCTGCAGGTGCCTCTTTCTTAGTTAGTGGTGCTGGTGGTGAGAAGATGACCACCATGCTAAACCCCCAGTTCCTGTGCCACCACCTGCTCAACTGCTGCCTGCAGCTGCCACTCGGTGGGGTTCCTAAAATAGCCATAGACAAGGAGTTCTAGCAGAGCACTCCACCTGTTTCTAGATAGGCTCTTGCTCTCAAGCCTGGTCTGCTATCCAGGTGAACTGTGAGGGGTAGGGGTGGGGGCACGTGTGAGCTAGACTAGGGGTTAGACTGGAGATGAGCCCACTCCCTGCGTCCTTTCCTGGAGTCTCATCCTGTGCTAACTGAGCCGCCAAGCCGTTTCCGCTCCAAGACCAGAGAAAGGAAAGGAAAGAGCCTTCTCTCCTGAGGAAATGTGCGGCTCTGGAGCGAATGCCATCCAGTTCCTGACTCAGCACCCTGATTTCCATCTGGGCGTTCACCCCTCCCTCACACAACCCCTGTGCTGGAAGGGAAGCTGACTTCACACCCAGTTCCAAGAATGGGGCTTGACTGACTTAAGGCTATCGACACGGCCACCCCACCCCACGAGTGGCCAGGGATGGACATAGAACCTAATTAGTGTTACTCAAAGACAAAGGCACATTTCCTTGAGGATCCTGGAGAAAACGACTTCATTCTTCCTTAGAAGCTACTTGAGGGACATTCTCGTCTCTTTGGATATGAGCAAGGACATCGCAGCGCTGAAAGCTACTTGCAGCCATCTTGTGGCCACTTGGAGAAAATACATGTTGTGTAACGCAGAGAGGAGAAATGAAAAGCCTCCGGGGTCTTTGCTGCCCTTGAGTTGCTGAATCAAGTCTTGACTGAAGCCTGATATCTTTAGGCTTTTCAGGTTTGTAAATCAATAAATTTTCTTTAACGTTCAAGCCAGTTTGAGTGACATTTTTGGTAGTTGCAGATTTCCAATTAACATGCACTGTAACACATAAGCATATTAGTTTAGAGAGGCCACAGTTTCCCCTAACCATGCTAGAGTTTTCTGATAATGGCCAGAGTACAAAGTCAGATTTTCCTGTGTCAGCCTCATGGAAGGGAAGAAAAAACCAAGTTTAAAAAAACTAAAAGGCCTTTGATGTCATTCCCCCAACACACACATATCCAAAGAAAAAAGTAAGGGGTCAAATATATAATATCATGTTCAAAATAAATTACTGTTATTATTGTTATTACTTTGTAAGTAGATTTTATTTTTTAGACAGTTTTAGGTTCACAGAAAAATTGAGTGGAAGTTTCTGAGACTTCCCATACACCCTCTGCTCCCCATATGCAAGGCATCCGCCATTATCAACATCCCCCACCAGAGTGGTGCATTTGCTATCATTGCTGGACCTACATTGACACTCACCATCAGTCATTATCACTCAGCGTCCAAAGCTTACCTTAGGGTTTATGCTTGGTATTGTACATTTTATGGGTTTAAACAAATGTATAATGACATGTATCCACCATTATAGAATCATACAGAGTATTTTTACTGCCCTAAAAATCATCTGTGCTCCACCTGTTCATTCCTTCTTCCTCCCAACCCCTAGCAAGCATGGATCTTTTTACTGTCTTACTGTCTTCCAAAGTGTCTATAGCATTTTGCATTTCCACCAGCAATAAAGGAGAGTTCCTGTCGCTTCACAGCCTCACCAGCATTTGGTGTTTTCAATGTTCTGAATTTTGGCCACTCTGATAGGTGTGTAGTGGTATCTCATTGTTGTTTTAATTTGCATCTCTCTGATGACATATGATGTGGGGCATCTTTTTATGTGTTTATTTGCCATTACATGTCTTCTTTGGGGAGGTATTTGTTAAGTTCTTTGGCCCATTTTTTAATTGGGTTCTCTGTCTTCTTATTGTTGAGTTTCAAGAGTTCTTTGCATATTTTGGGTACCAGTCCTTTGTCAGGTGTGTTTTTAACAAATATCTTCTCTCTCTCTCAGTCTGCAGCTTGTCTTTTCATTTTCTTGACAGTGTCTTTGGCAGAGCAGAAATCTTTAATTTTAAAGAAGTCCAGCATATCAGTTCTTTTTTTCATGTATTGTGGTTTCGGTATTATATCTAAAAAGTCATTGACAAACCCAAGGGCATCTAGATTTTCTCCTATGTTATCTTCTAGTTTTACAGTTTGATATTTTGGTCTGTGGGGTATTTTGAATTAATTTTTGTGATGGGTGGAAAGTCTGTGTCGAGATTCACTTCTCTGCATGTGAATGTTCAGTTGTTCCAGCACCACTTATTGTAAAGCCTATCTTGTCTCCATTGTATTGCCTTTGCCCCCTTTTCAAAGATTAGTTGATTGTGTTTATGTAGGTCTATTTCTGGGCTTTCTATTCTATCCTATTGATCCTCTGCCAGTTTTTTCACCAATACCACACCGTCTTTATCACTGTGGCTTTAGGGTAGTTATAGTAATATCATAAGTCTTGATGTCAGTCCTCCAATTTTGTTCTTTTCTTTCAATCTTGTGGTGGTTATTGACTGTCTTTTGACTCTTCATATAAACATTGGAATCAGATTATTGATAGCCACAAAATATCTTACTAGGATTTTGATTTTGATTGCATTGAATCTATAGATCAAGTTGTGAAGAACTAATATCTTGACTAATACTGAGTTTTTCTATCTATGAACATGGAATATTTCTCTATTTATTTAGTTTTTCATTGGTTTCTTTCATCAGTTTTATGGCCTTCCTTATATAGACCATGTACAGGTTTTGTTAGATTTATACCCAAGTATTTTATTTTGAGGCACTGTTAATATAAATGACAATTTCTTTTTAATATCAAATTCCACTTGTTCATTGTTGCTATGCAGAAAAATGATTGACTTTTGTATATTAACCTTGCATCCTGAAACCTTGTTATAATTGTTTATTAGTTCCAGGAGCTTTTTTTCTTGATTTTTCAGATTTTCTTTCTTTTTTTATTTTGAGATGGAGTCTCGCTCTGTCGTCCAGGCTGGAGTGCAGTGGTGTGATCTCGGCTCACTGCAACCTCCGCCTCCTGGGTTCAAGCAATTCTCCTGCCTCAGCCTCTTGAGTAGCTGGGATTACAGGCACACGCCACCACACCTGGCTAATTTTTGTATTTTTAGTAGAGATGGGGTTTCACCATGTTGGTAAGGCTGGCCTTGAACTCCTGACCTTGTGATCCACCCGCCTCGGCCTCCCAAAGTGCTGGGATTACAGGCGTGAGCTACCACACCTGGCCTGATTCTTTCAGATTTTCTTTTAGACAATCATGTCTTTTGTGAACAAGATAGTTTTATTTCTTCCTTCTCAGTCAGTATACATTTTCTTTACTTATCTCATTGCATTAGCTAGGATTTCTAGCATAATGTTGAAAAGCTGTGGTGAGAGAGTATGTGTTTGCCTTGTTCCTGATCTTAATGAGAAAGCTTCTAATTTCTCACCATTAAATATGACGTTATCTGTATATTTTTTGTAGATATTCTTTATCAAGTTGAGGAAGTTCCCCCTCTATTTCTCATTTACTGAGGAGTTTTTTTTTTCTTTTTCTTTTTCTTTTATCATGAGCAAGTGTTAGATTTTGTCAAAGGTTTTTTCTACATCTATTGATGTAATCATCTGTATTTTGTTCTTTAGCCTGTTGATATGATGGATAGCCTTAATTAGTTGTCAAATGTTGAAACAGCCTTTCATTCCTGGGATAAATCCCCCTTGGTGTGGCACACAATTCTTTTTATACTTTGATGGATTCAATTTGTTAACATTTTGTTGAGAATTTTTGCATCTATGTTCATGAGAGATACTGAACTGTGGATTTTTTTTTTTTTTTTTTGGAGACAGAGTCTCTCTGGAGTACAGTGACGTGATCTTGGCTCACTGCAATCTCTGCCTCCCAGGTTCAAGCGATTCTCCTGTCTCAGCCTCCTGAGTAGTAGCTGGGATCACAGGCATGCACCACCACACCCGGCTAATTTTTGTATTTTTAGTAGAGACAGGGTTTTGCCATATTGGCCAGGCTGGTCTCGAACTCCTGACCTCAGGTGATCCTCCCGCTTCGGCCTCCCAAAGTGCTGGGATTACAGGCGTGAGCCACTGCACCCAGCCAAGATATATTGAACTGCGGATTTATTTTCTTCCAATGTGTTTGCCTGGTTTTGGTATGAAGGTGATGTTGACTTCATAGAATGAGTTAGGAAGTATTCCTTGTGCTTCTATCTTTGAAAGAGGTTGTAGAAAATCGGTGTGCTTTTTTCCTTAAACGTTTGGTAGAATTCACCAGCGAACCCATTTTGACCTGATGCTTTCTGCTTTAGGAGGCTATTAATTATTGATTCATTTTCAGTTGAATAGATATACCCTTATTCAGTGTGTATTACTTCTTATGTGAGTTTTGGCAGATTGCGTCTTTCAAGAAATTGGTCTATTTTAGCTAGGTTATCAAATTTGTAAGCATAAAGTTGTTCACAGTATTCCTTTATTATCCTTTTAATGTACATGACTTTTGTAATGATGTCCCCTCTTTCATCTCTGATATTACTAATTTATGTTCTTCCTCTCTCTCTTTTTTCTAAGTTAGCCTGGCTATGGGCTTATTAATTTTATTGATCTTTTCAAAGAACCAGCTTTTGGTTTTATTGATTTTTCTCTGTTAATTTTCTGTTTCAATTTCATTGATTTCTGCTCTAATTTTTATTGTTTCTCTTCTTCTGTTCAGTATAGATTTAGTTCGCTCTTGTTTTTCCAGTTTCCGAAGATGAAAGCTTAGGTGATTTCTTTTAAATCTTTCCTATTTTCTAATATATGCACTCCATGCTATCAATTTCCCCCTTAGCACTACTTTTATTGCACTGCACAGTTTTTGATAACTTGTGTTATTTTCATTTAGTTCAAAGTACTTTTTAATTTCTCCTGAGATTTCTGCTTTGACCCTTGTATTATTTAGACACATGTTGTATTTGTATCTCCAAGTATTGGGGGATTTTTCAGCTATCCTTCTATTATAAATTTCTAGTTTAATTCCATTGTGGTCTGAGAGCAGACACTACGATTTCTACTTTTTTTTTACATTTGTTAAGGTATATGAAGTGGTCTAGAATGTGGTCTATCTTGATGAATATTCCATGTGAGCTTGAGAAGAATGTACAGTGAATTCTGCTATTGCTGGATGAACTAGTTTATAGCTGTCCATTATTTACAGTTTATAGATGATGTTTTTGAATTTGATTATGTTCTTAATGATTTTCTGCCTGCTGAATCTGTCCATTTCTGATAGAGGGATGTTGAACTCTCCCACTATACTAGTGGACTCATCTATTTCTCCTCACAGTTCTATCAGTTTTTGCTTCATGTATTTTGATGCTGTGTTATTAGGTGCACACACATTAAGGATTGCTATGTCTTCTTAGAGAACTGACCCCTTTATCATTCGGCAATGCTCCTCTTTATCCCTAATAACTTTACTTGCTGTGAAGTGTTCTGTGTCTGAAATTGTTCTAGTTTCTTCCACTTTCTTTTGATTAGTTTTAGCATAGTATACCTTTCTCCATCCATTTACTTTCAATTGATATGAGTCTTTATATTTAAAGGAGGTTTCTTATAGACAACCTGTAACTGAGTCTTGTTTCTTGATCCATTCTAACATTCTCTGTCTTTTAATTGTTGTGCTTAAGACCACTCATATTCAAAGTGATTATTGATATAATTGGGTTAATATCTATCATATTTGTTACTGTTTTTGTTACCCTTGTTCTTCGTTTCTATTTTTGTCTTTCACTCTTGTTCTGCCTTTAGTTATTTTAATTTAGCAACTTTATATGATTCAATTTTCTCTCCTTTCTTATCATATCAGTTATACTTTTTACTTTTTTTAGTGGTTGCCCTAGAGTGTGCAATATACATTTACAATTAATCCAAGTCCATTTTCGCCAAACATTATACTGCTTCTTGGTTAGTGCTTATTATAACAAAATGATCCTAATTCCCCCCCCTTGTATCATTCTGTCATTCATTTTACTTATACATAAGCATGTGTAATAAAATACATTGTTGCTATTTTATTTTGAATAAACTCTTATTTGTTACATAAATTAAGAATATGAAAAATAATTTTAAATTTTACTTTCATTTATTTCTTCTTCAGTATTTTTCTTTATTGATGTAGAGCTGAATTTCTGACCTATAATTTTTAGTCTCTCTAAATAATTTTTTTCAACATTTCTTGCAAGGCAAGTCACTGGTAACAAATTTTTCAATTTTTGTTTGTCTGAGAATGTCTTTATTTCTCCTTCACTTTTGAAAGATAAATTTGCTGTATACAGAATTGTAGGCTGGTGGGTCTTTTTCCTCTCAACGCTTTAAATATTTCACTTTATTGTCTTCTCGCTTGTATGGTTTCTGAGAAGTCAGGTGTAATTTTTATCTTTGCTCCCTTGTAGGCAAGGTATTTTTTCTCTTTCACTGCTTTCAAGATATTTTCTTTATCTTTGATTTTCTATAATTTGAATATGATACAGCTAGGTGTAGTTTTTTGACATTTATCCTGCTTGATGTTCTCTAAGCCTTCTGGATCTGTGGTTTGGTATCTGACATTCACTTTGGGAAATTCTCAGTCATTATTGCTTCAAATATTTCTTCCGGTATTTCTATGACCTGTATATTACACCTTTTATAGTTGTCCCAAAGTTCCTGGATATTATGTTTTGGGTTTTTTTCAGTCTTTTTTTCCCTTTGTTTTCAGTTTTTGCAGTTTCTACTGAAGTATCCTCAAGGTCAGAGATTCTTTCCTCAACCATGTCCAGTCTATTAGTGAGCTCATCTAAGGCATTCTTCATTTCTGTTACAGAGTTTTTTATCTCTAACCTTTCCTTTTGGTTCTTTCTTAGACTTGCCATCTTGCTGCTTACATTGTCCATCTGTTCTTGCATTCTGTCTGCTTCATCCAGCCCTATTACAGCCCTTAGCATCTTAATCATACTTATTTTAACATCCAGTCTGATTAATTCCAAGATCCCTGCCATATCTGAGTCTGATTCTGATGCTCACTGTGTCTCTTCAAACTGTGTCTTTTCTGCCTTTTAGTATGCCTTGTAATTTTTTCCTTGATAGCCAGACATAGTATACTGGGTAAAAGAAACTGCTCTACATAGGCCTTTAGTAATGTGTTGGTGAGGTATGAATGGAGCGGAAGCATTCTATAGTGTTATGATTAGGTCTCAGTCTTTTAGTGAACCTGTACCTCTGGACTACAAACATCACAAGTGTTTCTCAGTCTCCCACACCTGCCCCTTTAAGTGGAAGAAGTGGTGAGAGTGGGTTGGAGTTGGGTATTTTCTTTTCCCTGGTCAGTTAGGCTTTGATAAAACCCCAGCAGATTAGGCTCTGGTTGGTTAGTTTCTCCTTAAGACAGACTGTGTTAAGAAGAACAAAATGCTTTGGCATATTTCAAAATGATTGTTTTCCCTTCCAACATGAGGGGATTTTATCCAATATTCAATGCAAGAATCAAGTAGAGCTCCTGGGGGTAAAACTCAGAAGGTGTAGTCCCCTGCCCCCATAGTTGGGTCCCCTTGGAGCATTTAACTCTCAGAGTTGTCCGTACTGAGCCTCCAGCAATTTGTCAACTATGGTTCAGGTTTTCCCACTCAAGCACTGGTTCCTGCCGAGATTTCTGCTTGTGGGTTTCTGCACCATAAGTTATGATTCTCTGTATTTGCTCATTTTTCCCTTTGATTTTGGGGAGAAGTTTGCCCTCTGACCTCACTTTTCTTATGGATCTAAGATGAGTTGATTTTTTAGTTTGTTCAGTTTTTTTACTTGTTCAGATGGAGTGGTGATTTCTGAACTTCTTACATGCTGGACCAGTTATTATTACTTCTTTAACACCTCTCACAGACTGTTCCATTACCTGCTGTGATGGTTCCATATGTGTCTTTGCAAACTTCATTTTAACCTAGTTTTGCTGCTCAGGGGAATGGACAAACTTTCAACTACACTCATAAATTAAAAATATGACCACTTGGCCCTACTGGTACCATAGCTTCTTCAGGGACAGGAACCATTTGCAAAGATACAGAGCTCTACCACATCATAGCATCTGAAAAACTGCTCATTTTCTGAATCTTGAAAATGAAACCAATGTGAAAACTCCTATACAAGAAATCTTCAAATTCTAAAACTAGTGGGGATGACTCTTCAATTTCCTTTTAAACAGAAGTAGCCATCATAAGCTTGCCAGGTTTGAGGAGGAGGCAGTAGGAATAGATAAACATACTAGTGACCCATTGCAAAGAAGGTCTGGGGTCTCTCCTCTTGTAATCAGTGATTTTTCTTACCCTAATTAAACCCAGATGCTTCCGATAAAAAGAATGGCTGGCATTCAAGCCATTTGCAAATTCTGCCTAGAGGTAGAAAGAAAAAAAAAAGCTGTGCCCCACATCATTAATTTTAAATATCCTATTTTGTTTTATTTTCAGAATGAAATGGTATGGAACAGTGTAATGAGCAATAGAAATATGGAACCAAGAAGCAATTATATCTTCAAAGGAGCAAAATGAGAGCAAATAAAAGGCCTTGCACAAGTTAGCATACAAACAGGCAGATCAGAACATCATTTACAGAGTCCAAATACATGCCTGTTGGTTATATCTGTAAATTATCTTTCACAAACATCATGTTATATCTCTGGAGACTCATTTCTGGGTTATAATAAAAATCAGATTTCTCAAGAGGCCCTAAAACATCTCAAATTCAGTTTTGACACTATTGAGTACCTCTAATCTGTAGTCATTGTGCCGGGCACTAGGGAAGCAAGATAAATTGGGCATAGTGTCTACCTTCTAAGTGCTTACAGTCTAGTTAAGAAGACAGAGCTATGCGCAAATAACTATAATGTAATATGTGCTGGGTAACAGAAAATGGCACATTTAATTCTAATAAATTCACATTTATTTGAAACGATAGGAGAAAGTTTTACAAGGAGATAGAACCGAAGCCATGCAGTGCAAGAAAAGCTGGGACCAGCTAGACTGTATGGAGGCTAAGTCTTCAATCATTCTCTGACAAAAGTGCCCAAGAGCTCCTTCAGGGTAGATGGGAATCAGAATTCAGCTCCCTGCCTGAAACTTGGGACAGAGCCAAAGGTCTCCACAAGTGAACTGGGGCTAAGACAGCTCTAAGTTGTCAGAATCTTTCTACTTGGAGGAATAGAGAGCAATGATTCTTTTTTTTTTTTTTTTTTTTTTTTTTTTGAGATGGAGTCTCACTCTGTTGCCCAGGCTGGAGTGCAGTGGCATGATCTGGCTCACTGTAACCTCTGCCTCCCGGGTTCAAACAATTCTCCTGCCTCAGCCTCTTGAGTAGCTGGGATTACAGGTGCCTGCCACCACACCCAGCTAATTTCTTTCTTTCTTTTCTTTTTTTTTTTTTTTTTGTAGTTTTAGTAGAGGTGGGGTTTAATCATGTTGGCCAGGCTGGTCTTAAACTCCTGACCTCAGGTGACCCCCCTGCCTCAGCCTCCCAAAGTGCTGGAATTACAGGTGTAAGCCCACCATACCTGGCCAGAAAGCAATGATTCTCATATAAAAACAGGAATTGGACCTTTGCTGTGCATAAGTATTATATCCAAAAATGGTGCTATATAATAGAGCAAAATGCCTAAATCCTTATTTGAAGATCTGGTTCAAAACTGTACATCTCAGACAACCAGACTGAGGTAACAATGAAACCATGCAACAGGAAGGGGAAAACATGAAAAAAATTCCTATTCATGATCAGTTTTCATACAAAAATTACAAAGCACATAATGACATACATAATAATGAGAGCTGATTGGCAAATCCAATAAATAGAATAAATCACACCTAAGGAAATAGAAATAATGGAGAACGTACCAAGGTGTTTAACACAAGTTTGTTTACAATCCTCAAAGAGATAAAGAAATAGCATTCTTTTTTGGCATGAGGGGTCTGTCTCTCCATTTATTTCTAATAATGTTTAGTTCATATATCTGGGTAGAATAGCATTCTTACAATAAACTGACAATAAGTCATTAATGAAGGCATATATAAAAACTGAACTAAAAATTATTGAAATTACAAAATTGAGTAAAAAACTTAGTATATATAATTAAATAGGCAAGATAAGGTAAAAGAAAATCAGCATATTGGAAAAGAAAACTAAATAAATTTGATGGAAGCTGAGTAAATACCAATTCAATTTTCTCTTCTTGGGCACATAAGAAAATCATATTTTCTGGATGTCCTTGTAATGAGATTGGGGTCATGTGATTGGAATATGGATGAAAGTAATGCATATAGCTTTTAGTTCTGGCCACAAAACATCCTGGGTGATCATCTCCTTCTTTGGAGGTCATGAAGACCACAGGTTGATGATGGTAGCATCACAAGGTGAAAGGAAGTTAAATCTCTGAGCCATGAGAGGAAATGTTTCCAAAGAGCCCCCAGTCTACGTCAAACTGTGGCATAGGCAAGAAATAAACTTTGAATGATGTAAAACAAGATAACTACATAGAAAAATGAAAATGAAGTTATAGAAGATCAACTGAGAAGCTCCAACATATGTATAATTGTTGCTCCTGATAGAGAGGATAGTTAAAATGGGGAGAGAAAATACTATAAGGGATAAGGGACTGAGAAACTTCCAGAAATAAAAAAAGACATAAATCCCTAGATTTTTTTTTGAAGTCATTCAGTAATCTGGTTTACTTGAAGTAGTAAAATTTCACCAAAATTATTCTAACAAACAAATTGACCAAAATTTAGAAATACATTGTAATTTTTTATAACCATTCATTCATTCATTCATACAAAATATATTTTTAAGAACTCACTATGCATCATGTGTCTTCTTAGAAACTTAGAGTTTATAATCTAGTGGGAAATCAGAAAGTCACTGGCAATTAGTATGGAGAGCATAATATAGAGAAAGGAGAGATTGAGGGCATTATGACATAAAATGACATAATACAGTCAAAAAGATAATCAATTAGGGTTAGAGTGAAGGAGTGAAGGAAACACGTGAGCAAGTAACTGGAGGTAATACTAGAATAGTAGGCAAGGGACAAATTCTGAACTGACAAATTTGAAAAATAGCTTGAAACCTTAGAAGCAACATGCTAACTGGATGATTTTAAGCATAGGATTTTTTTTTTTTTTTTTTTTTTTTTTGGCGAGGGGATGGAGTCTTGCTCTGTTGCCCAGACTGGAGTGCAATGGTGCAATCTCAGCTCACTGCAACCTCTGCCCCACAGGTATAAGCGATTCTCCTGCCTCAGCCCCCCAAGTGGCTAGAATTACAGGCATGTACCACTAGGCCCAGCTAATTTTTGTATTTTTAGTAGAGACAGGGTTTCACCATGTTGGCGAGGCTGGTTTTGAACTCCTGACCTCAAGTGATCCACCTGCCTTGGCCTCTCAAAGTGCTGGGATTACAGGCGTGAGTCACTGTGTCTGTCCACAGGAAAATATTTTTATTTTTGTTTTTGTTTCTAAATTTTCTATTTCCATAGTTTTTGGGGGGAACAAGTGGTATTTGGTTACATGAATAAGTTCTTTAGGGGTGATTTGTGAGAATTTGGTGCACGCATCACCCAAGCAGTATACACTGAACCCAGTTTCAGGTCTTTTATCCCTCACCCCCTTCCCACCCTTTTGCCCTGAGTCCCTTAAGTCCACTGTATCATTTTAATGTCTTTGCATCCTCATAGCTTAGCTCCCACTTATGAGTGAGAACATGTGATGTTTGGTTTTCCATTCCTGAGTTACTTGACTTAGAATAATAGCCTCCAATCCCATCCAGGTTGCTGCAAATGCCATTAATTCATTCCTGAAAAAGGTTTTTCTAAAAACAAATCTCTGTCCCACTCACCTATCAGAAATACCAGCACAGCTCTAAGGATCCCTGGATTTTGACTTGGACAAAGCATTTTGCATACCTCTCCTAAGTACACACACAAGAGAAGAAGCATCTTAGCCAGGTAGCACCATTGCTGTGATTCATTTCTCTTATTCATGACATCCTGCCTTCCTTACCAGCTCAGAACTTCTCTTGCTATTGCTCTATGACCAGGCTTTTATTGAGACAAGTAGAAAAATGCATAAAATGCAAAACTGAAAAAGAAAAATGGAGAGAAATGAGCCAAAAAATGGGACAGAGTATAGGGCTATGGTGGGAAGAATATCTAAGAGGCAGGAAAAGGGGTTAGGTGTAGGGTGGCTGGGCCATGAGGAGTCAGAGACAGTCAGGTACTTGGGGAAGAAAAGTTTTAAAGACAGAAAAAAAAATCTTCTGTTGTGAGGAATGGGACTGCAGAGAGATTTTAAAAGTGAATTTATTTTTAGAGATAAAGTCTTGGTATGTTGCTCCAGCTGGTCTTGAACTCCTGGGCTCAAGCAATCCTCCCACCCTGGCCTCCCAAAGTGCTGGAATTACAGGTGTGAGCCACTGCATCTGGCCTAAAAAGTGAATGCTTAGGAAATCTTTCTCTGAGTTGTACAACATGACACATTACTGCCTCATGACACCTCAGAAAAAACCAGTGTTACCTTTCAATGCTTTTGGATTCAGATTTTTATTTCATTTGAAAGTAATATTGGCCACAAGAGAGCCTAGTTTTACTTGGGTTACATATTCATACACTGTTTCCTAATAGTGAAAGTCCCAGGCACACAGTCTCCATGATTGGAAAAGAAGCCTATTGCTGCGTGAGGAAGGAGAATGAGCAGCCTGCAGCCGCTCACAAGCAGTCAGTACCTAAAGAAGGAAGAGCACTGGGTGGTGTGGGGTTAATGGAGACAAATTTCAGCCACTTCATCATTTTGATCAGATCCATTCTTGTTGTACAAATGGCCACAAGGCCTTGGAGAAATTAGATGACACCTGCATGATATAAATCGTGGTCAAGGGAGAATTTGTTAAATGGTGAAAATGTTACCAGCCGTGCTGGGCTGTACTAAGACTGTAATTCTCCTTAGCTGCATCCTTGGAACATGGAGGGAGTGGAGGAATGGCCCTTGGGGAGGGTAAGTTACTTTAGAAGTTCTGAGGGTGGGGAAGGAGGTTGGTTTTTCAGATGAAATAATCGGAGCAATGCCAGGCAGGTAGGCCAGGAGGGAAAAGTGTGCAGAGCTGGTTCTTTATTCATCTTGCATGGGGGGATTGAGACAAATGGCAAGCATTCCCTCTGGCAGAAAGAGAATTTGTATATAGGCAGCAGTCGTACCTTCTCCAGAGATGTTGGCCTTTCTGTTTCTGGAAAGATCTGACAAGTTGCTCTGAAGTATGGAAATGGCTCTCACTGGAGACATTCTAGAGTCTCCTTCCAGCCACAGACATTCTAAGCTGGCTCCCCTAATCTCCTGTGACCATTTGAAGGACTCAGGTGAGGATTGTAAGCAGCTCAAGATGTGAATGGCGACAGTGTTTTTTGAGAACCAAGTGCAGTTTTGTTCAGAATCAAAATATCTAGGCCACAAAGAGGGCTTTGATTCTCAGTTCCCTAGGAGCGGGAAGGAGCTCTCTGGTCGGAGGAATTATGGATGTCCTTGTACCTAAGGTGATATTTCTTTTTATGCACATTCATTCCCTGAGCACACAGCCATTTCCTCCAGGTTGAGCAGCCCGGGCACACTGTCAGCAGGATAATGGTAGAAAACTCAATGGCTAGAGCTTTGGCCTTTTCCAAGTACCCAACATTGACCTCAAAGAATGTGAGGAATGATGATTGAGGTGTATTCCCTATAGAGAATTCTCTCATGCTACACAGGACCTTCTAGATCCTGGGTGGTTGAGGCACAATGGTACTCTTCCTGACATCACCAGATACCAGGCTGCTACCTGAAAGGCTCTCACACCCCAAAGCCAAGTCTGGGTCCTCCCTGGGTCCCAGCCTTGTCACTCTACTGCTGGGGAGCCTCTGCCAAGGCTCTGCAGTGCCTCTGCCATGCCCTGCACGTAGGTCCAATTTGGACAATTCACTTGCCAAGCCCAAGTACCAACCTTCCTTGTTTTACCCACAAACAGAAAATCCCTCCTTCCTCACAATCGCTTTGACCATTCGCCTTTTCAAACTAATGAGGAAATTCAGTCCTCTAGGGGATATGCATAAGAGGTCTTGCCATCAACTCTGCCTCCTCCTAGAAGCCACTCCTCCTTCCTCTCTCACCAGTTGGGCCAATTGTCACTCTCAGTGGTTGATTGGTCCATTATGCTGAGGTCTTGTGGTTTTTTTTTCTAAACATTTCTCCAAAAGGGCTTAAATCCACAGGCAGAATAACACAGCAATTAAGCATGTGGACTTCTAGGCTATGTGAAAATCTTGCTACCACTACTAGCTATGTTACTATAGGCAAGTTTCATGATATCACTGCTAAGCCTTGGTTTCTCCATCCATAAAGCAGGAGTAATAATAACAGCACATAATTCAGAGAATTCTTGTGAGCACTGAATGAGAAAATTGCATGTGGAAAACTGCATGGTAAGATCTCCATGTTCATCTGCTGTTGGCATTATTTCTTGTTGTATGCCAACTCCTCAAGGACCCCACACTGTAGTCACCAGACTCTGGTGGAAGAAGACATAAATTACCAACTGTCATTCAGGGTAATAAATGTTATAATAGAAATACAGTCAATTTTCATTATTCATGGACTCTGGATTTGCTGATCTGCCTGCTTACTAAAATTTGTAACCTCCAAATCGACACTTGCATCACGGTTGTGGTCACCTATGGGCATGTGGAGTGGTGAAACATCTGAGTTGCCCAGCACGCATATTCTCAGCTGAGGTCGAACAAGGCAATGCTCTGTCTTTCTGTTTCAGTTCTCATACTATAAACAAATGTCCCTTTCATGGTCTGTTTGGTGCCATGTTTTTTTGTTTGTTTGTTTTTAATTTTTGTGCTTTTGATTGGTTGTTTCACTGTTTAAAATGACCCCAAAGCATAGTGAAGTGCTGTCTTCTGTTCCTAAGCACAAGATGGCTGTGATGTGCCTTAGAGGGAAAATATGCGTGTTAGACAAGCGTCATGCAGGGTAAGTCATAATGCTGTTGGCCAAGAGTTCAAAATCAATGAATAACAATATATAGTAAATAAGGTGTTTTTAAAACAGAAAACAAAGTTATGCATTGGTCAGTTGATGAAAATGTAACCAGAAGCTGGCAGGAAACTGACCCTGCAATTTTCCTAGGAGCAGCGGATCCATATTTACTAATTCAGTATTGTGATTATTTTATAGAATGTAATGACCACAATAACAAGAAACAATTATACATGGAAAGAACCCACACGAGGGTCTATCAGCTCTGCCAGAGGCAGGGACTTCTCAGCAGAGGGACTTCTGAATTGACTTGGCAAAGGACCCCAAGGCTAGGGCTGGGTCCCCTCCGGGTGCCAGCCTTGTCCCTCTGCTGCTGGGGAGCCTCCACCAAGGCCCTGCAGTGCCTCTGCCACTGCCTCAGGCAGTTAGGTCCAAGTAGAAAAATTCATTTGCCAAGGCTAAGTACACACCTTACTTGTTTCATCTGTAAACAGAAAATCCTTCCTCCCATACAATGGTTTTGACCGTTTACCTTCCTGGTGGATCCAGGACGGGGGTGACATGTGCAAAGCCCGAAGGCCTGGGGGGCACATTTGTCAACCACTGAGATAGATGCCCAAAGACAGCCCATGGTTCTTTCATTTAACAAGTATTTACTGAACACATTCTAAGTGTCAGGCATGTATGAATGAGGGCTGAGAGTGAGGGGCAGAAGTAGGTGGGGCCATTGAGACAGGCCCTGGATGCCATGCTAAGGGGTCTGAACTTGATCCCATGTGCCACGGAGAGTCACCAAAGGCTTACAGGCAGGAGTATGGAATGAGCAAATGTGGCCAGGAAGCAAAAGGCTTAGGTAAAACTAAACATTTTCTTTTTTTTCTTTATTTCTTCTAAAAAAAAAATGAGCATACATGCGCAGAACGTGGAGGTTTGTTACATAGGTATATATACGTGTGCCATGGTGGTTTGCTGCACCTATTGACCCATCCTCTAAGTTCCCTCCCCACACCCTCCCACCCCCCAACAGGCCCTGGTGTGTGTTGCTCCCCTTTCTGTGTCCATGTTAAACATTTTCTTTCAGGACACGAACAGACACTTTTCAAAAGAAGACAGACATGCAGTCAACAAGCATATGAAAAAAAAAAGCTCAATGTTATCAATCATTAAAGAAATGCAAGTCGAAACCACAATGAGATACCATCTCACACCAGTCAGAATAGCTATTACTAAAAAGTCAAAAAATAACAGATGCTGGCGAGGTTGCAAAGAAAACGGGATGCTTATGCACTGTTGGTGGGAGTGTAAATTAGTTCAGCCATTGTAGAAGGCAGTGTGACAATTCCTCAAAGAGCTAAAAACAGAAATACTGCTTGACCCAGAAATTCCATTACTAGGTATATACCCAAAGGAATATAAATCATTCTACCATAAAGACATGCATGAGAATGTTCATTGCAGCAGTATTCACAATAGCAAAGACAGGGAACCAACCTAAATGCCCATCAATGACAAATTGGATAAAGAAAACATGGTACATATATACCATGGAATACTATGCAGTCATAAAAAAGAATAAGATCATATCCCTTGCACGAACATGGAAGGAGCTGGAGAACATTATCCTTAACAAGCTAACACAAGAACAGAAAACCAAATACCGCAAGTTCTCACTTATAAGTGGGAGTTAAATGATGAGAACACATGGACACAATGAGAGGAACAACACACACTGGGGCCTACTTGAAGGTGGAGGGTGGGAGGAGGGAGAGGATCAGAAAAAATAACTTTTTTTTTCTTTAGAGACCAAGTTTTGCTCTTGTCACCCAGGCTGAGTGCAATGGAGCGATTTCAGCTCACTGCAACCTCCGCCTCCCGGGTTCAAGAGATTCTCCTGCCTCAGCCTCCCAATTAGCTGGAATTACAGGCATGCGCCACCACACAGAACTAATTTTTGTATTTTTACTAGAGACAGGGTTTCACCATGTTGGTCAGGCTGGTCTCAAACTCTTGACCTCAAGTGACCCACCTGCCTCAGCCTCCCAAAGTGCTGGGATTACAGGCATAAGCCACCGTACCTGGCCAGAAAAAAATAACTATTTAGTACTAGGCTTAGTACTTGGGTAACAAAATAATCTGCACAACAAATCCTTGTGACATGAGTTTACCTAAATAATAAACCTGCACATCAGAAAAAATAACTATTGGGTACCAGGCTTATTACTAAGGTGATGAAATAATCTGTACAACAAATCCCTATGACATGGGTTTACCTAAATAACAAACCTGCACATATACCACTGAACCTAAAATAAAAGTTTAAAAAAATGTTTTTTAAAAAACATTTTCTTTCAGTTAACCGTTAGAATAAGCAACCCAAAGAAGCTATGTGTTCCCTCCCTGAAACTATTGAAGGACAATAGAGGTCTCTGTTTCTCAAGGCCAGAATTTGTTACATCTCTCCTTAACCACCTTCAAGGGCCTTTCATTGTGCTTGGAATTAAGTACAAACAGCTTCAGTCTTTCTCACTCAGCTTTTGTTTCTCTCTTTAGTCCACCTGTAGCCAGTCATCTCCTCACTAGCCTCTGTAGACCAGCCACATGGAACTTCCTTCGTGTCTTCAAATGAGCCATGCTCTCTCTTGTCCCCAAGTCTTTGTTGCATTTTGTCTGGAATATAGATCCCCCTCTCCCAACCCTTACCTGCAACATGCACCTTGCTAATTCTTCATCCTCTAGTTCTCAGCTTGAAACTCGCTTTCTCCAGGAAATCATACCTACATGTGTTTCTATATGACCCTTTTCATACTGAATTGTTTTGCTTGATTTTATTGTCCATCTTTGCTGTGGTAGTCAGTTCCAGCTGCTCTAATATAACACCATAGACTGTGTGGTTTAAACCACAGAGTTATTTCTTAGAGTTCTGGAGCCTGGGAAGTCTGAGATCAAGGTCCCAGCAGATCTGGTGCCTGTCGAAAGTCCTCTTCCTGGTTTGCAGATGACCCTCTTCCCCATATGTCCTCACATGGCACAGAGCTGAGCACAAGAGCAAGCTCCTGTGTCTCCTTCTGTAAGAGCACTAATCGCATTTATGTGGGCCCCACCTTCATAACCCAGTTACCTCCCAAAGTCCCCACCCCCTAATACCATCACACTGGGGACTAGAAGGGGAGACTTTGGGAGGTAATAGGGTTATGAATTTATGAATATATATGAATTTGGAGGGACACAAACAGTCCCTAGCACTTGGCAATCGACCATAAACTTGGAAAGGGCAGGAACCACGTGTGTCCAATTTACTGTTTCTCTCCCTAGTACTTAGTGCCTGACACTTAGTAGGTGCCTCTGAGCCCAAACAGAGGGAAACAAACAAGTTCACCTCGGGAGAATTGGGAATTTAGCTCCCCTAGCCTAGGAATTAGTGGGGTTTTCCATTATGTTAAAGGTTAAATGTTCCATTCTCCACTATGGGGACTGTACTGTTCCCTGAGATCCAGGTTTCCTCGAGCCCCACTCTTCTAATGATTATAAAGTTGCTAAGGGTGCTGAGTTTGCCCTCCAGCCAGCAGGGTCTTTTTTGAACTGTGAAACAATCAATTCTTCTCAAATGCACAAAGTACACTTAAATGTCTACAATTACAGTTGCATTTTCTAAAAGGACACTAATTATCTTTAATTCATGGATTATACTTACTGCCTGGGAGCAAGGAACTAAAAAGCACCTTGCATTTGTGGGGAGGCGTTCTGCTTCTTTGCCTCCCAGTGGGTCTTACTGGAGTTATTTCTAGTCACCCTTCAAGTTCCAGCTCCCATCATGCCCCGCTATGGGAGGTCATTTACCCTGATCTCTAGGAAATTAAAGAGAGGGATGAAAACATTTGACTAGTGCAGGTTAAGTCTCAGAAAACATCAGTGTCTTATTTCAGCGTCTGGTCTTGTAGGTTAAGAAACATGACTTTTTATTACATCTGTGGCTGGTCTGGTTACTCACTTATGCAAGTCAGACTCATAAGAGAGTGAATCAGCACCAGAGAGTGGACTATTTTTACTTGGTATGAGGAGTTTGCATTTCCAGAATTTGGAATTTTGGAAGTTGTGATTCAGGGCATTTCTGTCCTCATATCCCAGAAGGTCAAAGAACATTAGATCCTCTCTCTCTCTCTTTTTCTTAGAGATGGGGTCGCACCCTGTTAACAGCCTGGGCTGGTTTCAAACTCTTGGGCTCAAGCGATCCTCCTGCTTCAGCCTCCCAAACTTCTGGGACTACAGGCATGTGGCACCGTGCCCAGTCGTCTCTTGGGGAACGTTTTATGCTAGCTGTACACTGATAAAGCAGAGAGAACATGGATTACTATTCCCTCTTTGTAAAGAGACTGAGGTTTTACCTGAATGTCATGATTTATTGGGCCTTGGAGTCCTTATTTACAATTTAGGAGGCTGGAGTAAGTCAGAGTTAAGTTTAATTTACTGTATTCCTAATAATCCAATTTAAATGGATGCATCACGTAAGAATTTTCACTGAAAATGGTCGTAATTTAAGTTAGTAAAGCCTTAACCTGTTCATGGTTGGGGCTCAAATTTGGACCTAGTGCATGGGTCCAAACTTCAATCTCAACTTTTTTCCTTTGTCATTGTCTCAGCCAGGGTTCCAAGTGGAGTGTTGCTACTCACAGCTCACAGCTCACAGCTGCTCCAGAGTCCAAGATAGGGATTTGGGAACATGTAATTCATTGAGGGAGTGCTCTTTAGGGAGAACTGGTTAGAGAGGGAGAAGGAGCCAATCAGGGATGTGGTCTCAGGAAAAGTCCAATCTTGGCCCGATCCACAAGGGAAGAGGTGCAGAAACAGAAACTGCATTGATGAATGTCCCCCAGTGCAGGAGGGGGACAAGGCTTTTGAATCCCCCTATCAGTCAGTCATGGCTATGGGTGAGGGAGGGGACGGTGCCTGTAACTTACTGTGTCTATCACTCTCACCTACCTGCCTCTACTCTGCTGTACTTGGCTTTGCTCAATTACTGACTGTTACTTGATGTTTTTCAAGTTTAAATCCTTTAGAAGAGCACTGTGAAATCCTGCATGCAAAAAAACATGTATTGAGTACATTTATTGAGGAGGTGGCTCTGATTAGCTAAGAGCAGTTCTCCTGAGAAGGAGCAGCTGTGAGCTGTGAGCTGTGAGCAGCAACACTCCACTTGGAGCAGCTGGGGGCTGGGTGTGCTGACCTGGAGAAGGGGGCCCAGGTGTAGCACCGCAGCATCTATGAGGGTCACCAATCCTGTGTACCATCCCTCTCACCGCTGGGCATTCCCGTACATGCTCTTCTCTCTGTCTAGAACTTGCTTTCTTCCCTTTTTCTCAGATAAATCTTATTCATTTTAGACACCGCCTCCTCCAGGACACCTTTGCCAACCTTTCATGACTAGACTCGACTCTCCTGTGTTTTTGCATCTACGTGGCATTCCATATTAGAGCTTATCTGGGCCCATCTTAACTGTGGGCTCCAGGAAGTCAGGGACCACATCTGTCTTGGGTTCCTCTCTATATAACAGTCGGACTCATTTCTGGCACTCAATAAATGCTTTTTGCATACAGGATTTCATAATGCTCTTCTAAAGGATTCAGACTTGGGAAACATGAAGTTACAATCAGTAACTGAGCGAAGCCAGGTACAGCACAGTAGAGGCAGGTAGGAGAGAGTGATACACACACTATGCCCCTATCATCATGAACTGTGAGTGAGTTTTCAGGGGAAAGTCGTGCTTGCATTGAACAGCATTGTTTTGCACTGATGAACAGTGAAGCTTGTAACCGATACTTCTCCTCTTTGCCTTGGAGGCTAGCAAGCTCAGAGCCCGAGCCCTTGATTAGGTAAAGGGGGAGAAATTTCTAATTTTAAATACGGGCACTTAAGTTCCTTTCAAAGAAAACACCTTGAAGGCTTCAAGGAAGTGAAGCCCCAGGGGTGTGGTCTCGACTTGAAGAAGCAAGTGAAATAAGAGATCAGTACAGGAATTCAGGAGGGGAGGCAAACAGCCCAAGAGGAGTGGGCTGGGGACCAGAGAAGGGAGGACAGATGCCAGAGCAACATGGCCAGGGTCAACTGAAGAAGTTGAGTCACTGAGAAATTCCCCATGAGATTAACAGCAAGGATGCCAAGTATTTTAAGTTGATAGGGTCCTAAGCATGAACCCCTTCTGTTGTCTTGAGGCTTTAGCAAAGGCTGCTACTTATATATTTGAGGGCCAGGGGAATTTTAGCAAATGAAGGGATCAGGATGGGTCTGGTTAGGGGTCATGTGCTGCAGAGAAGAATCAGCCCATGCTAGGAGTGAGTGATTCACACACTGGAACACAGACCGAGTGGAAGGTCCACTCCAGGGGTCACCAGGAGAAATACAAATCACTGCCCCCGACAGTTCCCTGCAAGACGAGAGGAAATTATGGGCTGTATGAAGGACGGGGTTTGAGCCAATTTCACTTGAATCTTAAAGGATGGGATTAACCCAAGTGGTCCTTTAGTTAGAACTCTATTTTAACAAGCATTGTTCTCTAATTCATAAATCATAAAACACTGGACTTCACAGATATGTAATTCAACTTTTCAATTTACAGTAGACTAAGGCACAGAAAGGCAAAGCTCCTTGCCCCCTTAGAGTCTCCATATCTTCACCTCTAAAATAAAAGGATTTGATTGGTAATTTTGTAAATGTTAACTCACAAGCAAGATTATAAATTCTGCAAGGGCAAAGGTCATATTAAACAAATGAGGTTTCTTTCTTTTTTTTTTTTTTTAAATATTTTTGTAGAGACGGGTTCTTGCTCTGTTGCCCAGGCTGGTCTCGAACTCCTGGATTCAAGTGATCCTCCTGCCATGGCTTCCCAAAGTGCTGAGCCACTGTGCCTGACCAACGACTGGGATTTCTATAGCATTTAACAAATATTAGACAGCAGTGAGAAGGGGCCAGAAATGGACCCTTGAGAGGTAAAGGAGCAATAAACTAACTGCTTACCCTCCCCTTTCTAGAAACCTCTTTCTCCTCCTCATGCAAATGAAGTGTTTACATACCTGCTCTTAAGAAAAATACCAGTCGCTTAGGTGGAAGGCTTCAAAGTGAGTTGTTATTACTGATGCTTTTTTTTTTTTTCCTTTTGAGACAGAGTCTTGCTCTGTCTCCCAGGCTGGAGTACAGTGGTGTGATCTTGGCTCGCTGCAACCTCCATCTCCTGGGTTCAAGCAGTTTTCCTGCCTCAGCCTCCCAAGTAGCTGGGATAACAGGCATGCACCACCACGCCCAGCTAATTTTTTTGTATTTTTAGTAGAGACAGGGTTTCACCATGTTGGTCAGGCTGGTCTCCAACACCTGACCTCAAATGATCCACCCACCACGGCCTCCCAAAGTGCTGGGATTACACGGGTGAGCCACTGCACCTGGTCGCTATTACAGATCTTTCTGAAGAGCAGCCTAACTGGTGTTTACAATTCTTTAACTCCTCTTCTGTTTAAACATTCAAAAGCTTTTCTCTGAAAGGAAGAGAGACAATAACCTACCAGGAAAGAAACTACTTCCTGGCTTTCAATATTGAAGTCCAAACAAAGGCAATAATAACTCACAATTAGTTGTTGAGAGTTTGAAATTCAACCTCAACCCTTCCCCTGAATTCATCAGACACTATTAAAGTACAAATTAAAGTGATAAGCATAGAGGTTTGGCCGGCAACCACAGCCATAGAAAGACTTCTTCATTTTCTAAATATTAAAAAACTAGGGTTTGAAAAAGCACAAAAACCTTCTTTCTCTTCTTTGAATAAACAGCAAATAGAAGGTGATGGTGAGTTAACTGCATAATCTAATAGTTATCATTTCTCATGCTATTCTGGCCAAGATCCTCTTTACAGTTTATTAAAATTTGCATTTTGTGTATAGACCTAAAAGGGAAATTTTTAAATGTGTGTATCCATAAAAATAATTATCCATATTTTTTGTTAAAGAAAAATATGCTGAATTCCTCTTTCTCTTTTCCTAGCAGCCTCATAAGTAGACTGTGAAAAAGGAGACACTGCAGAGAAGCGTCTTGTTTGGGAAGGTTTAACTCAATTTAAATTCCTTCATGTGTAAATGGTCAAATTCAGGAATGAAGGGCTTCAACAAGAGCCACGTGCACCCTCTGCTGGCGCTCAGAGGGCCAAGGAAAGCGTTTGAAAGGCCAAGGAAAGCATCTCCTTTCAGTGTGAAACTGGCCAGCAAGGGAGACGAGAGGGCTAGACTCAGAAAGTTTAAATCCCTGCTTTCATTGGAAGATATGAAACAGAAAGCTTCAGTGACTTTACTCACAATGGTGTTTTTCTTTGTGATAATGTTCCTTAAACACATAATCCTAGCTCAACATTTTTTTTTGAGTGAAGCTGATCTATACATGAGAAGGTACAGCTGTAAGAAGGGCCTGGTTTGTCTCATTTGGGTGGGCAAAAGGTCCTGCCTAGCTGACTTGAGTACCAAAAAAAAAATCTAGCATTTCTGCTCAGGCTGTGTCAGAGTGCATTTCTTTCTGGTCTTCCTTGCAGGAAAATAAGTCCCACGAGGCCAGAGACTGCGTCATCTTCACTGTAGGATCCTCATCTCAGGCCCAATGCCTAGCACATAACAGGGATGCAAGAAACATCTTCTGAATGAATAAGCAACTATGAAGAAGGCTCTGGATTCAAGGTGCCTATGGTGCTGACTTGCATAGAAAGCATATGCAAGACAGGTTTTGAAGGCCATACTCAGTTCATTAAGAAAGTTTTTTCAGTGTTAAGATTTTTTTTTCTTTCAATTTTAATTTTAGATTCAGGGGATATATGTGCAGGCTTTTTAAATGGATATATCGTGTGATGCTGAGGTTTGGGGTGTGATTGAACCCATCACCCGGGTAGTGATCACAGTACAATAGGTAGTTTTTCAACCTTTGCCCCTCTCCCTCGTCCCCCCTTTTGTAGTCCCCACTGTCTATTGTTCCCATCTTTGTGTCCATGTTGACCCCATGTTTAGCTTCTACTTATACATGAGAACATGTGGTATTTGGCTTTCTGTTTCTGGCTACTGCACTGAGGAGAATGACCTCCAGCTGCATCCATGTTGGTGCAAAGGACATGATTTCATTTTTTATGGCCATATAGTATTCCATGGTATAAATGTACCACATTTCCTTTATCCGATCCACCATTGATAGGTGCCTACTGGATTCCATCTCTTGCTACTGTGAGTAGTGCTGTGATGAACATGTGGGTGCATATGTCTTTTTGGTAGAATGATTTATTTTCTTACTAAGGAACTGTTCATGAATGCAGCAACATGTGGCTTAATGGCTGTCCTAGAATGGGTTAATACTATCAGAGTTATCTAATATTTGTCACTTAACAGGTTACAAAATGCCTTCACAGGTACCTCACTTGATCTCAGTGCAGTCCTGAGAAATGATGATTATCCCTGTTTTCCAGAAGGGTCCCAAGCCTGAGAAAGCTGGAATGATGCTCTTACAACAATCAAGTGATCAAGCTAAGATTCACACATGTTTTCTGTCCCTTAGTCCTATGTTTGTTCCATGTTCTCTGAGCCTCCATAAGATTTATTGGTTGCCTCGTATTCTCCGAGTTGGCTGAGACTAAAATTAGAGGGGGCAGTTATAGCTTTTAAAGCTCAGCCTAGTAAGTTGTACCATGGACATCTTTTATTACTTTTGACAGCCAGATGATGGGAATCACGAAGACTGAGCTGCATGACACCAAATGGGTTAACGACCTTTTTAATAGCTTTCTTCTCCCCACTCTCTCCCCAGGATGTTACAGAGAGACTTGCAGCTTCCTGCATCACAAAGGTTTGCTTAAAGTGAGACTGTTGAACATTTCCCCAGAAAGTAGGACCTTAAAAAACCGGAGCTGGGTCAGCGGTCAAAGAGATTTACAAGTTAGGACCAGAATGACCCTAGTCCTTGTTTGCTCATGACTTGGTCGGTCTGTTTGATTTCAAGGAAAGCAAATGAAAAACCAGAAGCCAAATATTTACTTAGGTCCCGGCTTCCGTCGGAGAACAGACCTGTGAGGAGGCTGCTACCAGGAGGAGGAGTCATTTCATGTCTTCGTACACGTTGTTCCCTAGACTGCCCTTTTCCTCTCGGTTGCCAAACACACCCCTATTCAGTCTGCAAGGCCCAGAGCAAATGCCACCTTTCTTCCCATCCTCCCCCTTAGCACCCTGTGCTTACACATCTCAGAGCCCTTGTCTTGCTGTGTCTTAACTGTTTGCATGTCGATTTCTCCCCATGACTTGCAGTTCTTTAAGAACAGGGGCTATGTCTTTCATCTCCGTGGGAAAGAAAAATGTTGGTTATCAGAGCAGAGTCCCAGAGCCCAAAGAACAGCCCAGTGGCTTTCAAACGTTTTAAAAATCACAAACTAGAGTAACAAATGCATGTTATATCATGATCCAGTAACAAATATGCACATGTGTGCAGATAGACAGATGTCTGTAAAATGGAAACGAAATTTCCCAAAATAATATACCACATGCAGTGCTAATATCTGAGATTCTGTTTTCTAGTTTATTCTCTATTCATTTTTAAAATGTGGATTTGGTGCACCAAATTGATTTTATGATACATTGATGAATGGCAACTTGCAGTTTGAGAAATATTAGTGTAGGTAACACTTCATCTGCCATCCCCCACCACCCTTGTTTTCTGATTTTCTGTTTGTATTTATTGAATGCTTCAAACTAGGGGAGGAAGGAGGAGTTTCTTTTTTTTTGTTTTGTTTTTTTTTTGAGATGGAGTCTCGCTTTGTCACCCAAGCCCAGGCTGGAGTGTTGTGGTGCGATCTCGGCTCACTGCAAGCTCTGCCTCCTGGGTTCATGCCATTTGGAAGGAGGAGTTTTGATTGGGAGATTGAGCAAGAAAGAGAGTGCTACAGCAGGGATGGAGCACAGAAGAAACCATATTCTGCCTATTTTTTGTCCAGCCCCTTGGACTTGCCTTGAGCTCCTATAAGAAGAAACTGACCAGACTGTTCACAAGAAAATGTATACAGATGGTCCTCGGCAGATGATGAGGTAACAGCCCAATAACCCATCATAAGTTGAGAATATCATAAGTCCAAAATAAATTTAATGCACCTAATGTATCAAACATCATAGTTTAGCCTAGCCTACCTTAAATATGCTCAGAACTCTTTCATTAGCCAAAAACTGGGCAACATCATCAAACACAAAGCCAATTTTGTAACAATAAAAATAAAAGATCAAAATTCAAAATTTGAAGTACAGTTTCTACTGAATGCATATAACATTTGCACCATCATAAAGTCCAAACATTGTAAGTCAAACATAAGTTGGGGTTCGGGCATGGTGGCTCACTCCTGTAATCCCAGCACTTTGGGAGGCTGAGGTGGGCAGATCACTTGAGGTCAGGAGGTTGAGGCCAGCCTTGCCAACATGGCTAACATACAAAATACAAAAATTAGCTGGGCATGGTGGCACACGCCTGTAATCCCAGCTACTCAGGAAGCTGAGGCGGGAGAATTACTTGAACCCGGAATGTGGAGGTTGCAGTGAGCCAAGATCTTGCCACTGTACTCCAACCTGGGCTCCAGAGAGAGACTCCATCTCAAAAAAATAAAATAAAAATAAGTTGGGGATCATCTGTAAACTTCAGGCACAAACAAGGCTACTTAAGGGTCTAGATCAGGGGTCTACAAACTACAACCCTTGGGCCTAATCTATCCATCCATCTGTTTTTATAAATAAAGTTTTATTGGAACACAAACACGCACATTTGTTACATACTGTCTATAGCTGCTTCTGCTACAACTGCAGAGTTGAGTAGCTGCAATTAAGACTGTATAACCCACAAAGCCAGAAATATTTGCTATCTGGGCCTTGACAGGAAAAGTTTACCAATCCCTGGAATAAATGAAAAGTGTTTCTTACCACTCTGGGAGGAAACCAGGATGGCTCTGAGGCATCTAAAGCAGAGTGTTAGGCATGGGCAGTATCCTTCTCAAAAGAGGGCATATTGGTCCCTTTCCAGCATCCTCAGGCTGGGCTCAGGGGCCCCAGCATCACAGCCTGAGCAGGAGAGCCTCAACAGGGAGATTCTGGGTAGGGACTGCTGGTGCAGGTACACTACTGCCCTTGGAAGGACCTGGGAGCACTTAGGGTGTTTCTGGGACTATGAAGATGAGGGCTGTTGAGTCAGCTGACACTGGGATTTCATTTTCATTCTTGTGCCTGGTGCATGAAAGAAAGATGCTTGGAGAGTGCTAAATGTTTGCTAGAGATTTCTTAAATCAAAAAGGAATTGGCAGCATGTGGTATAGAAACTGAGTTGTATCACAGCCTCTCTCAAAGGCAATGCCAGTAAAGAGTCCAGTGCCTGTAGCCGAGAACAGGAATCCTCTCTCCTGATTGGAGAATAAGCCATCTTTTCTCAGCTGCTTTGGCAACTAATATTAACGATGATGCGTATAATAATAATGATTGTAACTAACATTTACTGAATGTTTATCAAGCACCATGCAATATTCTAGGTCCTTTACATGTAACAATTCACTTTATTTTATTTTATTTATTATTTATTTATTATTTTACTTTTTTCGAGACAGCATCGCACTCTGTCTGGAACACAGTGGTGCGATCTCAGTTCATTGCAACCTCCGCCTCCCGGGCTCAAGCCATCCTCCCACTTCAGCCTCCTGAGTAGCTGGGACCACAGGCATATGCCGCCACACCTAGCTAATTTTTTTGTATTTTTAATACAGACAGGGTTTTTGCATGTTCCCCAGGCCAGTCTCGAACTTCTGAGCTCAAGCAATCTGTCTGCCTCAGCCTCCCAAAGCGCTGGGATTACAGGCATGAGCCACAGTGCCTGGCCACAATTCACTTTAATTCTCTTAATAAAAAGACTATTTTAATCTCATTTTATAGATGAGGAAAGTGAGGCACTGCAAGGTTATATAACTTGCCTAATGAGAAACAGCTAATAAGTGGCAGAGTCTGAATTTGAAAATGGAGTGATCTTTGTAGCTTAAAAAAATTTTTTTTTGGATTGCTGGGATGAACAGAAATGCTGGACAGCTGTTCTCTGGCCCCTGAGGCCAGAGTGGAGTCTAGCAAACAGCTATACCCACATGGCAGCCTGAACAGCGGCAGAGGCCAGGGTTTGGTAGCCTCTCCAGGGAGAAGGCAAGAGTTAAAGAATAGGAGAAGCCCATTCCTGGGAGAGAAGGAGCCAGCAGTGCCCCCTTAGGAAACTAATAGTGAGTAACTGCAGACACTTCTCTGTAGGCAGGTACGGGCTTGAGCCGCCATAACTAGATGTTTAGGGAAGTGAGGTCTTCTTTTGTAAGCACAGGCAATGAAGACTGGAATACTAATTGCTCATCTTTGGGTCCCATAGCACCAACATTTGTGTGCAGCACCAAGTAAGTGGTCAATGGATTGCTTGTAGACTGACCTCTCTAGTCCCGTCCTAGATGAACCATTGGGCCCCAACCACTGAGCCTCTACTCAGCACATGACTTGGCAGTTAGAAACAAGGACTAAAGTCAACTGGACAGGTCAAAGGAATTGCTTTAATTGAGGTCACAGGCATCACAGGGGTCTGCTCAGCTTCCTCGCCACCAGGGAGAAAAGTCCTTCGTTGTTGGCCATGGTGGAAGAATAACTTTGCGAGATCACCTCAAACCATTCGATTGTGTAGCCAGCCTCTTTCACAGCAGCCTCTACTGCCTCCCGGCCCAGGGGGAGGCTGGAGAACTTCTGCTCACCAATCATGTAGTAGCTGCTCTTGAGCGCATCCATGATCACCAGGAAGCCCCCTGGCTTCAGTAGGCTGCCGAGGTTCCTGAGCGCCCTGCAGTAGGTGGGGAGGTCTGGGCAGGCGGCATCCAGACACAGTGTGCTGAGCACGCAGTCAGCCGGGGGTAAGGGGACGGCCCCCAGTGGCTGGCTCTGAGTCACATCACACTTCAGCACCTGCTTGACCGCCTGTCTCAACTTCTCCTCCTTCTCTGGACCCTTGACTCTGAAAAACACAAACCCACAGACATTGTTTTCCACTCCAGTCATGGGGAACCCAGATCTCTTGGGTCAAGGCTAAAAATGGCCGTATTGTCCCAGATGTGTGTCCTTAGGGCCACCTCTATCGGGAAAGGAGAGAAAGAAGAACTGAGGGGTCATTTTGGCATTTGAATGAGACCATATTACCCTGAGCTATGTTAAATCTCTTCATAAAGTGAATAGTATGTGAAAACGATAATAATACCTAGCAGCCTGCTTCTACCGTGGACTTCCCTCCATGAAATTATTCTTCCTTCACTGCTTAGTATAGTACTCACTTATACTATACTGGCTCATTTATTAGTATTTATAGGTTATTATTATTATACTTGATCCATCTGCCAAACTGTAAGTTAGCGGCTACTTGACCCATACAGAATAAGTATTAATAATAAGGGGTTTCAAATGCTGAAACATTATCTTTGCAGTAGTTGCTGATCAATAAGAGTGGTGAGGTCTTCCATAGATATTTTTAGGAACTATTGATCATTATCCCACAGCTGTGAACAGGGCACTCCTGGAGAGAAGAAAGCTACATTTCCCATTCTCAGATTCCAACAAATATTGCAGATAGTATGTTTTCTGACAGAGATCATGTTTTTGGTAGCCTTGCCAGGAACCCTGTCCTTTTCTGCCAAATCAATGGCATGTTTTGGGTTTTTTGTTTTGTTTTGTTTCTAGAGACAGGGTCCTGTTCTGTTGCACAGGATGGAGCGCAGTGGCGCCATCACAGCTCACTGCAGCCTCAAACTCCTGGGCTCAAGGGATCCTCCCCACCTCAGCCTCCCAAAGCACTGGGATTACAGGCTTGCACCACCATACCAGGCTAATTTTTTTATGTTTTATAGAGACAGGGTCTCCCTATGTTGCCCAGGCTGGTCTCGAACTTCTGGCCTCAAGTGATCCTCCTGCCTCAGCCTCTCAAACTGCTGGAATTGCAGGCATGAGCCACCACCACACCTGACCCAGTGGTGATTTCTCAAGAGAAAAATCAGTTAATAAAAGAATGAAAGAAGAGAAGGCAAGGGCAGGAGATGGGACAGAGTGGCTTGTATCCTATTTGAATTTGTTAAAGGAGGAAGAAAGGAACAAACAAACAAATGATCAAAATTAAATAAACAGAGTGTACAAGAGAAACCAGAGAGCAGGGGCGGACAAAGGAGAAAGAAGTAGCAGAAGATCAGATAAGTGAGAAAAGGGGAAGAAACATTGAGTGTGTTAAGGGCCCAGGCCCCAGAGCACTAAGAGTAGGAGTGACCCCTGGGTATTGCACTCTTGGAAGGAGTTAACCAGCAAAGCATTGTGGAGCAGATCCAGTCTCACACTCAGGAAACACACACTCTACCATCTGATGCAGACTCCAGGAGAAAATGGCCACTTGGGCATCAAGGCTTGACAGACAGCAGAGATGGCCCCACATTCCAGCAAGTGAGGGAGACTTTCACTGGGACCATTTCCAGTTATGAGGAAAAGTCAATGGTTTAAATAAAACTTGATTCGAGAGAGTGGACACTAGTCATGGGCATCTTAAATATTCACTTAAAATCTTAATCCTAGCGAATATAATCACTTCTTTGCAAACATGCTTTATGCTTCCTATAATTTTCCATTTAAGGAGCTTAGCAATTAGCAGATGAAAAGATGCTCAACATTGTCAGTCATCAGAGAAATGCAAATCAAAACCATGAGATACCACTTCACATCACTATGACGGCTATAATAAAAAAGACAGATAATACCAAGTGTTGGCAAGGATTTGCAGAAACTGGAACCTACATACACTGCTGCTGACAATGTAAAATAGTCCAGTTACTTTGGAAAACAGTCTGGCAGTTCCTTAAAAGGTTAAATATAGAGTTACCACATGACCCAGGAAATCTGTCTAGGTATATACCCAAGAGAAATGAAAACATATATCCATACAAAAACTTGTAATGAATGTTTATAAACAGCTAAAAGGTGCAAACAATGCAACCGTCAACTTCTGAATAGGTAAATAAAATGTGATATATACATATAATGGAATATTATTTGGCAACAAAAAGAAATGAAATTCTGACACATGCTACAACATGGATGGACCTTCTAGACACAGGCTAAATGAAAAAAGCCAGAACCAAAAGGCCACATATTGTATGATTCCATTTATATGAAATGTCCAGAAAAGGCAAAGCTACAGAGACTGAAAGCAGACCAGTGGTTGCCAGGAGCTGAGGGATTTGGAGAGAAATGGGAGTGGCTGCTAATGGGTACAGGATTTCTTTTGAGAATTATGAAAATGTTGTAAAATTGATTGTGATGAAGGTTGCACAACTCTGAAAGTATACTAAAAACTACTGAATTTCGCAATTTAAATGGGTGCATTAATTGTATGGTATGTGAGTTTTATCTCAATAAGCTGTCATATTAAAAGAGAGAGAGAGAGAGAGATGAGCTTAGCAAGGTGTTGATTTGGGGGAATTCCTACCAACCACTAAACTGGTATCTACATAGAAAACAAAAATTATCCTTGGTTGGGTCTACCTGCTCCTTTATCAAGGCTAGAAATGGTAGCAGGGTGACCACTTTGTCCTGATTTGTCTCAGACTTTTCTAGTTTTAGCACTGAAAAATCCCATATTCTAAGTCCCCCTTGCAGTCCTGGACAAAGCAGACAGTCATTCTAAGGTGGGAAACTAGTTACAAAGCTACCACCCAGCCTTGATACAACATGGAAGTTTTCATAGAACACTTTAAGAATAACAACAAAAAGAAAAACACTGTAGAAGTGTGTGAGAAACATGTATTTGAATAGACAAACTAATCTAGAACAGAAAAACTTAAGTAACCTATCTGCACATAGGAATAATAATAAAGTGTATATCAAAAGGTAGAGTAGTGACAACATAGTGTTCTGGGGGATGTGTTTCGGGATGATCCTGTATAACGGGAACATTGTGGAAATGTGTGTTTGATTCCAACAGAAGCAGAACGAACCTCCGTGCCCTATTGCGTATTAAGCTATTTGAAACACTTGAGTTACCACAGAACTAGAACTTACCAGTCAGATGATGATGCAAATTGTTCCCAAACTGTGAGCCACACTGTGAAGTCTCCAAAGCTCACAGAGAATGTGCCAATTTGAGAGGGAAATTTGCTAGAAACACCCAGTGTCATAGATCCCTGCTTGTCCTTGGACACACAGCAAACATTGGGGAAGTCAGTTGCCAAGGTAGCTGTGTAAAGCCTGCATACACCTCGGGGCAACGCAGGGAAATGGACTCACCAGAGACCCAGCCAATTACTACTTTGCCTCATGTTTAGCTCATGGGGTAGGTAATAAACACACACCGGGAAAGTGCTATGCTGTTTTGCAGAAAGCTAACAGCGGTGTGGTCATTTCTTTAGTTCTAAAGGTCTGCCCTTTCAAAAGAATCAATATGCAAAAAAAGGTAGCCCTGTCCTCTGTAAATATGCATCTATAAAAGCCTGAGGGGTATGGGGAGGAAGGGAGGGAGGCAAGAAAGGATGAAGAGGAGGGCCCCGGGAAGAACCCTTTCTGAGAATGTCTTCCCACATTCCAGGTGAACTATCCTGAGATTTAGAGGCGGTTCCTCCTGCCCTGTCTCAGCAAGGCTGGCAGTGCATCAGAATCTCCCTGACAAGCTGTTTTTCATTGTCCTCACATCCCCAAAGCCCCATCCTCAGAAGTTCCTGCAGGCTCTCCTGAGAAAGAACCATCAAAACAGGTCAAGGAAATCAAGGCTAAGTAAGCGTGGAGGTCACTGTGAGAATTGTACGGGCAAGGAACAATCATTAGTGCATCTTTGACAGAGACCACACCCCACACCCGAATCAGGTGAATGATATTCTAGGAGGAAAAGTCTGAAAAGCAAAATGTGAGTATTCATGTATTTTCCAAATATGTTTTGAACCTCTACTATGTTCAGGAAATAGGCTGGGCACTGGGGACACAAGGATGAACAAATGAGAAACAGATTCTAACCTCATGGAGATTGTAGACGGGTGGGTGGCGGGAGAAAGCATTAACCCAGTGATCACTCATAGGAGTGGAAATTAAAACTGACAAATGCAAGGAAGGAAAGGAGCATGGCACTAATGGGGAGATGTTGGGAGCTCCCCTTGACCTAGAGGATCAGGAAAAGCTCCTCCAAAAAGGAGTCGGGCAAGCAGAGATATAGAGGATAAATACGTAGGAGTTAACCAGACTGAAGCAAGCAGGGAGGGCGGGAGGAAATTCCAGTAAGAGGAAACCGCAAGTGCAAAGGCCACGTGGTGGCAGGAAACACAGGAGGAGAGAGCCAACGTGGCTGGATTGTGGGGAAATAGGTTGGCAGAGCCAGACTAGGCAGGGCTTTGTGGACCATGACAGGAATTTTGCTTTTCATTCCAAAAGCTCTGGAGAGTCACTAGGGAGCACTAAGGAGGAGAGTGACATGATCAGATTTACATTTTGAGAGGGTCACTTGGGCTGCAGAACAGAGAAGAATTGAGTGGAGGGGCAAGAGTGGAAGTGGGAGGCCAGTCAGGAGGGAGACAGGGGTAGCTGAGACCAGGTGATGGTAAACACGGGAAGAAATGGGTTACAGAGGAAGTCAGGAAGTAAAATGGACAGAGCTTGATGTTAAGTTAGATATGGAACATGACAGAGAGGGAAAGGACAAATTGACTTCCAGGTTCTGGCTTGTCCAATTTATTATATGATGGTGCCATTCAAGGAGCTAAGAATACCAGAAATAAAGCAGATCTGGAGCAGATGGTAGCTCTGTTTTGGACACACTGAGTTTGAAGTGCTCTGAGACCTGTGAGTAGAAATGTTTACAATTGAGGAAATAGCTAGTTGAAGGTTTCTTAACCTGCCCTGTGAATTTTCCTGGGGAGATAAGGTGGCAAGAGCACCTATTTAAGAGAGAGGCATCCTTGTAAAAGGCGGGAATGTTTCCTAGGTATCACTGAAACAATCATCATGATCATCAAGATCCTGGTTTTGAAAAAGCTTATCAATATCCTTTTGCAAGCTGTGAAAGTCCAGAGATGCTTTGGAATAGAAGTGGTTCACTAGTTTGTGGAACACATTTGGCACAACTGTGTCTATTTTTGGACAACATACAAACATCTTTTTAAATAGAAATGGAGGTCTTTGCACAGAGAGCATTTACCTCAGAGAACTGCCACCTCGACAGGGGCCTAAGCTTTCTTCTGTCAGGTATGCTGAGGTTAAGAGGAGCACACTACCTGACTTCAAACTGTACTACAAGGCTACAGTAACCAAAACAGCATGGTACTGGTACCAAAACAGAAATGTAGAACAATGGAACAGAACAGAGCCCTCAGAAATAATACCACACATCTACAACCATCTCATCTTTGACAAACCTGACAAAAACAAGAAATAGGGAAAGGATTCCCTATTTAATAAATGGTGCTGGGAAAACTGGCTAGCCATATGTAGAAAGTTGAAACTGGATCCCTTCCTTACACCTTATGCAAAAATTAATTCAAGATGGATTAAAGACTTAAATGTTAGATCTAAAACCATAAAAACCCTAGAAGAAAACCTAGGGAATACCATTCAGGCCATAGGCATGGGCAAGGACTTCATGTCTAAAACACCAAAAGCAATAGCAACAAAAGCCAAAATTAACAAATGAGATCTAATTAAATTAAAGAGCTTCTGCCAGCAAAAGAAACTAGCATCAGAGTGAACAGGCAACCTACAGAATGGGAGAGAAATTTTACAATCTACCCATCTGACAAAGGGCTAATATCCAGAATCTACAAAGAACTTAAACAAATTTACAAGAAAAAATCAAACAACCCCATCAAAAAGTGGGCAAAGGATATGAACAGACACTTCTCAAAAGAAGACATTTATGCAGCCAACAGACACATGAAAAAATGCTCATCATCACTGGTCATCAGAGAAATGCAAATCAAAACCACAATGAGACACCATCTCACACCACTTAGAATGGTGATCATTAAAAAGTCAGGAAACAACAGGTGCTGGAGAGGATGTGGAGAAATAGGAACACTTTTACATTGTTGGTGGGACTGTAAACTAGTTCAACCATTGTGGAAGTCAGTGTGGTGATTCCTCAGGGATCTAGAACTAGAAATACCATTTGACCCAGCCATCCCATTACTGGGTATATACCCAAAGGATTATAAATCATGCTGCTATAAAGACACATGCACACATATGTTTATTGTGGCACTATTCACAATAGCAAAGACTTGGAACCAACCCAAATGTCCAACAATGATAGACTGGATTAAGAAAATGTGGCACATATACACCATGGAATACTATGCAGCCATAAAAAATGATGAGTTCATGTCCTTTGTAGGGACATGGATGAAGCTGGAAACCATCATTCTGAGCAAACTATCTCAAGGACAGAAAACCAAACACCACACGTTCTCACTCATAGGTGGGAATTGAACAATGAGAACACTTGGATACAGGGTGGGGAACATCACACACCGGGGCCTGTCGTGGGGTGGGGGGAGGGGGCATGGATAGCATTAGGAGATATACCTAATGTAAATGACGAGTTAATGGGTGCAGCACACCAACATGGCACATGTATACATAAGTAACAAACCTGCACGTTGTGCACATGTACCCTAGAACTTAAAGTATAATAAAAAATTAAAAAAAAAAAAGGAGGAGCCACTCTCTACAGAGGCAACCAGGAGGTGGTCCATGCCCCACCTGCTGTCAAGAGGGCCAAGGAAAACAGCTTGGACAGCATGCCTGCAACTGATTCCCACCCACCTGTGTGTGTGCCCTGGCACACCTAGAGGGAAGCCCTGCTCCAGACACCAGTGCTTCTTCTACTGTAATGTGCATACCACCCTTAGCAGATCTTACAGTGAAGGTTCTGATTCTGTAGGTAGCTAGTGGGGCCTGACAGCCTGCATTTCTAAAAGCTCCCACGTGTTGTCAAACTACTAGTCCAGGGACCACAAGCCTAAGCTATGCATTCCAAGTTCCAGGAACCATAGGTTAAGTAATGCAGCTTCTACAATTTCTTAAGGAAAGAGCTCATTTTCCTCTGTTCATTGTATAAGCTTGAGTAATTGTATCTTAGTGTTTGACTTTCTTAAAACTTTTTTGGATAGTTGTAAAAATGAGGGTTATTTATTTTTATTATTATTTTTTATTATTTTTGAGACAGAGTGTCACTCTGCCAGCCAGTCTGGAATGTGACCACAGCTCACTGCAGCCTCGATCTCCCAAGCTCAAGTGATCCTCTCTCCTCAGCCTCCCCAGTAGCTGGGAATACGGGTGTGCACCACTATGGCCAGCTAATTTAAAATGAGTGGTATTTAAATGCAGAGGTAGAAGAACAGGAGACAGTACATACGTCTTTGGCAGCCTTTAGCACAAGAAAAAACTTCAGATAAAGAAGAAATCATCTTGAAGGAAATAGGTTGTAGGTTGATAAAGCTACTTGAAGATGCAGGAAAGACATGAGTTGCATAGGATCATTATCATTCTTAAAATAATTAAAGCCACAGGATCTAGCACAAGGATAAGGATAAGAATGCAGAAATTTACTGCCAAAAATGCAATGTCCAACAGAGTGATTGGGAGGGGACAGTGTCTCAAGAGCTAGTTGTTCCAAGCTGACATTTCAGGTGTGAGATAAGTAATGCTTTTACTATCCTGCTAGATTGTAAGGGTTTATTTTTGAATGAGATGGAAAGGCCGGTGGTGGATACAGAAAGTGAGAACAAAGTTTCAAAGGCCTTCTTGACAGATGATTTGGACTTTGGCAAGGTGTGTTGTCTAACAGTGACTGAAGATTTATTTACTTATTACAAAGTTTCCCTGAGATTCTACAAACCCTGGGAATTTCCTTATTTACTAAATAACTTTAGATATTGTCCAAATTGTCATAGCTGCAATTGTTTCTAGTTAATATCAATTTCATTCTGTAGAATCACATAGTCAACAGAAAAAAAAGGTGTATGAAATTATTTTTATATTGAAGAATATAGCCCCACTTTGAAGGCTATAGCCAATATAAAATTCTAAGTCAGGGGTATACAGGTTAAAATGCATATGAAAATAGGCTCTCACCGGCCTGGGCAACAGAGCAAAACTCCCATCTCTACAAAAAATTAGCCAGCTATGGCAGTGTGGACCTGTAGTCCCAGCTACTCAGGAGGCTAAGGTGGGAAATCACCTGAGCCCAGGAGGTCAAGGCTACAGTGAGATCTCACCACTGCACCCCAGTGTGGGTGACAGAGCAAGACCCTGTCTAAAAAAAATAGAATAGCCTCTCTCAACTTCTTACTACATGTCAGAAAAAAAGTGGGGCAATATTTAAACAATTTTATGATTTTGTTCATGTGTAAGAGTGACAAAATACATTCTCATATATGCATGGACTTAGAAAACACGTCACTGTATGTTCCTCTTGAAATAAATATTTGAAGATCTATTCAGTTGACAGATGAACCAAAATTAAAGACTCAATATCTAGAAAAATTGTATAAAATGAGCACCAAATATGTCCAAATAATTCTAAATTTGATTACAAACCAAAAGCAAATGTCCAAACTGATCTTGAAAGAAAATATAAAAATAATACTTTAAATTACAATATTTGAACTTTAAAATCTCAGATTTCAATAATAAATACTGGTAAGAGAGATGCCAGGGGACTTTGGTTATCAAAAATTGTTAAATTCCTCAAGTTAGCAGGGAGGAAAACAATTACTAACTTTTTACCCGACTTGATAAGTTAAGAGAATTTGTCTCCAGCAGAACTGCATTATAACTAATACTAAAATAAGTTCTTCAGGTGAAGGAAAATGATGCCAAACAGAAGAACAGATCTTGGGAAAGGAATGAAAAACACTAGAGAAGAAAGATATGTGGGTAAATATAAAAGATCTTAAATATATGCATAATATAGCCTTAGTTAGTTTGGGCTCCTGTAACAGAATACCATAGACTGGGTGGCTCATAAACAACAGAAATTTATTTCCTACAATTCTAAAGGCTGGAAGTCTGAGATTAGGATGCCAGCCTGGTCAGGGTCTGATGAGGACTCTTCTGGGCCACAGACAGCTGACTTCTCATTGTACCTTTATATGGCAGAAGGAGAGCTAGAGAGCTCTATGGGGTTCCTTTTATAAGGGCACTAATCCCATTCATGAAGTCTCCACCTCCATGACCTAATGACCTTTCAAAGCCCCGACCTCTTAATACCATCATAAGGGGGTTAGGATTTCAACACAGAAATTGGGAGGGAGGGATAAAAACATTCAGTCCAAAATTCCTATGTTTAATATATATTGTTATATACATTGTTTAAAACTGTATACTGACTTATGTGACTATACTTAACACTATTCAACTAACACTTAAACATAGTAAAGATGGTAAATTTTATTTTAAAAATCAAAATTAAAAATAAGACAATAAAAATAAATAAAATCACTACTAACTAAAGCAAAACTAATAACAATATATGTATTATAGTGTTATACATAGAAATAAAATACATGACAAGAACATAAGGGCCAGGAAAGTCGGTTAAGGAAATTACACTTTTGGAATATCTTACATCCTTCATGAGACAATAGATATGTCAAGGATGCATATTGCAATTCCTAGAAAAACCACACAAACTCACACAAGACACAGAAGAGGTTAACAGGGGAGATAAAAAATAAATACTAAAAATATGTACACTTATACTAAATGGAATACTAAAAATTACTGCATTCACCAAGGGAAAACAGGAAGAAAGACACAGGTGAACAACAATCAGATGGGACAGATAGAAATCATATACCAAGATGGTAGATTTAAATTCAACCCTGTAATATTAGTAATTACATTAAATGTAAATGGACTAAACAATCCAGTTAGAGGCAGAAATTGTCAGTCTGGATTAAAAAGAGAAAACATAATCTGAAAACAGAAGGGTAGAAAAAGATATGTAGATATATCATGTATATTAGTTATATGTAACTGCAGGATAAATTATCCCCAAAATTTAGCAGCTAAAAATGACAAACACTTATTTCTCTGTTTTTTCTGGTTCAACTGGGGGAAATTTGGTTCCAAGCTCACTCCCCAGGACAAGAGAGTGAGATAGAGACAGAATACCCAATAAAAAGCTGTCATTTTTTAAAAATTGATTTTGTTTTTTACAGCAATATTAGGTTCACCGCAAAATCAAGCAGAAGGCCTACATTGGCATACCATTATCACCCAAAGTCTGTAATCTACGTTAAGATTCACTCTTGGTATTGTACATTCCATGGATTTGGACAAATATATAATGACATGTGTCCACCATTATAGTACTGTACAGAGTAGTCTCACTGCTCTAAAAAATCCTCTATACTCCACCTATTTATCTCTCCCTCCCCGACCCCTAGCAACCACTTATCTTCTTTACTTCTTCCCTAGTTTTGCATTTTCCAGAATGTCATATAGTTGGAATCATACATGTAGCCTTTTAAGATTGGCTTCTTTCAATTAGTAATTGTATTTACATTTCCTCCATGTCTTTTCGTGGCTTGATAGCTCATTTCTTTTTAGCACTGGATATTATTCCATTGTCTAAATGTACCACAGTTTATTTATTCATTCGCTTACTGAAAGACATCTTGGTTGCTTCCAATTTTTGGCAATTATGAATATAGCTACTATAAACATCTGTGTGCAGCTTTTTGTGTAGACATACCACAGCTTTTTGGGTTACATACTGAGGAGTGTAATACATGCAGCTTTCTGGGTTACATACCAAGGAGTGCAACTGCTAGATTGAATAGTTTTGCAAGGAATAGTCGAATTGTCTTCCAAAATGGCTACACCATTTTTAATTCCCACGAACAATAAATAAGAGTTCCTCTTTCCCCACAGCCTCATCAGCATTTGGTGTTGTCAGTCTTCCAGATTCTGGCCTAGATCTAATAGGTGTGTAGTGGTGCTGTAGTCCTTTTAATTTAATATCACAATTGATATCCCATCACTATGCTGCATTCTACCAAACTTGTCAGTACTGAATCACTAAATCCAGTGGATATTCTAGGGAAGGGGATTACACAAAGGTGAAAATACTGACACAAGGATTATTGGGGGCCATCTTAGAGGCTGCCCACCACACCATGCAAAACAGCAAGCATAGGAAGGGTGATGTAGCTATATTAACATCAGAAAAAGTAGACTTCAAGACAAATACATTGCTGGAAATAAAGGGAGATATTTCACAATGGTAAAGTGGTCAGTTCATCAAGAAGACATAACAATCCTAAAAATGTATATAACAGAGCTAAAAACAAGTGTCAAAATGCATATAGCAAATGTTGACAGAACTATAGGGAGCAAAGGATAAATCAACAATCATAGTTTGAGACATTAACACTCTCAGTAATTGACAGAGAAAGTAAACAAAACGTCAGTAAGGATGTAGAAAATTTGAATGATACTATCAACCTGCCTGACTTAATTGATATTTATAGAAACTATATCTACAACTGAACAATATACACTCTTTTCAATGTAGAAAGCACATAGAACGTTTACTGAGATAGACCATATGCAGAGCCACAAAATAAATCTCTGACTACAACAAAATTTAATTTGAAAGCAATAACAATAAGATAGCTAGAAAAATCCCAATACTTTGGAAATTAAGCAACATAATTCTAAATAATTCATGGTCAAAAAAGAAATTACAAAGGAAATGAGACAATATGCTGAATTTGAAAATAATAAAAATACCACATACAAGAATCATGGGATGCAGTTAAAACAGTGCTAAAGGAAATTTGCAGCATTAAATGCCTACATTAGAAAAAGAGATATGTGAAATAAATGATATAAGTTTCCAACTTAAGAAGCTAAAAGAAGAATTAAAAACAAGACATTTTAGAAAGCTAGAAAAAAATAAAGTAAACTAGAAAAGAATTAAAATTAAAATAACTAGAAGAAAGAAAGTGATCAAAAATAAGAGCAGAAAGCAATGAAATAGAAAATGGACAGACAATAGAGAAAAATCAACATAGCCAAAAGTTGGTTTTTGGAAAAGATTAATAAAATGATCAATCTGTAGCAAGGTTGATCAAGACAACAGAAAGAAAACAAGACAAATTACCAATATCAAGAATGAAAGAGGAGAGATCACTACAGATCCTACAGACATAATAAGGTATTAAAAGGATATTGTAAAAAAAAAAAAATGCCAATAAAGTTGACAACCAAGATAAAAAGGACAAACTTCTTGAAAAGTACCACTTACCAAAACAGACAAAAGAACAAACGGAAAATCCAAGTAACCATTAAAGAAATACTGTTTTTAATAAAGTCTTCTCTCGCACAAAAATTTCAGATTCACCTGGCTTCGCTGGTAAATGCTATCAATCATTTAAGAAGGAAATTATACTAATAATACTCAAACTCTTTCAGAAAATAGAAGAGGGGATATCACTCCCAACTCATTTTATGACTCCAGCCAGCATCATGCTGATATCAAAATTTGTGAAGCACACTAGAAGAAAATTATAGCTCAATTATACTTCATGACCAAGTAGTTTATGCCACTTTGGTGTAACATTCAAAATTTTCCAATGTAATTCACATTTTCAGAATACAGGAGGAAAATCATAAGACCATCTTAATAAATGCAAACAAATTTTGACAAAATTCAACATTTGATTAAAATTTCAAAAAAGCTAGGAATGCAGAACTTAGTCTGATAAATAATATCTATGAAAAACCAATAGTTAATATACTTAATGATAAATCATTGAACATTTTTTATCCTAGAATATGGAATAAGGCACAGAGGTCTGCTGTCATCATTTCTATTCAATATTGTATTGAAAGTTTTTGCCAACATAATAAGGGCAGAAAAATAAATAAAAAGCATAAAGTTGGAATAGAAGAACAAAACCTATTTTTATTTGCAGATACTATAATTGCAAACATTCATCTTTTTATGCAGCTTGCAAAGAAGTCTGTGGGGTCTCAGCAATATGCATAGCAGCAGAGAAATGTTGCTCCAGGAGTGAATGGTCAGTTGGGGAACAGACTGGATATTGTCAGACAATCAGCAGAAGATGGAAGTGCATAAGGATATGAGAAAGACAGTGAATTGCAGGCGTGGCTACCTCTGGCTAATAGGCTATTGCCAATTTCTCGTGTTGGAAGAAATTAAAATTTACATGAACAAATGAGATTCATTTGCATAAATTTACATGTAGATGTGGTAGTGTAAGATCTTGACCATTAGTTGTAAGTATACAAAGTCTACTTTCATGGATGGTGATTAATAAATTCTTTTCAAGTAATTCCTTTATGTTTCTTACCTCAGTTTAAAAACCTAGTCAGATTTTGGTTGTATCTGGTGATGTCAGCATTAGCCACACTCACAGCCAAGTTCTATAGGCTTGGATGGCTACAGCAGCATGGCAGTGAGGCAAGGGACAAGCACTGACATCCAAAAGCTGCTGGTGAGAAGCTGGGTTAGCCTTTTACTTGCAGCTGTCCTAAACCTAGGTCCCAAGGTACTTGACTGCACACTGCTCTTGTCCCCAAAGGCCTGGAAAATTTGGGGGTTTACTCCTCTTTGCTCAGTATCCATTTCTTCAACCCTCTCCCTGTGTCTTCCATTACTCTGGTGCACACATGCACGTGCACATACACAAATTTACTAACATGCACACACATGGGCCTATCTCATCTCTCTTGCTCTCGCTCTCTCGTTACCACTCATTCTCCATTTGGATTTCTCTTTGGTCCCTATCTGTCTGTTGCTTTTGCCAACCATCACTCAGGTACCTTCAAAAGCCAAGAAGTAGACACCAGTTTCTCTACCTGTTCCCTTCAAGATCACACACATAGGTCACCACTGGGGACCAGTCAAAGGCCTCTGGCTCTTTCTTCAGCCACTTCTCCAGCTCCTGCAGGTTCTGGTCTGAGTAGTCAGTGACGACGATCTCCTTAAAGGATTCACAAGCAGAGAGGAGCTGATAGATAGTGGGGCCAGAGCCGATGTCAATCAGCAGGTCTCCCTTCACACCGTCTGGATTAGTGGGAGGAACAAAGAGGAGAGATCAGGCATCTCATGGCAGTGGGCAGAGTCAAATTTACATTGTCTTCCCTGGGACTGTGCTGGCGATCCTCAAAGACAGACCACTACTGTTCACAACTTTTCCCTCAAAATGTTTTTTTAAAACATCTTTTCTGGGCCAGGCACAGTGGCTCATGCCTACAGTCCCAATACTCTGGAAGGCCAAGGCAGGAGGATCACTTGAGGCCTGGAGGATGAGACCAGCCTGGACAACATAGTGAGACCTCATCTCTACAAAAAAATTTTAAAATTAGCTAGGCATGGTGGCGTGTGCCTGAAGACCTAGTTATTGGAGAGGCTGAGGCAGAAGGATCCCTTGAGTCCAGGAGTTCGAGACTATGATGAGCTGTGATCACATCCCTGCACTCCATCCAGCCTAGGCAACAGAGTGAGATCTATATCTCCAAAAAAAAAAAAAAAATCCCATATTTTCCCCAAATCCCTGTAATTTACATCATAGTGACAAAGAAAATATAAATATCAAAAAGACTAAAAATGTCTCACTTGAATTTTAAATAAAGCACATCAGTTTGAAAAACCTCAAACTTTAATAAAATTTAAAGTCAAAAAGAAAAAAAAAAAACTTTTCATTTTTTATTCCCCAATCCAGGGTGGAGGCATGTTGCCAGGAATTTTAAGGTCTAGGAGAAGGTAAAAAAGATCTACATCTGGTGTACAGACTGAACACCAGATCCAGAAAGTCTGTTACATGGAGAATGTAAAAACTATTAAGCAATACTTTCAAGGAAAGTTAATTAAAAAAGAAATTGAGTATATAATGTCTTTCTCCAAAAATCACCCAGTTCTTCATATATTGGGAGGTCTTTATCTCATGCATATTCACAGCATTCCCTTGAGTTAGGATCAGAATAGGTACTGTTTTAGAATTTCCACTTAAGTGGCCCTTTGAGGCTAAAAGTCTCCCTCAAGTCGCCTAGCAAATCAAGGTAGACTCAGGACAGCACTCCGGTCCTCTGGTTTCCTTTTGCTTGATCAAGTGAGACAGTGGATACAAAAGCACTTTGTAAACTGTGGAATCGCTATACCAATATTCGTTTTTATCCTAGTTAAATAAATGGGTGATGCCAAAAGGGCTGTGAAGCAACAACGAGAGACACAAAACCCAGTCGTGCCCTGAGACTCCATCTATATGACTCACATTAGTGGGGAGACATGCAGACAACAGACTTACCTAGGCAGAATATCTTGAAAAGATTTTTCAGAAGGTGCTTAAGAATCTGGCTTTCTGCAGAGTGCCTAGAACCAAACTTGTAATATTTTTCTAGGTAATCCCGAGGGTTAAAATGGCTTAGATAGGTGTCCTTGGAGGTGAAGCCTGATTCCATTATGTCTCACTTCTGTACCACTGGAGCACTGCCCTCCTTCTCTTTCCTCCAGAAGCCAGGGAGTGACCCTGCAGAAGTTGTCTTCCTGAGTCTCAGGCTAACAGCATTCCTTCCATCAGTTCAGCCCTTCTTTTAGAACAGATGGTTGGTTAAACACTAACAGAGAAATAGACCACAAATGTTCTGGCTGTTCTAGGAAATGATGAAATTCCCGGAGAAGGGAGCTTAGGCGAACGGGGGTGGAGGGTATGGTAGAGGGAGGGCCATGAGCTGTATGCAATGCTTGCCCAAGGGATGAAGGCCAGCCGCCAGGGATTGTAGACCAGAGGGAGCACTTGAGCTCGTCAGGAAAATTATTTAATGCATAGGACCCCAAAGTTCAGAGAGACAGGACATCCCCTAACAAGCACCATCATTCTTCTCGTTCTTGCCATGAATCTCCCAAGAAAAGGGGTCACGAAGAATGGTTTAAATTTAAACATGTAAAAGAAAGGAAAAAAAAGAAGGGAAAGATGAGGATAGGAAATGTATTCAGGGCTAAGGAATGTTGGCTGAAGAAGGAGTCTCAGATGAAGTCTGGAAAGAGTAATTTTAAAAGCCTGGATAAGGCTTTCTGTAAAATCTAGTCCAGCCAAACATCCCGAGACCCTCTCCTCATGCCCAGACTCTCTCTCCATCCCTGCCCTAGGCAACTGCAGCTTCACCGACCACTGCCATGACCCAGTGTCTGGCAAGCACCTCCTCCCTAAGCTTCCCCACTCCTTTCAGTCAATCCAAATCCTGATAGTTCTTTCAAAGTTAACTTTACTTCCTTTAAGAATTATTTAAGGCCGGGGGCGGAGGCTCATGCCTGTAATCCCAGCACTTTGGGAGGCTAAGGCGGGCAGATCACGAGGTCAGGAGATCGAGACCATCCTGGCTAACATGGTGAAACCCCGTCTCTACTAAAAAAAAAATACAAAAAATTAGCTGGGCTTGGTGGTAGGCACCTGCAGTCCCAGCTACTTGGGAGGCTGAGGCAGGAGAATGGCATGAACCCGGGGGGCGGAGCTTGCAGTGAGCCAAGATGGCGCCACTGCACTCCAGCCTGGGCGACAGAGCAAGACTCTGTCTCAAAAAAAAAAAAAAAAAAAAAAAGAATTCTTTAAATCCCCTTTTCTGAACTCACTTTGAGACAGAGTAGGGATGGGGCTTGGCTTCAGCTCACTCCCCGCTAAAGCATTCTTTCGTGCATTCCCACTGGTCACAAAACCCACACCACTACCTCACTGACAACATGTCCATTAGTCATCCTTTCACTTAATTCCAGGAACTGGCCTTAGGAGATAAACAATGTTGCCGGGTGTCCCACCTTGGGAAGGAATGCTGAATAATTGATTTACAGCCTTGTTGCCACTGGCCAGACCACCAGTTGGCCCATTCCTCAAGATAACCATTGCAACCAAGTAATGCTGACCTGCATACCCCACTTCTCGTATGCTTTGCCCAGCAGCACATCCTGCCTCTGACGTCAATTCCTGTGCTTTGCCTAATAAAAAAATCCCTACCGGTTTTTTCCAAGGAGTCAGCAAGCCAGAGAATTCGCTCTCTCTTTTGTTGTGGCCCTTATGCCAGGGCGTAAGTTCCAGTAAAGCATGTTTGGGAAGACTATTGGCCTTGTGTCAATTTCTATACACTGAGAGCCAAAAAACCCATGGTCAGTAACATTGTGGCCTTAGAATTTATTCTACCCAGCCAGGCACTTGATTTTTTTTTCTTTTTTCTTTTCTCCCTCTCTTTTTTTTTCGGTTGCTATTTATTTTTCTTTTTAAAAACTTTTTGTGGGTACAGAGTAGGTGTATATATTTATGGGTTACATGAGATATTCTGATAGAGGCCTGCAATACAAAATAATCACATCAGGGTAAATGGGGTATCCACCACTTCAAGTACTTATTTTTTGTGTGTTACAAACAACCCAATTATACTTGTCTAGTTATTTTTGAAGGTACAAATAAATTATTTTTTACTATATTCACCCTGTTGTGCTAGCAAATATTAGGTCTTATTCAATCTTTCTAACTTTTTTTTTTTTTTTTTGATGTGGAGTCTCACTCTGTCACCCAGGCTGGAGTGCAGTGACGCGATCTCAGCTCACTGCAACCTTCACCTCTTGGGTTCCAGCGATTCTCCTGCCTCAGCCTCCCAAGCAGCTGGGACTACAGGTGCACACCATCACGCCCAGCTAATTTTTGTATTTTTAGTAGAGACGGGGTTTCATCATATTGGCCAGGCTGGTCTTGAACTCCTCAGGTGTTCCGCCTACCTCGGCCTCCCAAAGTGCTGGGATTACAGGCGTGAGCCACTGCGCCTGGCCTCTAACTATTTTTTATACCCATTAATGATCCCCACATCCCCCCTACCCACCTCGCTACCCTTCCCATCCTCTCGTAACCATCCTTCTACTCTCTATCTCTGTGAGTTCAGTTATTTTAGTTTTTAGCTCCCATAAATAAGTGAGAACATGCAAAGTTTGTCTTTCTGTGCCTGGTTTATTTCACTCAACATTATGACCTCCAGTTCCATCCATGTTATTGCAAATGACAGGATCTAATTCTTCTTTATGACTGAATAGTACTCCATTATGTGTATTACCACATTGTCTTTATCCATTCATCTGCTAATGGACACTTAGAGTACTTCCAAATCTTGGCTATTGTGAACAGTGCTACAATAAACATGGGAGTGCTGATAGCTCTTGGATATACTGATTTCCTTTCCTTTGGGTATATACCTGGCAATAGGATTGCTGTGTCATATGGTAGCTCTATTTTTAATTTTTTGAGGAACATCCAAACCGTTCTCCATAGTGGTTGTACTAATTTACATTCCAACAGTGTACAAGGGTCCCCTTTTCTCCATATCCTTGCCAGCATTTGTTATTGTCTGCCTTTTGGATAAAAGCCATTTTAACTGAGGTGAGATCATATCTCGTAGTTGAGAAATGCAAATCAAAACTATGAGATATGATCTCACCTCAGTTAAAATGGCTTTTATCCAAAAGACAGACAATAACAAATGCTGGCAAGGATATGGAGAAAAGGGGACCCTTGTACACTGTTGGTTGGAGTGCACACAGCTCTATTCTGGCAATTCCAAATGGTAGCCTCTGCCCTTGAACTTAGATCAGTCATTGATCCTGCTCACCAAGTGTGTTGGGGTGGGGAAAGGGAGTAAAGGAAACCTGTGTGGTATTAAGATTGCCCATTGCAAGAAGTTGCATGTGGCAGGCAAATTGTCTCAGATTATTGCAACTGTTGTATCTTCAAATGTCAATTCACAGACCTAGGAGATGTAGAATGGAAGCAGGGTGTCTTTGTGGACTGACCCCAGGCACTGCTGCTGGAGCACAGACACTCCCTGCTTCTGCTGACTGCCCTAGTAATGGAGCACAGCAGGAGACATCCAGAAAGTCCAAAGATGTAAGTTGTTATCCTGGTTTGCTACTAGCAATTTGTAAAATGGACAACTGGAAAAACTAACTTTTGAGACTCTTAAGCCTCAGTTTTGGTGAGTAAAATGGCCTTAACAGTACGTATTTTACTATTCAATCTGAGGTATTGAGGAATTTCAATGATAGCTTTCCTTACATTGAATCCTTACCTTGGGAAATGTGCCTCATTCCCACTCATGGGTCAATTTACCAGGGAATTTTAGACATAGTGGTGATATAGCATATATGTGGCCTTGATATTGTACCCATTTCCCCTCACTCCATCATTAATTTTTTTCTACCCTCTCCAGAAATTTCCAAGATTTACAGTCAGAATCAGATTTTTTATTATAGATAGGAATCTGTTTCCTTGTAATGACCCTCTACCCACCCTTAAATAAATGTTTGTTATAAGTAAATAAATGCACATATAAGGGAAGAAACAAAGGGTGAGAAGGAAGGCAAGAAGAAAGAAAAACATGTTATTTCCATATTGTCTGGGTATTTGGTTCACTGGTGGCTGTTCTTCCCACACGGTCTGCTGGTAAAGAATTTGATTCATCGTCCCAGGCTATGACCTCATGAGAAAATAATGCTACAATACTTAATGCACAAAAAATCAATGTAGTGGGGCATTCTCCTAGAAAATACCTCACTCTAGACTCCAGAGGTGCTACACCAAATCCATTGCTAGAAAATACGATACAAACCAAAAGTGTGAACACCATCATTGCTTATGTTTGCTGGAAGAAAAGATTCCAAATATTGACATATCAGGTTCCAGTAATATGTCTGGCTAACTCTCAAGATACACCCTTTTCCTGAAAGCCTAAAATGCTAAAAAGCTAAACATGCTGATATATAGATATAAAATACCTTGTATATATTAGCAGTAGAGGAGTTTGACAGAATGTTATATGTAATTGAATAGATTTGTAAATAGGAAGATATGCTAAAAAAAAATTATCCAAAATGTAACAGAGGGCAAAAGAGAAATAGAAAAAGTGAAAGAGAAAGCTAAGAGACATCGAGCATAGAGGAGAAAGATCTGCTCTATGTCAGACTGGAGTTTCTGAGAGATAAGAGAGATCAAATGGACTAGAATAATATTTAAACAGATAAAGACAGAGAATTTTCCAGAACTGATGATAAATACTGTATCAGAATCCAGTCAGGAGACAGAAACCCACCTTAAACTTGAGTCAGAAATTATTAATATAAAATTTAGTATAAAGAATTGACTAAGTAAAAAGTGGTTAATGGCTAAGAGAGTAAAGGTGGACTCTGGAGTGTAACAGAGGTGGCAAATGCAGAAACTCACTGGGCTGACAGAACAAGGAAACCAGGAGAAACTTAGAAACTTAGAGGACGAGTCCACAGAACCAAGCATCAAAAAGCTCTGATGAGAAAGCACAGCTGCTGCGGGAATGCTGGACACCTGAGGAACCCAAGGAATGCCACCGCAGAGATGAGCCGTGCATTGAGCCAACAGCTGCATGCAGACAACCATCGCCAAGATTGCTCACAGGATCATAAGCCCACAACCAGACCTCAGAAACAAAACAAAACAAAAACCAAACAAACAAAAAAACAGGACATGGTAAGTCCCTTCCTCCTCCTCAAGCCTTGCATGTCCCTCCAGAATCTCTCACTGGTGGAACCAACATAGAGACACTGGCAAAGGAAAGTTGTGTGTGCAAAATCCAATTTGTAAATCTGTCCAATTTGCAATTGGAGGATAGGCTAAAAGAAATTGTGCAAAATGTAGCAGAGGGAGAAAGGGAAATGGAAAAAATAAAAGAGAAAGCTAAGAGACATAGACTAGCTCTCACACCACAGAGTACAGAAGGGTGGGTTGGAGCTATGAAGGAATGTATTAAGAACTGACACAGACATCAATACACAGAATCCAAAATAGGTAGTATTTATTGAGCACTTATTTGTGCAAGTACTGTTCTATATGTGCTTTACACATATTAACTCATTTAATCATTGTAACAGTCTAGGAAGGACTATGTTTAGAAGTCCAGTGAATCACAAGCAAAATATTTGAAAAGCAATTCCCTCCTAGACATTTTACTGATAAAAAACTGCAACACCAAAGACTACAAAAGATGTTAAAAACATCTAGAGAAAAAACACAAGTGATAGTTACACTAACAGCTGACTTTGCAGGACTAGGAAGCTTGCTAGAAGACAAGAGAATGATATTGTAAATGTGCTAAAACAAAGCAATTGTCAACTTAGAATTCTACAACCAGAAAAAGTCTTTGAAGAATTGGGACAAAATAGAGAAAGTAGCGGGCAAAACTAAAAGCTTGCCACTAGTACGTCCTCTCTAAAGGAAGTTCTAAATGATGAATTTCAGACAGAAGGAATGTGAACCCCAGTGGAAGGTCTGAAATGCAAGAAGGAATGAAGAATTAACTGAGAAGGCCAACATGTGGGTGATTCTAATAGACATAAAAAATAATGCCTTGTGTGGTTAAAAATAAGAAAGATGGAATTAAAGTGGCTGAGCCCTAGTTTTCCACATTAATCCCCCCTGCATCAGATTGCTTGCTTTCCCTGTCTCACTTCCCCATTCCCTCACTGGTGCTTAGTGGGATCCAAAATAAAATACTTACACTCCAATTTTAGACACCACAAAATAATATAATCAAAGTGTATTAACTTCCAAATTAGTAGAGCAGAAGAACTAGAATGACAAAATACTATCAATTCGAAAGAAGATAAGAATGGAGAGAAAAAGAAACAGCTCTTTAAGGACAAATACAAAGCGTAAAATAAGAAGATATTTGGTTGAGGATTAAAAACAGACAAAAGCATCAGTTAAAATATGTATTACATGAACAGCAGGATTAACCAACTTGATTTAATGGACATATACAACATAATGCACCCAAACACCCACTGCTATGATTTGAATGTTTGTTCCCCATCAAATTCATATGTTAAAATCCTAACGCTCAACATAGCAGTATTAGGAGGTGGGGTCTTTTGGGAGGTGGTAGGTCATGAAGGTAGAGGCCTCATGAATGGGATCAGTGCCCTTATGAAATAGGCCCGAGAGAGCTCATTCACCCTTTCACCACATGAGGACACGGTGAGAAAGTGCTATCTACGAAGAAGGAAACAGGCCCTCACCAGACACTGAATCTGCTGGTGCCTCAATCTTGTACTTCCCAGCCTCCAGAACTATGAGAATCAAATCTCTGTTGTTTACAAGCCACCTCGTTTATGGCATTTTGTTAGAGCATCCCAAATGGTCTAAGACACACATTTGTTTCAAGAATACATAGGCCCTTAATAAATTCTTACATACTAGCCCATTAAGCAAGCCTCAACATATTTCAAAGGGCTGAAATGATATAGGGCTTGCTATTTGACCAATGCATTTAAGCTAAAAGTAAAAAATAAAAGATAACTAAAACACCCTTATTTGTTTGGAAATAAAGAAACAAACAACCTATGGGTCAAAGAAGAAATCATAATGGAAATTATAAAATATTTCTAACTGAGTAGTAATAAAAATACTACATATAAAAACTCATGAGTTGCAGCTAAGGCAGGATTTAAAGGGAACTCTAGTCCTCAAATATGCATACTAGTAAAGAAGAAAAACTGAAAGTTAATGAGCTGAGGAAGTTAAGAAAGGAGCAGCAAAATAGACAAAAGTAGAAAGAAGAGAATCCTGCAGAGCACAAAAGCTAAGAATTAATGGGAGAATCAACAGGTCCAAAAGTTGGTTCTCTGAAAAGATAAATACAATTAACAAATTTCTAGCTAGAATGATCAAGGCAAAAAAGAGAGAAGGCTCATATGCCCAGTGTCAGGAATAAAAAGGGGAACCTCATGGCAGATGCTGCAGACATTTAAAAGATAATAACAAGATATTACAAATAACTTTATGCCTATACATTGAAACATTAAATTTAGAGGTTTCCAAATAAATATATAACACATATAAAATCTGAATTGCCTTATAACCATTAAAGAATTTAAATGGAAAATTAGTTTCATACAAAATCTTCAGAGCAGATGGCTTTACCAGTGAATTCTACCACATATTCAAGTAATCAATAATTCTAATCTTACACAAACTCAGAGAATACAAAAAGAGAAAATACCCCTCAACTAACTTTATAAGTCTAGCTAAAGCCTAATATCAAGGTTACTTATGAGAAGAAAAAAATTACAAGCTAAAAATCACCCATGAGCATGAGTATAAAAATCCTAAACAAGTTATTGTCTGGTCAATAAAGTAGCAAATATGTATATGGTGCTTACTATTTTTCAGGAACTGGTTTAAGCATTTTGGACATATTACTAAAATTTACAGAAGTTTTGTGAGTTAAGGGCTATTATTATCCCCATTTCAGCATATGAGAAAATCAAGGCACAAAAATGTAAAGTAAATTGCCCAGGTCACGCTGCTAGACAGTGGTATAGCCAAGTTTTAGACCCAGGCAATCTAACTCAAGAGCCTAATTTTCTAGCAGCTATACAATGGCCAAGGTGAGTGTTTCCCAGGAATACAAAGTGATTTAACATTCAAAATTCAATTAATACAAATCATCACATGTACATGTTAAAGGAAAAATATCTTCTGATCCATTCAACAGATGCAGAAAAAAAAAAAAGAAAAAGCTTAAATTCTATATCCATTCACAACAAAAACAATCCTTGCCAAACTGGAAATAGAATAAGACTTCCTTAATCAGATAAAGATTACCTACAAAAACCTCAACAAACATCACTCTTCCCGATGACCCATTTACAAGCTTTCCTTTCAAGTTGAACAGAGACAAAAATGTTAACAAATACCAATTTCATTCAACATCCTGGACAGTACGGCAGGTTAAAAAAAGGTTAAAAATGTAAGTATTGAGGAGGAAAAAGAAAAAACTGTTACTATTAGCAGATAACATGATGATATAGAGAGAGAATGAAAAATAATCTACAAGTAAATTATTACAATATAACAGTTTAGCAAAATATCTGGATATGAAATCAATATAAAAATTAAATTCATTTCTAATCAGCAACAGCTATACAATGAAATTTAAAACAGACATTGCCCACAATGGCACTGAAAAATATGAAGTACCTAAGAATAAATCCAGCAAACTATGTATAAGACATTAATGGAGAAAATAATAAAATTTTATTGAAAGACATTAAAGAAGACCTAAATAAATGGAGAAATACGCCACTTCATGGATGGGGGGACTCCACATGGTGAAGATGTCATTTGTCTCCAAATTGATTTATAGACTCAGTAAAATCCCAATTAAAATCCCAATAGTTTTTTGGTGAAACTTGACAAGCTGGCTCTAAAATTTATATGACAGTGCCAAGGGCCAAGAGTAGTTACTCTTAAAGAAGAAAAATAAGGTGGGAGGACTTGCTCTACCAGATATAAATACTTATTATAAAGCTGTAGTAATTAAGACAGAGTAGTATTGGTAGTAGGATTGACAAATAGACCAATAGAACAGAGTAGAGAGCCCATAAACAGACCTGTACTTTTATGAACAGTTGATATATGATTGAGGTGATAGCTTAGATCAGTGGGGAAAAAGATAGACCTTTCAATAAATAGTGCTAAGATAATTGGGTATCTGTAGGGAGGAATAAGGAATTAGAACCCCACCTCACATTATGCACAAAAAACAATTCAGGCAGATTAAAAAACTAAATATGAAGGGCAAAACTCTAAAGATTTAGAAGGTAATGTAGAAGAATATCTTTATGACCTTGGGTGCAGATAACGATTTCTTAAACCAGACACAAAAGCCATGAATCATGAATAAAAGATTTGTAAATGCTAGTATATTACAATTAAGAATGTCTGTTCGACCAAAGACACTTTAAGAGAGTGAAGAGACACTCTACAGAGAGGGAAAAGATACTACAACACATGAAACTGACAAGCAAGAATTTATGAATTCTGACAACAGAATTTACAAAGAACTTCTGTGAATCAATATGAAAATAAAGAAAACAAAAAACTTGAACAGACCCTTTCTGAGAAAGGAAATCCAAGTGACCAATAAACCTAGGAAAAGATCCTTAATCTCATCAGTGGAATGCAAATTAAACCACAATGAGATACAATTATGCAGCCATCAAACTGGCAAAAATCACATCTGACCAGCACCAAAGGCCTTGACCAATAGATGTCCTTGTGTATTTCTAGCAGGCATGTAACTTGGTGCAGCGTTATGGAAAACAGTCTGGCATTGACTGGTAGAGTTGAGTTGCTGCGTACCCTATGCCCAGTAATTACAGTCCAGGTACACACCTAGAGAAAAATCTGGCACATAAACATGAATGTTCTTAGCAGCATTGTTTGGAACAGCCCCCAACTAGAAACAACCTAAAAGTCCAACAATGGTAGAATAAATTGGAGTGTACAGCAATGAAAATGAACCAATTAGAACTACAAGCATCAGCATGGATGATTCTCCAAATGATGTAGGGCGAAAGAAGAAAGTCCCAAGAAAGACTTCCTTTTTATTCAATCTATAAAGTCCAAAAGTCCAAAACAAACAAAAGTAAATTTTATTATTTAGTGATGCACAAGTGGGTGGGAAAACTAAAGAAAAACAATGAGATAATTTCATTAGATGCCAGGATAGTGGTTGCCTGTGGGTGACTGGGGAGGACAAAGTTGTGCTCAGGTTACAGAACACAGGGGGAAGAGGGTGCTTCAAAAATCCTGCAATGCTAACCAGTGCTCATGCATTTTATATTAACCTTTATGCTCTATGTAAATGTTCTATGAACTTTTCTGTAGATGCATCTCACAATTTAAAAAACATCCTGCATATCCAGACGCAGAGTCCCTCGAAACAAGCACAAATTTAGAGATCAAGTCTACTTGATAATATTGGTCTTCCCAAGTTTCCTCTCTGAGGCAGGACCTAGTGTTTCTTTTTCACTCAATTTTACCCAGTGGGGCTAAATGGTACTCAATGGTACTAAAGGATAAACAACGATCTCTGCAAAAATGGGGCAAGGATGGAGGAGAACATTACAGAAACTGCAGCTGAAGCTTTCCTTCCAAGCTTTTCTTTCCAATGCTGGAAGAAGTCCTTCTGTGCCTCAGATGACATCAAGGCCTACTGTAGATCAGAGGGCCCCAGGATGCTTCAGAGATGACACAGACTTCTGTAGGCAGTGATCTCTCATTTGACACTCCTTGCCTTCTGCTTATCTCCAAGAAAGAAATGTACCCCTGGGTACGCCACAGCAATTAGGAGCCTGCTCCCTTCACCTCTTCCTGCTGCAATTGTGGGTGGGGTATTCACATATGTTGCAGAGAAGCAACTACTGAGCCTCTTCCTCTTTCTCTGCTCAAACCATACCTTGTGGCAGGCGTGAGTCGCCAGGAAAGAATTCCAAGGCAGAGCCAAATTAAGCAACTCCTGGAGTAAGAGGCATCAGTAATTTGGGAGCATTTCATGTGCTTGGTAATTAATAACAAATAAACAAAATTATCACCAAAACTATAACCCATCAAATTTGATGTGCTCCCGCAGGGCCTGCTCTAGATTTTAGTGGATGCATATGGTGAGTCCAGAGCTGATTAATATGAGCCTTAATTGCAGGGAGGTAGAGAACCCTTTCTTGGAGTCCACAACCTGTCAGCTTCTCTCTTTTGTCACTCTTAAGTCATGGCTACCTTTGGGGTAAAAATGAGGCTGCAGACCATAAGGGCGTCACTGTATGTACGCAGAGGGCTGCCTTCTGCCTGGTTCTCACAGTGTGCCCTCTCGTAGAGCTTTGGGTTGAAAATCCATAGCCACAAAGACACTGATTCAGCCAGAAACTCTAGTTATCTAATTATCTGGTTATCAATACTCCAGCGTCTCAAATATTTTCACTGGCTTCTAAATCCATTGTTCAGGTTACAGAAAGCTTTGAGAAGGATGCCAAGGAGGGAGGGAGAGGAAGGGTGTAAGGTGGCAAGCTTCTTGGCTAAAGGAAGAAGAAGCGTGATGGGAGAAAAGACATGTTGGGGCCAGGCACAGTCGCTCACACCTGTAATCCCAGCACTTTTGGAGGTTGAGGTGGGCGGATCAGGAGTTCAAGACCAGCCTCGCCAACATGATGAAACTGTCTCTACTGAAAATACAAAAATTAGCCCGTCATGGTGGTATGCACCTGTAATCCCAGCTACTTGGGAGGCTGAGGCAGGAGAATCACTTGAACCCAGAAGGTGGAGGTTGCAGTTAGCAGAGACTACACCACTGCACCCCAGCCTGGGTGACAGAGCAATACTCTGCTCAAAAAAAAAAAAAAAAAAAAAAAAGATGGCCGGGTGCAGTGGCTCACGCCTGTCATCTCAGCACTTTGGGAGGCCAAGGTGGGCATATCACAAGGTCAGGAGATCGAGACCATCCTGGCTAACACGGTGAAACCCCGTCTCTACTAAAAATACAAAAATCAGTCGGGTGTGGTGGCACATGCCTGTAGTCCCAGCTACTTGGGAGGCTGAGGCAGGAGAATTGCTTGAACCCAGGAGGCGGAGGTTGCAGTGAGCCAAGATAGCACCACTGCACTCCAGCCTGGACAAGACTCCATCTCAAGAAAAACAACAGCAACAAAAAACAAAAACAAACAAACAAAAAAAACCATGTTGGGGTGAAGGTGGTTGAGGACTACTTGGAAAGGAAAGCAATTCCTGAGCCTCAGCCAGGACCAGTTTCCATAGTCCAGCCACGAGGTGTCCAGGCCTGACCTACCCCTCCTATACAGTTTGTAAATTGCAGGCAGATGGCATCCAGGGTGATAGGGCCTTTGGCAGAGCCAGGTACCAGCAGTGTTGCTGTGGCAGGTGGCCAGCTTGCTGGAGATCCACATCTGCCTGGCACAGAGAGGCTGGAAATCAGGGTGGAGCCTCCCTAATATCCTGCTGGCAAAAGCTGAAAACCTGAGTGGCTTCTGTGCTATCTGCACTATTTTGCTTTGTTTCCTTTCCTCCTCGGCTTGTTGCTCCTTTGTCACATGCTTACTTACAAAACTTACTGGGACCTGATTTAGGGCTATCTGCTCTGTTCCATTGATTTTTCTTTGCTTCCTACTAATTACTGTAACGGTACGATACCTATTTAGGACATCTGTCCTATCACTACTAATGCTATACAAATATCAAGATTATGAAGTTCACTCTTCTCCCTCTGTTTATTACCTATGTAAAAAGCAAATCGTTTTATGTTCAGGGTAAAAGATGTTAGGACTAAGATTGGATCTTGTAATTCTCTTCTTCCTTTATTGTTTTGTTTAGTTTAGTTTTTGAAAAAGCATGAGGTCAGGTGGTTAAAAGAAAATGCTTATTAAATTGAAAAAAAAGCAACAAAGGCAGAATATAAGCTTTTTTAAAAATTGAGGATAGACGTAATAACCTCATGGAAATAAGATTCTGTAAAGAAAACTAAGCCTCGGAAGTAAAACAGCTGTGATTGTCAGTCTTCAATCTCTTGTCAAAAAGCTTTCGGAATGAACTGAGAATCTGTACAGTGGAAGGAAATTCACTCATATGATTATATTTTCTTCCTCCCCTTTTATTTTCCACTCTCATTTCCCTTTCATAGACAACCATCCCAAGGTGTTTGATGTCTATTCTTTATGTGCATTTTGGTAAAATGTGTGCTGCTGCTGTGTATGCATATATTTGTATTTGCATCATTTTCACTATGCATTAAAGCCCTATCACATTACGTGTGTATGTGACCCACTGCTTCATGCCACTGCATCGTTCTTCATGATTTGCACCCCTCATTTATTTATCCACACCCCCAGGAGCAGATACCCAGATTGTTTCCAACTCCCCAACACAATGATTCCAGAGACATCCATGTCTCCTTCATATAGAGACCTGTGTGAGAATTCCTATGGGGGGCATTCCCAGTAGTAGAACTGGTGAATCCTAAGGTATCCACATATTTAATTTGAGTAAGAACCACCAGATTGCCCCCAGCAAGGCTATACCAGTCTACACCCCCATCAGCAGTGCATGAGGTTCCCTGTATCGGCACACCCACTCCCATCCCTACCATCAATTTTTAGAATGATCTGCTATACTAATTTTTGCTAGTCTAATGAGAATAAGTGAAGTTGTACACTTTCTCTGATGAGTTTGAGCACTTCTAAACATGCATATCAGTATCAGTGAGATAAGCTAAGTGATGTAACAGACCTCAAACCTCAGTGGCTTAACAAAATAAATGTTTGTTTTCACATCACAGACCATGATGGCAGGCAAGGGAAGGGTACTCCCCCAGTGGTCCTTTCGGCACTCAGACTTCTTCCATTGTGTGGCTCTAAGGCCCCAGAGCCTTCCATTGGATTCTCTTCATCTAGCCCTCAGAGGAGGGGAGAGAGCTCTCGGAGGAGATTGGAATGCGAGGGTTTTGAGGACACAGCCTAAGTAGTGCCATACATTAATCTGTTAATATTCTTTGGGTCAGAATTCCATCACATGGCCTGAGGCAAGGGGGCTGTGAAATACAGCCTGGATGTGTGCTGAAAAAAGGACATGCAAATTGGGGAGGAGTTAGACAATCTCTGTCACAAAATGCTTGCTAGCTTTTGGAGTTTCCTCTTCTATACATTTCCTGGTCATATTCTTGCTCCTTTTTGTCTTTAGACTTTTTCCTATTGTTGATTTGCAGTAGTTCCTTGTATATTCTAGAAAATATCTGTCCCCTGTTGGTTTTATTCACTGTAAATATTTCTTCCAGTCTGTCCACCTGATCACTTTGGCAGGAATCTAATTATCAAGCAGGAATCTAATTTTTTTATTGTTTTTGTATTTGTTTACAATTTTGGGGTATTTGTTTGTTCGTTTGTTGAGACAGGGTCTCACTCTGTGGCCCAGGCTGGAGTGCAGTGGTGCAATCACAACTCATTGCAGCCTTGACCTCCTGGGCTCAAGCGATCCTCCCATCTCAGGCTCCTGAGTAGCTGGGACTTCAGGTGCATGCCACCATGCCTGGCGTTTTTAATTTCTAGTAGAGTGGAGATCTCACTACATTGCCCAGGCTGGGGTTTATGATCTTAACCTCTGGATTCCTCTTGAGTGTACTTCATTTCAGGCACAGAAGTCTTTAGTCACTTTACCTTCCTTTGTCAATTTCCTCATCAGTCTCTAGTTCGCACAGGAGTCACTTGTTCAGGCACAGTGAAGAAGACATTCCCCCAGAGAAAAAGGCCTGCCAGAAAGCTAATTTCCCTGCCTCTAATTCTCTTTTTTGGCATCCAATTTCCCCTAATCCTGTAGTCCCTAGCCTAGAAAAACTCAGTTCTCCAAAGCCCCTGTGGAAATGTGCAAACCTGTTCAAGAAGCCCTTTCAACTGGCTGAAGAGGGAGACAAGAGCCAGCTCATGGAGTGTGTATCTATTAAAATGGTTGCAACAGTAAACAGTGCCAAACTGGAACTTTCTCAAACACACTGGAACTTCTAATCCCTCTCATGTTGTGTCTTGACTTTGATTTCTTGCTCACACTGTCTGACCCTTTGCCTGAAAAGCCCTCCCTCCCTTTGCTTGTCTAAATTCTTTTATCTTTAATAGTCAGCTTGGGCATGAATTCCAGGAAGACTTCATTGACCTCCCTCCACCATACCCCCAGGGCTAGGTTAATGGACCTCCTCTATACTCCCCAGTGCTCTGAACATCTCTCTCTCACTAAACTTGCCACATTATGCTCCAATGGCCACTTGTCCACTAGAAGGTAAGCTTTTTGGAAGAGCCTGAATCCCATTCATCTTTGTATTCCTCCCACTTGCATGGGCCCTAACGCACGGATTGGCCTTAATAGCCATTGAACGGATCTAGTGAGCTAATTGTGCCCCATCTGCTGCAATTGGTCCTACTGCCCCAGCTTCGTGGGTTTTAAGGAGGTTTTTACTACAGCAGAGAGAGGCTGGAAGAATTCTCCTCCAGAGGCCAGCTAGTGTGCCCCTCCCTCGGTCTGTCATCCAGGCAGCATATGGGCTAGCCTACGTCCCTAGTGGGACCCTGGGCCAGCAGGTCTGGGTTGGCTTTCCTGGGCCTCAGCTTCTGTGGTGGAGGTGAGGCAACATGTAGAATACATGGCCGGGTGGAGGTCAGGGCACTCTGCGCTGGCTGCGGCCTTCCTCTTCCTGGTTCCCTCATTCAGTGGTCAGGATCTGGGAGAACAGGAGTGCAGGCTGCCGGCAAATGAGCAGGCCGGGGACAAGCAAAGGAGGGAAGAGCCCTCCCACCCCACTGGCCCTGCAGCCCCCAAGCTCAAGACTTGGCTGCCCTCTTGTGCCCAGAGAGTGAAAGACAAGGGAAATAATCCAAAAACAGGTCTTGGTCAGGTGCCTGCAGCCATCCTGCTGTCCTTGTTCCTCCTTTTCCCAAAGGGCACATCGCAGAGACACACATTCAGCAGGATGACCTGCCTTGTCCCCAAGAATGGACCACCCACCCCAGTCACTGCCTGTACCTTCCCCTGAAGGTCTGAGTACCTAAGACCCTTCTCTGGAAGGGAAAAAGGAAGGGCTTGAAAATGAATAAGGGGATTCTCTGGGGCAGGGCGGGCAGACAGGGTGTGCAACAGGCAGGATCAGCTCCTGTCTGCCTGTAGATTCTGCTTTCAGAGGTGTTCTCTGCTCCACCTTTGGAGAGCTCTGGTCCAGTGAAAGGGTGACTACTGGGCTTAGCACCCTTGCCCTAGGGGCTCCCGGCTCACACACCACCATCTGGCTGTGTGAGCCCAGCCCAGGTCTGTCTATCCCAGGCACTTGTACTCAGCCCTCCCTCCAGCCCTCTGCCCCAGGTACTCTCCACAGTGCCATTCTTTCTACTTTTAGGGCTTCTCCCATTCTGAAAATCATGTCCTCATCTTTATTTGTTTATTTTCTCATTGTCTGCCTTCCCTTCCCTTCCCAACTAGAATGAGAGCAGGGCCCTCCCTGTCTGACTCATTCTCCATGGCCTCAGAATGCAGAATGGGGCTTGGCACATAGCAGACTCTCAGTACATGTTTCCTGATCGAGGTTTCCCAAACACGCTCAGCATCCTTCCGTGACCCCACCTTTGTCACGTGGCTTCTTCCACCTGAAACACCTTCGACGCCCTAGTCCACCACCACCTTCATCTCACCACCTGCCTGGCAACCTGCTAGTTCCTGTTAGTTCAAAGTCAGTGTGGACATGTTACCTCTTTGTAAAGACTCCATTATCTCCCCCAAATTAGGCATTTCTTTCTGTGCGCTCTCACCTCCTATAAACTGCTGCCACTACTGTCTGCAAGCCCAGCGAGGGCAAAAATTGTTATCCTCACATTCTTAGTACCTGGCAAATGATATATGAATACTTATTGGTGAAGTCTGATTGCAGGGGCTCCTAGAGCCACGCCTGAGCTACCTTCCTAGCACTGTCTCCTTCTGCTCTGGCATAGGGAGCCCACCCTTGAGCCAAATGAGCCAAATGAAACATCACATCATTCACCCAGCATCTTCCTAAACTCCCCTTGGATGGGGTTAACACTCAGCCTCTAGTCCCATCTGCTGCAAGCTTCTTCTGGTATCCAACTCCTGATCTGACCCCAGCACCATGCTTTTAGCAGTGTTGTTTCCTCTAGCAGGAATGCCTTTCCAACCATCACCCTCCTTTAAGATTCATCTTCGCTGCAGCTTCCTCCATGAAGTCTTCTCCAGTTCCCCAGCAGGAACTAATCCCTCCCTCTTCTGTGCTTCCCATCATCCCCTTGTATTAGAATTAGCAAATTCTGCCTTGTAGTAGAGTCCCATGCCTACTCAGTGGGGACTTAATAAAAGCACGCTGTGTGTTTTTTAATAAATTCAGTGAATTGTAAGCTCTTCACTGTCACTAGCCACGCCTTGTACATGTCAGTATCACCCTCTCTCCCGTGAGGCCAATAGCAATACCTACTCACACTGGGCCCACGTGTATATGGTGACTTGAGGATCAAAGGAGCCAATAGTCTCCCAATGTGAATGTTCACATAACTAACACCAGGTCCTTAGAAGAACCTATCGCAGGACACACACCCTCGTCCTGGGTGGCCCAGGCTGGTCCATCCTACTTTATGCAGCAAGGGGAGCACCAGGCAACCCAGTCTTGCGTAGGGCACCTGCCCTGGAAACCCTGCACATGTGCCTGGCTGCCTTGTTCTTTGCCTTATGCCTTCCCATCCCATAGCAGCTTTCTGGCTGCACACTCCTGTGTACACTTGGAGCTCCCCTTGGAAGGAGTTAACACTCAGCCTCTGGTCCCATCTGCTGCAAGCTTCTCCTGGTATCCAACTTCTGATCTGACCCCAGCACCTGGGATACAACCTCATTCATCACCCATGTGGTGACACCACTGACAGATCTAGCCACTCTCCACTACCTGAATCACCACACATACATGTGCACACACTCACATATGCACACATAATACACACACACACACACACACACACACATGAGTATTAGGTCCACCTCCCACCCCTACCAACAGTCACCTCTGGTACTCTCTGCCTGCTTGGAGCACTGGCCTGTTCTATCACACCAGGTGCCCAGAACATTAGTAGTGCCTTCTAGGGACAGTGCCACAACCTTTGTACCTAAGTACAAAGAGAACATTCTTGATGTAGCTGATATAATTTGGATATTTGTCTCCTCCAAATCTCATGTTGAAATGTAATCCTTAATGTGGGAGGTGGGACCTGGTAGTAGGTGTTTGAGTCGTGGGAGCAAATCCCTCATGAATGGCTTAGTGCCATCCTCACAGTAACGAGTGAGCTCTTTCACAAGAGAGCAGATCGTTTAAAGAAGCCTGGCATCTCCTCCTCTCTCTCTTGCTCCCTCTCTCGCCGTGTGAAATGCCTGCTCCTCCCTTGCCTTCCGCCATGATTGTAAGCTTCCTGAGGCCTCAACAGAAACTGAGCAGATGTTAACGCCATGCTTGTACAGCCTGCAGAACCATGAGCCAAATAAAGCTCTTTTCTTTATAAATTTACCCAGTCTCAGGTATTCCTTTACGGCATTGCAAAATGGACTAACATAGCAGCCAACATATTTCTTCTTTTAGTAATGGGTAAAGGGTAAGGTAAAAACTACCGATGTCAGAACTAACGGAGAGAAAAAGAGGCAGAGTAGGTGCATGAGGCAGAATGTGGTCAAGGGCTTACGTGTTGCAACTATGTTTAGCATGAGGACCAACCCTGGGCAAAGGTTCTGATGCTGAGCTTAGCACTGAGCTTTACAGAGTACTCCACAAATATTTGTTGAATGAATCGATCACTTACCTGCCCACCACCCATGCCTATCAACAGTTACCTCTGGTCCTCTCTGCTGGCTTGGAGCACTGTCCTGTTCTACCACAGCCTTAGTAGTGCCCTCTAGGGATAGTGCCACAATTACATCTAAGGTTCTTTCACTTTTCTTGAAGTTCACCTAACATAGTATGTTATTTCTTCTCCAGGTCTCAGCATGTGGGAATTCCTGCTCTTCACCCCTCAACCCCATTCCTTCACGTGGCTTACCCTCAAATATCCTTTACATCTCACCAATGTGCTGCTACTTCCTTCAAAAAGTCTTTCCCCAAGTACCTCCTCCCTGCCTCAGACTGGGTTAGATGGTTTGTGTTGGATCAAGAAAGAAGACAGCTTATCCAGCTCTCTTTAGAACCACTCATTTCATGCATATATATAAAGTCAGCCAAAACTCTTACATACCACATCACACACATAATTATTTACTAAGTGCATTCCTATTATATCTTTGGGGTCTTACGATAACCCTGGGGATAGGTATTATTATGTCCATTTCTTTCTTTCTTTTCTTTTTCTTTTATTTATTTATTTACTTTTTGAGACAGAGTCTTGCTATGTCGCCCAGGCTGGAGTGCAGTGGCAAGATCTCGGCTCACTGCAACCTCCACCTCCCGGGTTCAAGAGATTCTCCTGCTTCAGCCTCCCGAGTAGCTGGGATTACAGGCATGAGCCCCAACGCCAGCTAATTTTTGTGTATTTTGTAGAGATGGGGTTTCACCATGTTGACCAGGCTGGTCTTGAACTCTTGATCTCAGGTGATCCACCCGCCTCAGCCTCTCAAAGTGTTGGGATTACAGGCGTGAGCCACTGCACCTGGCAATTATTTCCATTTCAGAGATGAGGAAACTGAGGCTCTGAGATGTTAGTGACCCACCAAAGGTCACAGAGCAAGTAAGTCAGAGAGCCAAAGAGGAAAAGCCATGTCTCCTGATGCGGAAACCTCTGTTCTTCTCATTTCATGGGGTAGGGCTGCAGTATTCGCAGGGGTGAGGATGGAGGTGCTGAATGGGCTCAGAAGTTGTGTGGTGACAAATGGCCTAAACTAGGAGATCATGGGGGGCTCTCCCCTCTTCTCTCTATGCAACCCTGCAGAGCCCTTGAAACAAGAAGAAGCACAGCTTTATTTCTCTGGTCTAATTCTTTCTCTCCCTCCCTGGGCCATGAGTGGAGCATATTATAAACCTCTCTGTTTGAGATCAACATTCCTATTTACCTGGCAATCATGTATAATAAGACTCTAAAAGCATTTGCTGGTAAGGTTTCTAAATAAAACAGACTAAACGAAGAGGAAAGCAAATGAGGTAGCAGGATGGCATCTGGAAATCCTGCCCCTGTGCACTCCTAGCTCCTACCAAGTCTGCTGCATCAGTCCCTTCGCCGGGCCACAGAGAACATCTCTGGGTCAACTGGGCAGTCGTGGAAGTGGCTCTCAGCTGCCTGCTGAGCCTTCTCCAACTTCTCCAAATCCAAGCCTGTCTCCTGCAGGGGCTCCTGCAGAAATTCCTCTCTAGGGGCAGTGTGGAGAACCTCTTGTCCCCCACCATGTAGACACTGGTCTCAAAGCCTCTGCTTGCAGCATACGGTCCCTGGGTTGAAGCAGGGTCCCAAGTTGGCACAAGGTGCCTTGGCAGGTACCCAGGGTGGGTGGGGGGGCAGCCTGAAACCACAGGGAGAAAACGAGGCAGTCGGCCAGGGGCAGGACTGCAGGTTTCAGAGGCCATTCTTTCCAAATGTCACATGTAAGCACATTTGAGTCGCTTTCCTTAAACACTCCTCCTTTTCAGCCCACTTCTCTCTGGAAAGAAGGAAATGGAAAGAGTGGCCAGCTGGGTCAAGCTTACCTCATGGGACATATAGATCACTCCTGGTCATTTTCTGCATCTCATACACACACTTGCAGGATAACAGAATATTCTAACCCTAATCTTAACTGTAACCCTACCCCTAACATATACACAACTCACAGGATATCAGAATATTCAAATCCTAACCCTAACCATAACCATAACCCCTATACACTCACAAGATATCAGAATATTCTAACCCTAACCCTAAACCCATACACACACTCGCAAGATATCAGAATATTCTAACACAAAACCTAACCATAACCCTAACCCCAAGCCATACACACACTCACAGAATCTCAGAATATCAGAATCAGGTCACTCCTTTTACAGATGAAGACACTGAGTCCTGGAGATGCAGTCATGACATCAGCTATTGGCACGGGCAAGCCTAGGGACCGCCAACCCTGCAGTCAGTGCTCTTTCCACTTGCCGGCTGTCTCTGCAATGTGCTTCTGACAATCAGCCCATTCTTTCTCTGCCTGGTCCATGACTTAAAACAAGTCAGCCAAGTGCAAAGGGAAATGGAAAGTCTGCCTGGAACCAGCAGAGCAAAACTATTAATACAAAGTGAGCTTGGTAGATGTTGTTGAGGACATCCAGTACCTCCATCATCTTTCCCTTCCAGTGGCTCCTGGCTACACACTCCACTCAGTTGTCACATTCTCTTCTTAAATACCTAGTATAGGCTATGAGGCTCATTCATACTGAGGTATGAATAAGGACTAGCACTTAAAGGGTTACTCTTTACAGCTCTTCAATAGTGTATTACAAATGTTATTGTCTTAAGCAAAATGAAGAAGGACCTAATGAACAACTTCAACCTTCTTACTTAACTAGGATGTGGGGTATTTTGGGAGTGAAGATGCTATGGAGAACTTTCCTGGTGCCTGAAATTACGCAAGGTAAGTAAATTCTATTCTGCCTCAAAGTTAGATTGGTCTTAATTCCATTCCCAACTCCAATCCCAGCGATGGCCTTCTCTGTGTTTCCCTGTTCCCAGCAGTGAGAGGTCACCTCAGGAGACCCACAGAAAGCTTCCACAGGTTTAGGGTCAAAAGTCTGGAGGTTGCAATTGGAACAACAGGAACACTGACCAGTCAGAACGGTTGCCTGCCATCAAAAGCCAGCTGACTGTCATCCTGCCTGTTATGCATATGCTTGGGCTCAGATCTTGGCATCTGGGACAGTTTCTTTCTGGCTCCAGGCTTGTCTCTAGCCATCTACTTTGGTTCCCTCCTTGGGGCTTTATAGAACTCACTCTTCCTTTCTTCTTCCTGCAGTTCCACTGACATCCTTCTTTCTTAGTCTCCATCTTTCTTGCCATTTCTACATGAGCCCCACAGAAAATTCTTAGTTCAGAGAGCCACGTGAAGCTCTGGCATCCTCAAGGTGCAAAAACAAACACCGAACTCCTTGCCTAATCCCTTCAAGCTCACATACATATTTTACCACTGGAGACCAGTCAAATGACTGCAGCCTCTGTCTCTGCTACCTGTTCAGCTCCAGGACATTCTTGTCCATGTAGTTGGAGGCAATGGTCTCCTAGAAAGACTCACAGGCAGAGAGGAGCTGATAATGGTGGCCTCAGGGCCAATGCCAATTAGTCACTTTCCTATCAGCCCACCTGTTTTAGAACAAGAATATTTCTAAATCGTCAGTATCGAAGCATGGCTCTGAGGTCCACCTTTCCCAAAAGGTTCTACTTTCTCTAGACTTCTTAGAGAGACACGTTTGTTTGGGGTGTAGAGAGTCAACCACTTGGGAATGCAGACTCTAAGATTTGGAATTTTATCTGCACTAACAGCCTTAGACATGACTGAGCACAGTCCCCAGCACTGAGCAGGGGTAGGAGGGGAGTGTTAGGAGCAGGAAGGCACTGAGGGGTGTGGCAGCAACTAGTAGAGAACAAGCTTTGTCACTTCAACTGCCAATTGACCACTGTAAATTACCTGTTCAGAGATAACTGGTCACATTCATGAGGACACTGGCTTTCCTATTCCAATTGTTCTTCACTGAAGTGCTGTATGGCCCCACTGAGACCATCTGTAACATGGTCTCAAACTTTTTTTTTGAGATAAAGTCTCACTCTGTTGCCCAGGCTGGAGTGCAATGGAGCGATCTCAGCTCACTGCAACCTCCGACTCCTGAGCTCAAGTGATTCTCCTGCTTCAGCCTCCCGAGTAGCTGGGATTACAGGCACGTGCCACCATACCCGGCTAATTTTAGTATTTTTAGTAGAGACGGGGTTTCACCATGTTGGCCAGGCTGGACTTGAACTCCTGACCTCAGGTGATCCACCCACCCGAGCCTCCCAAAGTGTTGGGATTACAGGCATGAGCCACCGCACCTGGCCTTAAACATTTATTAAGTATCAACTGTGTTCTAAGAATCTTGCTTGGCAGCATGGGGACTAAAATGAGACTATAGGGTCTGCGCACAGAACTCTTGGTCTCTTATTCCTATCTTGACCTCTCTCCAGCTAGGGAGAGACTGGGTTGACACAAAATATCAATATCATTTGGACTCTGGCAAGGGGCTTCCAAAATGAACAAGGCAGTGAGGAGAGAAAACAAGCTGAATCTGTTATAATTCCTCCTCTGGCCCAGTCTCCAACCTCTTGTTCAGCAAGAAGCGCCTCTCGCCATCTGCCTAAGCTGGAAGCTTTCACCCTCTTATCCCTGAGCTGTAACTGGTCTTTAAATGTCTTCAGATGGCAGAGCACCTGGAAATCTTGGTCCTTTTTGTAGAACGACAGGAAATAGTCATCTCTTTAATTCTAATACACAAATTATGAACAATTTTGCCAGCAGGAAACATACCACACTACAGTAGTCAGGTCCATAGGCAATATAAAATCAGAGGCACATACGTGCAGATCCAGGAAAACACAGAAACACAGGCTATTGAACTTAGCATGCTCATTCACGCCTGGGTTCTGCTGCTACTCTTCATTTGCTCCCTGCTCATTTGTTTTATCTGTAGGGTACAGTGGCAGGTAGGTTGAGGCAGGCATCAGAGGTTTAAGAAAAGTTTATGGCAGAAAAATTGTAAGTGGGAAAAGTCTATCTAGTGGGTTATGTTATTTTTTCTCCTGTTAATCATGAAAAGATACCCGTTATTTGATTTCAATGGTCTAACCTGGCTAGTACCATTGTTTCCCTAGGAGCAAATCTGGAAGCCATCCACAGTGATGTTTTCATGAGCCACACTGGTGACGGGCAGAGCAGTCAAGGCCACCCTGCAGGTGGAGAGAGGCTTCCTACTTTCTGATGCCTTCGCAGCTTCACTCAGGACCATCAAAGATACAACTCTTAGACTTTATGGGGGCAGGAAATCTCGACCTCAGAAACCTCAGAGACTTTGAGGGTCTCCCACCATGGACCATGTATCAAGTGGAACTAAAATTTTCCCTTAGGGCAGTTCCACACACTCTGAAGGTCCAACGTGTCTGTCAGTTACCTGGTGGGTCTCACCCACCTCCCTCTCTAACCCTGCCCCAGGGTTGAAGTAGAGCTGCACCTGATTTAAAGTTTTCACAGCTACCCTGAGCACCCACAGACCTCCTGCAAGGTTGAAGGAGATGAGCTTCTGACTTAATCATGTCACTGTAGTCCTTCCACAGTAAATAGAGGAATCCATTTCCCAAAAGATTCCGGCTGGATTTGAAGTAGTCCAGGCGGGCTATGGGCTCACAATCCACCCAAAAGATGTCAGGTGCTGTGGGTTCCTGAAGAGTCATGGAGGGCAGGGAGTTTGTCCAGGAAGGAGCAAACCATCTGATCCCCCGGGCCTTTCTTGACAGAGTTCAGACTCAGTAACCATCCCCGCAAGCCCAGCTCCACCTCTAGACATTTAGGTGAAGAATTGAACAGCCAATGAAGGAAGTTTCCTGAACCTTCCTCTCCCAGGTATTCACCTCTGTCACAACCACCTCTCCCTCCTTCCAGTTCCTTCTCTGCACAGATGCCCCCCTCAACCAACCCCCAGGCTTTTTAGCAGCTTAGGGTTTCCCATCTCTTCTGCTCCACTGTACTGCACTCTCTTCTACGGTGGGTTTTTAAGTAGCATACCTAATTAATTTTTAAACAAAATCTCCTGTGAACCCCCAGGAGCTGTGAGATACTAGGATGAAGATGTCTTCATTGGGTTTTAGTCTTTAGTGTTTTCAGCTCCCGAACACAACACCCTGGTTTCTGTCCCAGACCACTGAGTGGATGCTGGTAATTCATAAAGTAGGGAACACAGGAAGAAGAACAGGTTTAGAGGAGGGTGAAGAGGATGACATGATGAGAAACGAGGAGTTGCATTTGGAGCATGCTTGGCTTGAGGCTAAAAAATTGAATCTAACCCAGATGCAGGTCAAAAACTCACAGAGAGACCTGAGCTGGAGCCACACATGTAGTGGGGATAAGTGTGCAAAAAGCACCTGCTCTATAACTGCACTGAATTTCTTCTTCAAGTCCTCATTCAAATAGGTAGTAGACATTAAATCTCAGTCATTTAGAGGCTCCCATCACTGGGGTTGGGGTGGGTGGTACTTAGTGCCAGACACGAGGGCTGACACTTTTCCCTACTACTGGCACCTACTGAGATTATATTGTATAATTTGGTCTGAGATCACAGATTTTAAAAGGTTGCAACATCCCCTTTACACAGTCTCAATGTCTTTCTCTCTTTTAAAACAAATTTCCCTCTCCCTTCTATTCCCATTCTCTACTTTTATGGACTGAATTGTGCCTGCCTCCCTGCCCACTCCCAAAATTCATATGTTGAACCCCTTGGCCCCAATATGACTACTGCATTTGGAGACAGAGCCTTTACAAAGGTCATTCGGAGCCGAGCATGGTGGTTCATGCCTGTAATCCCAGAACTTTGGAAGGCTGAGGCAGGTGGATCACTTGAGGTTAGGAGTTAAAGACCAGCCTGGCCAACATGGTGAAACCCTGTCTCTGCTAAAAAAATACAAAAATCAGCAGGGTGTGGTGGTGCATGCTTTTGATCCCAGCTACTCGGGAGGCTGAGACAGGAGAATTGCTTGAACCTGAGAGGCAAAGGTTGCAGTGAGCTGAGATCCTGCCACTGCACTCCAGCCTGGGCAACAAAGCGAGAAAAAAAAAAAAGAACTAAACAAAAAGGTAACTAGGGTTATATGAAGTCATAGAATAGGGCCCTAATCCAGTAGGATTGCTATCCTTATCAGAAGAGGGAAACACACACAGAGAAAAGGCCATAGGAGGACACAGTGAGAAGGTGGCCATCTGCAAGCCAAGGAGAGAGACCTCACTAGAAACTAACCCTACTGGCACCTTGGTCTTGGACTTCCAGCCTCCAGAACAGTGAGAAAATAAATTTCTGCTGTTGAAGCCGCCCAGTCTGTGGTCTTTTTTTATGGCAACACTACCAAACTCATACACTCAGACGGGAGTAAGGGAAATCACTCTCCCTCTGCTTACGATACTCTGGGCTGTGAAACAACCATCAAAGCATTGCTTCTGCTCCAGCACCACATTGAGAATAGAGATGAGTCTGGAGTCTTGACACTTTCTAGGCTATGCCCAGGGAAAGGGCACAGGTTTCCTCTGTTCACACGTTCCTAAGTAAATGAGAATATAGAAGATATTAAAATGTAATTAATAATTCAAATCTAGTTAATTCACGTATTGAATGCTCTAATCTAAAAATAGAAAATATACCTTCTTTTCAAGGTACCCATGGAATATTCACAAAAACTGATTATATAAAAAGCCTCAAAGAAATTGTTTAAATTCTCAAAAGGTAGAAATAATACAAAATATTCTCTGATCAAATTGCAACAAAATAAATATTCATTACAAAAACAAAAGACTCTACCACCCGGAAATTTTAAATTTTTTTCTTAAACATTTTTGGACCAAAGAAGAAACCAAAAAAATTGAAAATTCTCTAGAATTTTTTAAACTCTACACATAAGAATCTATAGGACACTAAGGAGAGGAAAATCTATGACCTTAATTAATTATATTAATAACAGAAGATAATTAATACATGAATTAAGCATCTAAACCAAGAAGTTAAAAAAAGAATAACAAGTACATTTAAATAACATGCAATGACAAAATTAATAAAGATAAAAGTCGACACTAGTAAACGAATAAAGTAATGAGTACAGAAGCCAGAATGCAGTGATGGAGTGAGCTGGAGGTGAGAGGGTGGTGAGGAAGTGCAGACAGAAAATGCAAACAACACCTCTGAAAGCTTGGCTGTGAAAGGGAAGAAAGACAGGGCAGTAGCTAAAAGTGGATGAGCCTCTGATAGAGAAACACTAAATATTTTGACAGTGGAGGAAAGGCAAGGACAGATGCCAAAACAAGTCAAATTTATAAGGGATGAGTAGAAAACTGAGCTGAAAATGATGTTTTTCCTGAAAATAATGAATAGGGAGGTGCAGGTGTTTGAGATTCGGACAAGAACTCTATGGAAAACAGAAGGCAAAAACTAGGGAAATACAGAATTATTAGGGATTGTTGAGAGCCCAGATAACTTGACAGGAACTCAGTCTGCCCAGAAGTTGGATTTTCTGCAGTGTGCTGAGACGTCTTGGTGCAGAAGAGAACACAATGGATTAAGGTAAGGTTGAGACTTTTCTGGCAAGGAGAACAGAAGTTAAATGGGTAAGAAAGATAGAAGAGAAAGCCTTCACTGCATTCATCCAAAATACATTAATTAAGCAGCTATTATGTAAGATAATAGGTTGATGTATAAGAGCACAGAGTCTGGAGCTAAACGGCCTAGATTCAAAATCTGGCTCTAGCACTTACACAATGTGTCCATGGACAAGTTATTTAGTCTCGTTTTGCCTCAGCTTTTTTTTTTAAAATGTGTGAAAACACAAGGATAATAATCTACCTCTTAGAATTTGTGAAAGGATTAAATGAACTAATTCAAATTTAAAAATCAGAACAGAAATTTTTCTTCTGGCCATGACAGAGTAACAATTACTGGAATTGCCTTTCACCATAAACAACTACGAAACTGGACAAAACCGGACAAAACCTATGACACAGCTGCTTTCAGATTCCCAGGTAGCATGCCCACAAATTCTGATTCAGGAGCTCTAAGGCAGGGAACCAGCTGTTTCAGTTTTTTTTTTTTTTTTTTTTTTTGAGACGGAGTCTCGCTCCATCGTCCAGGCTGGAGTGCAGTGGTGCGATCTCGGCTCACTGCAAGCTGCGCCTCCCAGGTTCACGCCATTCTCCTGCCTCAGCCTCCCGAGTAGCTGGGACTACAGGCGTGTGCCACCACGCCCAGCTAATTTTTTGTATTTTAGTAGAGGCAGGGTTTCACCTTGTTAGCCAGGATGGTCTTGATCTCCTGACCTCGTGATCCGCCCACCTCGGCTTCCCAAAGTGCTGGGATTACAGGCGTGAGCCACCGCGCCTGGTCTGTTGTAGTATATTTTTAAGCAATCATAAGCTTGGTTGCATGGCTGGTTTGGGAACCATGGTAAGTCCCATGTATGGAGGCTGACCCTCTCCTAACAAGCTCCAGAGGATGCAAGATAAAGAGGGAACTCTGTGAACAAGTGGGAGGACTGTACAGATGTTCTGCCTAGCTGGGAGAGGCTGGAAAAAGGACTAAAACAAAAGGTACAATTAGCTCATCTGTGAAGTTCCCTTCAGTTGTCACACTAGGGACCCTGTAAGAGGAAACAAGGTCACTGTTGATCTTGTAGCTCCCAGGTGTCTCAGAAAGGTCAGCGATGTCGCCACTCCACTGGCCTAAAGCTGGGTTAACCAGATGACTCTGCTCCATAAGGTCTCTTCAGATCGTTTCCTCCTTTTACTCCTACTACCCAGCCCCATTTCAGGCCCTCATCATCTCATAACTGAATAGATAATAATAATCACCGCTTTCTACAACAAGTTAACAGCATGGGGAAAATGAAACTTAAGAGAAATAACAAATCGATGCAGTATGTGGGTATGATTTGGCTCTTAATTCAAATAAATCAACTTTAAAAAGTTATTTTTGAAGCAATCAGGAAAATCTGAATACAGACTGAGTGAGGATACGGAGGAACCATTCCTAATTTTGGAAAGATATAAATGGCACTGAGGTTAAATGAGAAAAATTCATTTTGAAAAATGCATGAATTGGAGTATGTCGTGGTGAAACAACACGATGTCTGGGATTTTCTTTAAAATATTTCAGCAGAAACAAAAGACAGGAAAAAGAAACGAAAGACAGAAAAGGAACAAAAGACAGAAGAATAGGTGAAGCAAGTGTGGCAGAATCTGGATGATGTTGAATCTGGGTGACGGGCATTATGTGGGGTTGATCATATTATTCTATTTTTATGTATATTAGAAATATATGTAATTCATTAAAAATATTAAAATATTTTTAACAACGAACTAATACGGTGGCTGGCATACAATGAGTATTATGTAGGTATTGGCATTTGTAGTCATAACAATTGTGTGGCAAGCACAGTTCATAACATCAAGGATATGGTGGCAGACAAGGCCCTGGCTCTCACAGGGTCCACATGCAGGAGACTAGGACATGAACCATGACAAGTAAACAAATAAAGAAGATCATATCAAACAGTGGTAAATGCTAGGAAAAACAAACTTGATTTTTATTTATTTGTTTATTTATTTATTTGAGATGGAGTCTCGCTCTGTCACCCAGGCTGGACTGCAGTGACGTGATCTTGGTGAACTGCAACCTCTGCCACCTGGGTTCAAGTGATTCTCTTGCCTCAGCCTCCTGAGTAGCTGGGATTACAGGTGTGCACCACCACGCCCAGCTAATTTTTGTGTTTTTAGTAGAGATGGGGTTTCACCATGTTGGCCAGGCTGGTCTCGAACTCCTGACCTCAGATGATTTGCCTACCTTGGCCTCCCAAAGTGCTGGGATTAAAAGTGTGAGCCACCGTGCCCAGCTGAAAACAAACTATAGATGGGATGGTTTCTCAGTCTATTTTCTCTTGTTATAACTAAATATCATTTTTCAAAGAATAAAAGTTTATTCAGCTCATGGTTTTGGAGGCTAGGAAGTCCAAGGGCATGGCACCAGCCATCTGGTGTGGGCCTTTATGCCGTCTCATCACATGGTGAAAGAATTGCATGGCAAGACAGAGCAAGCAAGCCAGAGAGAGCTTGTTTTTCTAACAAAGCCACTATCAAGGTAAGAAACCTACTCCCATGATAATATTAATCCATTCAAGAGGGCAGAGGAATTAAGTTTCCAACACATAAACTTCTGGGGGACACATTCAAACCATAGCAGATGGTCAGGTAAGACCCCACTGAGAGGCAATATTTGAGCTAAGACCCAAATTATATGTGAAGGAGGCAGCCATGCAAAGATATGGGGTGGGACTGGGGGTGGGGGTGGGCAAGGAGCTCTTGGCAGTGGGAACAGCACATGCAAAGGCCTGTCCTGTTCTGGAAACAAATGAATCACAGTGAGGCTGGGTATAGAGGTGGGAAAAGAGTGGAAGAAGACGGTCAGAAAGGTAGACAGTGGCAGGTTTATTTAGAGCCTTTGCTGGCAGAAGAAGAGCAAGATAGCTAGTTAGAAAGAGCCCTGTGATAGGCATAAGTAAAACATTTAGGAAAACTCTTGAGTGCAACTACTTAAAAGGTAGACTAAGCCAAGTATATACTAAGCCTATAGCTCTAAGGGAAACAGCGAGGTGGGGTGGGGGACATAATATTAGTACGTGTTGATTGCTCCTCAGCGTTTGTAGCAAGATATTACTATGAAGAGATGTGTTCAGGTAATAACTGACAATTTCCCGAGAAGAAATGAATGTAAGTAGGAGGAAAATCCAAAAATTTGGGTTTTCTTGGATATAGGAAAGCTACCTGCTTCTGGACCCTAAATTACAGGAATGAAACTGGAAAAGGCTTCAAGCATTAAAGGCTCATTATTAAAAATTCTCTTACAAAGAGACTCAGTACTGTGACAAACATCAGATTAAAGGTGTTGCTTTTCCCACCCAAGCTGACTCGCAGATGACCCCAAGGTAACCACCAGGAAGTTGACAAGGAGACTTGGCGGTGCAGAATAATAATAATAATAATAACAGATTGGACAACTAAGTTGAGGAAAGAACTTTAATCATGGTTAATGGGTTACTGGCGTAAGAAATCGATTGGAAGCAAATACAGCCAAAGGCTATTTTCGGAGAAATTGAATTGCCAAAAGTCCATGAACCTGGCCTGATAATGTCTTTGACTCTCAAAGCTTAAAACCACACTCAGTCTCCCAGATTTGCACAAGCAGGAATTGGGCTGGTCCTGAAAGCCACACTGTCCCAAGGCAGACTCAATCCCAGGACTCACTTCAAACGTGGCCAGGGAACAGTTAAGGAATAATCTCCCAGAGGTACACTCTAAAAGCAACAGAAATAGATGAGACATCAGGGTGGGGGAGAATGTAGCTAGACAAAGTAAAAGCATCAAGGAACTTTTCAGAGACTGTCTAATATCCAGAGCTCCAGCAGAAGAAGATGATGGGGTGAGCCAACAAGACTGAGAAGCAGCAGCCAGTGAGGGAAGGGAAACCAGAAGTGTTTCCAAAAGGAGCAAGTCAGTTATGTAGAAAGCTGTTGGGAGATCAAGGAAGATAAAGCCAGCTGTGATATTGTGAAATATATATTTGGTCTTCGTCCCTGTCTCTTGGCGCACAACTCCTAAAATCCTTGAAATCTTCAAAGTGATTTTATGTTAAAAAGTGCCTTTTCATATGCGAATGAGTTTACTGAGGGGTTGGCAGCCCATAGGCAGCTTCAGGATGGGGGCTGGTTGCTGGAAAGACCAAGGCAGAATTAGAGGGTTGGGACTTTCAACCCTACCCTGCAACATCCAGGGAAGGGAGAGGGGCTGAAGGTTGAGTTGATTTCCAATGGCCAGTAACTTAATCAATCATGCCTATATAATGAAGCTTCCATAAAAACCCAAAAGGACAGGGTTCAGAGAGCTTCCAGACTGCCACATCCCTGGAAGTTCCTGGAGAGTGGCACACCCAGGGAGGGTATGGAAGTGCCAAGCCCCTTCCCATACTTTGCCCTATGCATCTCTTCAACTGTATCCTTTGTAATATCTTTTATAGTAAATAGGTAAATGTAGATGTTTCCCTAAGTTCAGTGAACCACTCTAGCAAATTAATCAAACCCAATGAGGAGGTTGTGGGAACCCTGATATATAGCTGGTCATCAGAAGCACGGATCAAACAACCTGGAGCTTGTGATTGGCATTGGAAGTGGGAGGCGCTTTTGTGGGACTGAACCCTTAACCTGTGGGATCTGATGCTATCTCCAGGTAGGTAGTGTTGGAATGGAATTGAGTTAGAGAGCACCCAGCTGGTGTCAGCTACTGGAGGAGTGCTTGCTTGGTGTGTGGGGAGAAGCCCCCTACATTAGGTGTCAGAAGCTGCATGTGACTATGTTGTGAGAGGGTGGCAGGAAGAAACTGAGTTTGTTAATCCTATATTTTCAGATCAGCAAAGAAGCCATTGCATTTTGCATGGTGGAACCACTAGTGAACTTGAAAAGACAATTTTAAAGGAATAACAGAGATAAAACTCAAATTGGAAATTGTTGTAAGAAAAAGGAAGGAAGACAGTGTCTGCAGACAGCTCTCTAGAATTTTGCTCTTCCAAGGAAGAGAGAAATATGGGTGGAAGCTAAAGGGGGATGTGGGCTCAAGGAAAGGTTTGCTAAAATGGGAGGTGTTCTATGCTGATGTGAATAATTAGGAAGAGAGGGGGAAATGGATGTAGCAAACAGAAGACAAGCACAGGAGCAAAGGGCTTGGAAAGACTGAGAGGATATGATCCAGAGCCCAAGAGGAGGAGCTGACTTTTAATAAGAGGATGGACACATAGTCCATTAGAAACAGGAAGCCCACGTCACTCTGGGTCTCACTTTATCAGGCTTGTCAGTGGCAGGGATTAAAGACAGGCCCTGTCTCCTGAAGGCAGGCAGAGAACCAGGCAGGAAGGCATGATATGGGAGCCATGCTGCTGCCTGTGAACCAGATGATCTAATGTTATGCTGTTCTTGGTGTAACCAAAATGGAGGTTCAGTTGCTTGCCACTTGTAGAGTTCAACTAACAAGAGGTCTGGTATAAAGACACTGACTTTATTCCAAAGTTTAGCTTAGGGGAGGAAGTCCAGGCTTCTGCCTTTAAGGCTAGCACTTCACTTTTGGGGCAGAAATTCGGGACTTTTAAAGGGGGACTTAATTTGAACGGCATACAGGGGAGGGAGCGAGCAGGTGTGGGGTCTACGTGGTTTGTGCGTTATCTGCCAGGTGGTTGAGCTGGTGCCATCGTGGGCAGAGCTAGGTTATAAAGTGGCCATGATTTTGAGATACTCTTCAGGTGGGAAAGAGTTTTGTAATGGGCACCCTTCAGGTTGTAAATAATTGACTGCTGTCTCTCGACGCAAGCTCCTGGTAGGAGAGAGCTCAGCTCTGGAGCTGCTAAGTAAGCACACAGTCAGATAAGCTTGCCCAGAAGGGAGTGTCTGGTGAAGGGAAGGTAAAGGTTATAATCATTTCTAAAGAGCTAAGTAGGAAGCAGGGAATAGGAGAAAAGAGAAAAGAGAAAATAATCATAACTGTAAAAATTAACTTTTTTTCTCTTAGAAACAGGGGGGGTACTCAGTTTCATTGGTGCTTGTTTTCTTTTGCCATCCTTGAGACTTCAGAGAAATCTAATTTAAATATCCCAGGCTGGTCTCAGCTGTGCCAGAGAATTCAGGAAAAGCATTCAGCTGGTGTCAGCTGTGGAGAATTCAGGAAAAGGTCAAGTACCCATGCTTGGGATGGGGGTGAAGGAGGAATGGTAATCGACAGATTTCTGAGAGTAAGGTGAGTATTCCTCAAGTTGAGCTGGTGAGGGCCAGTGTCCCCACCTCCCCTGCCATTTGTGACTCCCTCCTTCCCAAATGGAGAGTTATTAGGGAAGATCTTTCCCTTACCTTGTCCATTGGACGAGCCGTCCTGATGCACTTCCTCTTTCCCTCCAGCTCGTGTCACTAGAAGCTCACTCTATGCTGAAGACCACACTGGTCGGCGTGGAGGGGAAAACAAAGTGAAATGCTGCTGCTTTAAAAAGTGCTGACAGGTGATAGGGAGCCAGGGGTATGTGTTTTTCTGAGGATCTTTATAGTTGGCTCTATAGTAGAGTCCTAGAGTCCTAGAATCCTAGAAGTTTCGTGTTGGAGGGGTTTTCCAAACCATTTAGTTGCATCCATTTGAGATGGCTGGAAGCGCACAGAGGCAAGGAGAGTGAAAAGATGACCTGTCCTAAGATCACTTCCAGTCAAATCATCTGTAGGCCAAGTGCAGGGGTTGGCTGGTGAACTGGTTCTGAGAGCTGAAAGTGGGGTGTGGAGGGTTTAGGACAGGCACCAGTCTCACTCACTGCATTAAAAGGGCAGTTCGACAAAAAACCAAACACCGCATGTTCTCACTTATAAGTGGGAGCTGAACAATGAGAACACATGGACACGTGGAGGGGAACAACACACACCGGGGCCTGTGTTGGGTTGGGGGTGAAAGGGAGAGCATGAGGAAGAATAGCTAAGGAATGCTGGGCTTAGTAACTAGGTGATGGGATGATCTGTGCCGCAAACCACCAAGGCGCATGTTTGCCTATGGAACAAACCTGCACATCCGGCACATGTACCCCTGAACTTAAAAGCTGAAGATAAAAAATAAAAATAAAATTTAAAAAGGGCAGTTGGATTTAAAGGCAGGAGCTGACTTCAGCGACCCTCCATTATGGGTTTTCTAGGCTTTCGGAAGGTTCAGGACCTCAGGAAGTAAGAGTTTGTCCCATTGCCCTGTAGCCTTTTACTGTCACGTCCCAGGGTCTCAGTGACCCAGCCCTAGGGGCACTCTGGGCTCCTTCTGCAAACCCTTCGAGGCCTGCCTGCTTCTTTCCCAGTCACAAAGCTTCCGAGAAGCTGAATTCCATCTGAGGTTGATCTTCCCTCAGTGCAAGATGAGGCCTCGCGTATCCCTGGGGTTAGGGCTGACTGACAGCAGCTTCCCACTCAGCTTTTTAGGGATGGGAGGAGTTGGATTTGATATGGCCAGTTGGTGGATGGGAGAAGAAAAGTCAAGAAAGAACTATTGACTTAGGAAGACTTCTGGAAAGGCCCAGCGGAACACCGTCCCCCAACCCCGAGTAGTTTAAAGCGTTTCTTCTCTGGCACAAATCTGAACCACATTCCCTCCTTACTCAGCCCTACCCTGACCTGGGATAGCAGGGGACCCAAAGGAACCAAGGCAGCTTTTTGTTTGTTTGTTTGTTTGTTTGTTTTGAGATGGAGTTTCGCTCTTGTCGCCCAGGCTGGAATGCAATGGCGCCATCTCGGCTCACCGCAACCTCCATCTCCCGGGTTCAAGCGATTCTCCTGCCTCAGCCTCCCGAGTAGCTGGGATTACAGGCATGCACCACCACACCCGGCTAATTTATTTTTATTTTTAGTAGAGATGGGGTTTCTCCATGTTGGCCAGGCTGGTCTCAAACTCCCGACTTCAGGTGATCCACCCGCCTCGGCCTCCCAAAGTGCTGGGATTACAGGCGTGAGCCACCGCGCCCGGCCCCAAGGCAGCTTTTAAGGGGATGTGCAACCCCAGTTGCTTTCCAGGCGGCCTTAGCAGCAGAAGCACCTGCAGTCAGTGCCCACTAGGTGGAGACAGAGTCCCGGAGATGCCGGCAGCAGCCTCACTACTCCAGAATCCCAGGCTCCTGGGTCCCTGGCTCCGTGGGCTCCTGTTCTGGAAATAAATGTCTAGGACCCCAGCTCCCCTTCCAGACCAGCCAGAGCCTGTCCCCATTGATAACTCACGTTTATAGCATCGTGGTGTTTAGAAAGCTGATTCACGTCGTTACTCTAGTTGGCTTCACAATTGTCCTGAGGATGGGTGGGCTAGGTATTTGCTGACCCCAGTCTTAGGGTTGAGGAAGTGAGGCCTTCGGGAGCCTTTGAGATACAGTGAAGGTCACGCGGTGCACAGCAGAGCTGGCCTCAAACCCAGGTCCCCTCGACTGAATCCCAGATTCTGCCAAATCTCAGCTGCCCCTCTTCCTCTAGGGTGCACCGCACGGCAGCCACCAAGCTATTTGGCATCAGAGTAGAGCCTGGGTGCTTGGTTCCGTGGGTCCGTATGCTGCACCCTGATGGGGCCCATCTGGTCTTCAGAGAGCTGCTGTGCCCCAAGGCCAGGGCCCAGCTCTGCCTCAGGGGATTTGAGGGCACTCAGAGATGCAGGCAAGGACAGTGTTTATGAGCACCTCTGTACCCCAGAATGGGAGAACCAGCAGGGCTTGACCACACCGGAGCCCGGAGCGGGCCTCCTCTCCCCAGACATCCCTGGATGTGTGAGTGCTGGAGGGAAGTGGGGATTGGCATCGAAGGTCTGACTTAGACCTGCTTGGTAAAGGCTGAGAATGAAGGAAAGGCTGTATTCCCAAAGTTGCCAGCAAATTCTGGACAAGCAGGTGAATGAGGCAGAAAAGCTGAGAGCAAAAAAGCAGTTTCAGTTCCACATAGGGAAGGGCTTCCTTTCTCGTGGCAAGGGGTAGAAGTTATGGGAACACACAACAGAAATTGTCAAAGCTGGCTGGGTGGGGACAAGTGGGGCGGCCATCTCCGCGATGGACAGCATGCCTGAGATACCACCTACCAGCTATGGAGCCACAGCCTCAGTTTACCCATCTGTAAAATGAGGCCAGCGCTCAGCGTCTCATCCCACAAGTGAAGGCTGAAAGGCAGCATTCTGAGTGTGCTGTGAATAGCAGACCCCTCTGCTTGGTGAGCTGTTGTGTGTTGTATGTTCCCACTCTGTCATAGAGTCAGAATAAGAGGAGCCCCATCGGGTCCCAGAGTAGGTATGGATGAAGTCAGTGATTTCTCATGTTGTCTGGCCCTGGAGATTCAGTCAGGGTGGTGGGTAAGGGGGCCTTGTGCCAGGCTGCATCTCTCCACCCTGCCTCCCTGGGAAGACATGAGGGAACGGGTGCAGCCAGCCGGTGTACAGTTGGGAGCGGCTGAACGCAGCGTGGCTTTGCTATTAATGTAGTCAGTAAATAAATAAAGGAGGGCTTAAGCTTAGTGTACAGCAATCAGTTTAGAACTACAGGGTAATTAGCGCTGCAGGGGGCTGCAGGGCGGCAGAGTCAGGTTTAAATGAGCGAGTTCACTTTCACTGAGGCACCCCCTGGGTGCAGAAAACGCAGCCTGGAGAGGAGCCTGCCCTCCTGCCAGCCCACGAGTGGAAGTGGGGATGGCGGCGGGGCTGGGCCTGAAACCACACAGAGAGCTGGGGGATGGACCTGCCCCCATGGGCCAAGGACCAGGTGTCTACATATGCAACCCCCCAGCCCCTCTCCTGCCCCGCATCCTGCCCAGCAACACCCAGGCAGCTCCCAACTATGAAGCACCACTGCCCTGTTGCCTCCTGCTCCTTCCTCTGGCATGCGGCAGACACGGGTCAGGTGGTCTATGAATCGACATGAGCACAGGTGTGGGGATGCAGGAGCTCCCCCCCCCCCACTGGGCCTCTGCGTGTGTGTACACGTGTCCTGGGGAGGTGCCCGAGCGGGCATGTGATGTTCCTCCTTCCCTGCTCTCACGTGCCCCTGACAACTGCAACATGAGCCCTGGAGTGCTAATTACCTCTCTGTTTCCCTCCTTCTCCCTCTCTTTCTTTCATCTATTTATACAACAAAGATTTACCGGGTGCCTATCATGTGCCAGGCAGCATGAAGCTCTGGAAACACAAAGATAGATAACACACAATTCCTGACCTCAAGGAACTGACAGTCTGGTAATGGTGACAGTTAAGGAAACAGGTGACTAAATGGTACTATAGAGACTCTATGCCTAATTTAGCTTCAGGGGTCCAGGGAAGGCTTCCTGAGAGAAGGTTTGAGCTGAAAAGTGAAAAAGGAGAAGTTGAGAGAGCCAGACAGAAGGGGTGTGTGTGTTTGCGTAGCTCTCAGAAGAGGAAACAGCACACGCACAGGCCCACAGGGGAATGGAGCTCGGTGTGGCCCAGAACACCCGTGGTCCCATCGGCTGGAGCAGAGTAGGGGTTGGCCGAGGGGCTCAAGAGTGATCTTAAGACGAAGTTGGGTGCTGAGCAGGGGCTCTGTCACTCAGGGTGTCTTGGAACTTTGTTAAGGAGTTTGAATTCCATCCTCAGAGTACTGAGGAGTCACCAGGGACTCTCATCTAGGGAGCGACATGATGCTATTTGCATTTTTGGAAAATCGCTCTGGGCAGCAAGCAAAGCAGAGGATGGAAGTGACAGAGGGTCTGGGCTGAAGCAGGGCACTGAGGCCAGTCATCTTCAGATCCCCAATCCCCTCCCTTCCTGGTGCCAGGGGCGTGAGGGGCTCCCACATGGGAAGGCCTGGCCGTGCTGAGTGGAGGGAGGCGGCCTTGGCCTTGGCTTCCCTTATGCCTCTTCTCACGGGCTGCAACTTGCCTGAGTCTTCAGCAAACCTCTGCTGGCGCCGGGCCTCAGCTCTCCACTTTGGTCAGGAGAGGAGTTCCTCAGAGCGACTGGGAGGAGAGCTGCTAAGGCTGAAATGACCCAAACGCCTCCTTGAACCCAGCCAGGACTACAGGGCATGCGGGGAGCTCCCGCTTAAGGTCCCTGGAGAACACCCTGCAGCCCCACGGCGGCATCCTCCCAGCCCCTGCCTCGGTGCCTGTCCCCTCTTCTGACCCCAGCAATGTGCCCTCCTGGTGAGTGTGTTCTGGAGGAGGCTGCCCACAATTGCCAGGGTTGGGGCAGAGGGCAGTGGCAGCCGGGGCTGGCAGGGGGCGGCAGTGGGGCCGCCTGCCCCAGGCAGGGAGGAGAGGGGTTGAGTCAGGCCACGGAGGGAGCATTCTCAGGCTGGCCTGGCCAGGGCCCCTTTCTCTCCATGAGATCATATCTGGGTCAAAGAGCATGTAAAGCTGGCAGAGCTGGCGGTCACACAAAGCCCATTCAGCCCAGCCCCTATTCACTCACCTCCTCTCCCCCAGCGCCCGCGCCGCCGCGACCCCAGCACAGCGCCTAAGCCCCAGCTTTGATGTCCAAGAACAGAAAACGGCGATTAAATGTTGTTTTAAAGAGGGAGTGCTCACTGCCCTCCCATCTGTCAAGAGAAAGCTGAGGCCTGAGGGAGGGGAGGGGAGCTGGGGGAGGGGCGAGGAGGCTGTGTGTGTGTGTCTGTGTGTGTGTGTCGGGGAGTTGGAGTAGAGTGTGGGGGTGAGGAAATAGGCAGGGGCCCAAGAAAAGCCAGGATCAGGACGGCTTGGGGGAATGGTGGCAACTGCTCAAAATCAAAACACAGAATTTGGTTAAGGACTGGTTTCCCAGATGAGAAATATGTGGAGAGGGAAAATAAGGTGGGACAGAGAAACAAAAGCAAAAAGAAAGGAGAAAAGACCACAGATGAGGAAGAGAGGGGAGGAGTGGAAAGGAGAGAAAAAAGATTGGGAGAGAGGAAAAAGATGAGGGGCAGGAGGGGTCAAGAAAGCACAGCAGACGGCAAAGAGGGAGAGGAGAAAGCAAAGACAGAGAAGCAACTTCTAGGGGCTGGAGGCCCCCAGGCTGCACCTGTTCCTCCTCCTGGGAAGATTGTCCGGTGGTAGGGGTAGCTCCAGGCGGTTTCTGCTCAGCAACCCCAGGGTCAGACAGACCCGGGTCTTGGCCCCAGGAGAACAGGGCTGAAAGGTAACCCTCCCAGTGCCACCCCTGGCAGGCCAGGCCTTGTTTGGCTCCCCAGGTGGGTGGCGGTGGCGCGTGGGGTGATGGCTCCCTGCGACTCCTGGTGATGCTGGAGGCCAGGCCTGATGCTCGGTGTGGGTTTACCCTACCGGAGTGACCCAGCACGACAATCATGGCTGTGTCCCCTGGGTCTTGAGGAGGAGAGGGGTTATTTTGGTCAGAGACAGGCAGTGAGGACGGCCTCAGGCAGAGGTGCTGAAGCACCACGTCTAGGATTGAGTGGCTTTGGTTTTACAGCTAAAGATAGGGCGATGCTTCTATCCCCGATAAGAGGAACGGGGAAAGGGCCAGAGAAGAGGGCTTGGCCCAGACACAGGGAGATGAGACAGGGAGGGAATCGTACCCATTGAGTGTTGTGGAAATCCTTTATTCCGTCCATGACAATGCAGAGCTTGCACGGCCACCTCCCACCCATCCCCTCCCCTGCACAAGGCCACCTGCTCCAATCTCCTTTCTTAACAGCTCTTGGCTGCTACAGACGCAGGCAGGGACCTTTGATTGTGTGGAAGCTTCTTGTTGAGAAATTTCTGAAGCTTGCTTAGCCACTAAGGAGTCAGTTGAAAATGTCTCTCTAAAGACTAAAGAAGACGTGAGACCCCTGCTTTGAGAACTCTGGAGTAAAGGAACCTGGCCTGGTATCAGGAGAGGTGGATGGAGTTCTGACTGCTGCTCACCAGCCGTGCAATCCTGAGCAAGTTATCCTAACACAGCCACGGATTCCGACTCAGCGGCCCGCTAGCATGGTAGCCCCAGGGCGGCCAGGGTTTGTCTGTTTGTCCTTTGCTGTAATTCCCAGCGCCGACAACAGTAACTGGTACATGGTGGTCTTGCTGAATAAGTGAACAAGTGCCTACCTAGCACATTGTACCAAGGATCATACGATATTAACGTATTTAACATTTTTTAACTAAAAAGTATTAGAAAAATGTTATTCAGTGCATCTGTGCCTTGTAAATGTGGCATAAAAGTGACACATAGATAAGTCTAAATATGTGTAATACAGAGCTTTCTTTTTCCCAGTCCCCACACAAAAATCTTAATTCCTCTACCATGTTCCCCACACAAGAAAAGGCAAAAAAAACAAAAAAAAAAAACAAAACAAAACCAAGTACTTCAATAAAAAGGTGGGACGCTTCAAGCGAGAGACAACTGAATTAACTTTATTCTCTTCTAACTGCAGATTCAAGGTATACAACTGAACATTGCTATTTTTCTTATGAGACTTATAAATAAAAATACAAAAAATGTTCACTACAAAAAAATCTACTGTTAGTAGGATGTAAAAAATATTCTCTTTGCTATAGAAGGCACAAACTTCACTTAGTGACACATGGAGAGAGAAAAAAACCTGCAGCAGTAAATTCATTTTTTCTTTTTTTTTCCTTTTTTTTTTTTTTTAAATCTTGTCAGAAACACTGAAATTACAAAGAAACGCGTCAATCTACACGAAACGAAGGCAGATGCGGAAAGCTGCAACCAGGACTGCACAACTTCGAGTGAAACTGCTTCGGAACTAGAACAGATAAGGAGCGGCAAGCACAACTCGGGGAAGTGGGCTGGGGAGGGGGCAGCAGGAGGCAGGAGAGAGGGAGAGAGAATGGAGTGGACAGAAATGAGACGGGGAGCCAGAGGGAGGAGGGGAGGGCGGGAGAGGGAGATGGAGAGGGCAAGGGTGAGAGGTGGGGAGGAGAGAAAGAGAGAAAGAGATTGATTTGTACAAAAAAGTAACCAGTAAAATTGAAGAAACAAAATTGGGCAACCTCCTAAAATTAGGCTAAGAGGAGGTGCTGAGGTAGACATTAACTAGAACATTGATGAATTAAAAACACTATTCTGTAATACAGAGCAATCCGACTGGCACTTGTGCTATCACGACATAAGACAAGCCACAAAAACAAACAAATAACAAAACGAAACATAATACCCAAACCAAAAGGCTTAGTTTTGCTTGGTCCAGCAGGGCAGCAGGGCCCTCAGTGCTATAATTTACATACATATATATATATATTTATCTTTATATATACGGGTTGGATGTCATGGTGCACCACCACGGCTTCTTAACCTTACGAAGATCATGCATAACACTATGTGAACAAATCCTATGATACACACCAGGAGGCTGGTACCCTGTCTGCGAAGTTGGATGCCAAGGGCCCGGGGAGGCCGCAGCTGCTGGCTAACCGGCCTGCAGGGCCTGCACCCCTCTTTCTCCCCACCCTTTTCCCCTGACCCAACCTCTCTGGTTTGTCCTGCACCCCTCTCCTGGCCATCTCTGCCTTTTTCCTCTCCCCATCTGTCCCACCGCGTAGGGTGAGTCTCGCCTTTCATCCTCCCACTGAAATATCCAGGTAAGTGCCACCATTACAGCCAAGCCGGCAGAGGCTCCAGGAAGGAGGAGGTATGATGGGAGGGGGAAAGATGACCACAGGATGGGCCTAGGAAAAGTGAATGAACAGAGTCTCATCTTCTGCTTTTCTGTCTCACATCCTGGTGCGCCCCCAGTTTTCACCCTAGCTCGGCTTGCCGGGAAGCAGGCCCAGAAACTACCCTGACCCTGCCAGCCGTCATGGACAGAGTCGAAAGGCTGCCCCACCTCTGCTCTCTCCCCTATAGGGAGGTAAGCTCAATGGCCCTCTTCCATCCACAGCAATTGTACCAATAGCATCCAGAAAGGTACCATACACTTGTGAAAAATTGCAGCAGTTTTTTTTTCTTTTTTTTCTCAACATGGAAAAACTGTTCAGGCACAAAGATTAAACAAGCCCGCGTTGCATCCCTTGGATTGTACTGAATCACTGGGTCCCCCAGCCTCCCTACCTACCCCTGCACCCCAGATCTGCCTTCCCCATATTCATGGCCTCCTCCTCCAAAGCAGCCCAAAGCAGCAATGATATTTACTATTTTATATCAATCTCTTGCTATATATATATATATCTATATATCTATATATTTGTCTATCCTATATATACATAGGATTTTAATGCTTTGAATGAGTGAAGGAGTGAATAGGGAAAGAGCACATGAGGTGTAAATGTCACCAAATGCATTAAGGGACATATTTGTAGGAGCTGGACATGGGAAAGGGACTATTAACCAACGTGGCCTTGCCAGGCTGGAGAAGTTTTTCACTGTGCTGGATAAGGCAGTAGCAAGCAGGGTTGTCAGCAGTACCACAGCTAAAGGCAGCCAGGGGGCCGAAGGAGTCAGGTGGCATGAAGAAGAGGGGAGGACAGATATTCAGATCCCACCTGGGGAGAGACCCCTGTCTACCCTCCTCCTCTCCCCTTAACTCCAGACACATATAAAGCCTCCAGACAGCCTCTTAGCTTGCCCCCTGGCCACTAGGCCGTGCAACATTAGAACTGTTCTGTTGTTGTAGGTAGGAAGTTGGAGAAGAGGCATGTTAGACTCTATTCAGGTGTCTTCATGGGGAGAGGAAGGTACAGTAAGTTCAGAGGTGTCCCCAGACAGTAGCCCTCAGAAACCACACTCCCCTGAGCTCTCCCCATACCTCCCTACTGGGGTCTGCAGGGCCCACGGGGTTGGGTGGGGCATCCAGGTGCTGATTTAGTACCATCCATTGCTGCAACACCAGATTACGACAATACTGCATGATTTAACACACAACCACACACACAAAGCACACGCGCACACGCACATACATGTACAAAGGGATATTTTGGTGGTGGTGGATTTTTTTTTGTCTTTTGTCTTCCTATTCACATTACAAAAGGAAAGGGCAAGGTTCTGCAGAACTGACGAAGGAACTAACAGATACTACAAAAATATTACAATTTGTGAAGATTAGCTCAACCCTCTCAGCTTTTATGAATGGAGCGGGGAGGGGCCCAGGCTGAGTGGGAAGGGCATGGGAGTGAGGGGGCCAGCTAGTTCTATGGAATAGTTTGATTTTTTTCTCTTCCTTCCCCACCAATGTTGAATGACATCTTGCTGTTAAAAATACTGTTTTCTGGGATTTACAGATCCCCTGAGGGCCAGCCAGTCCCCGCTTCTTCCCAGACCAGAGGAGGAAGCCATAGTGCATAATGATTTCTTACAGACGGCCCCTCCCCCAAATGATTTCACCCTTTTCACATTATAAACATGACAACTGTTCTAGTCACGTATTTCAAGTTTAACTTCTTTTCCTTTCCAAAACACTAAGTCGTTACTATAGTTGCAAAATAGCATCCTCCCTACTTTACCATCCCTAATCCACAGTCTAGTGACACCGTCCTCCCAATTCACATCCTCCCAACACACAATTTTAAGGCCTTCAGATTTGGTGGATGAGATTGAAGGGGAGGGCAGGAGGGCTGGGGCCGAGGGACGGGGGGGTCGTCGCAGCAGCACCCATCCCTCCGGCTTCCCTACATTCCTCGTGATCCTTCTCCCCAAAACCGCTTCCCTAAACCACTTTGTAAAACCTAAGATCAAAACGCAGCCACAACTTTCTCAGAGAGAGAAAGGAAAGAAAAAATAATAATAAAAAACTCTTACACATAAAGCATGAGATGAAACGGAGGGTCCGTCCCAAAGCAAACACGAATATTGCAAATGTGCTTTCCAAAATTCAGGAGGGTCGGGGGAGGTTGGGGAAAAGAGGGAGGAAGAGCAGCAGAATGGGAGGCGGGAAAGGAACAAAAGAACAACTGGACAAACATAAGAGGTAGCTTTTAGAAAAACAACACCCCCACCCCAACACAACAAAACAAAGGCTGGATCCCGCCCCCCTCCCCAAAGACCAGCCGTGAAAATAGACCAATTCTGGCAATGAGAATGCACGCACAGAGGTGAGACCACACAGTTGCAAGGATCCAAACACAGGCCCTCAAACCTCAATGGCCCAGCAAATTGTAAGAAAGGTGGGATTCTCTCCAGAGTGTTTTAGGCGGAACGGATGGTGGCCACAGGTGACTTCATGCACCAGCGGAGCCAAAAGTGACTCCCTAGTGCCCTCTGGGGACCATGAGACCCCAAAGCAACATCCCCTCCCCACCCACGCTCTTCGCCCTCCTCGGCCCTCACATTCAGATCCTGAGTATCAACTCCTCCTGCACAGTTCCTGCCAGCTGGGAGGCTGGTCTCCAGGGGCACGGGGAGGGTCTTGACCAGCTGAAGTCTATAAAAACAACTATTAATTTACACAAGAAACAGAAAAGAACACCCTCCCCATTCCTCCAAGCCCCAACCGAAAAAGAGATACAGAGGTTAAGAAAGCTCATGAGGTCACAAAAAACTGAGGTAATTCAAGTACAATGTGCTAACAGGGGACACAGAAAAGAAGCAAAACATAACACAAGGCCAAAGCGCTTTCAAATCCTCCTCCTCCTGCAGCTCCTCCCCCTCCTTCTGCTCCTCCTCCTCCTCCTCTCCACTGTGGACCGAGGGGCGCTGTGAGTCAGGAATTCTGTGCGACTCTCTCTGGACCTGGCTTTTCTTGCTGAGCTCACTACATCTGGGGTCCCCAGTGTGACTCAACAACTTTCTCCCTTGCCCAGCTTCCCTCATCCCACGGGCTGGGTGTCCTCTTTTCCAGGTGTGGGACCCCTCTAGAGAAAGACATCCACAACCTACCCTCGGAACCTCAGCCCATTCATGGATTCCTTCTCCTGGGACTGAAGTAGGGCTACGTAGGGACTGTGGTTTGTTTGGTAGGATATTAGGTATTTAGTTGTGATGCTTTTCCATTTTGGAAGCAGCGCAGCAGGAATCTTGCTCACGATGGTGCTGGACTAGGGTGGGGTATTGGATTTGTTTTGTGTTCTCAGAAGGCTGAGGGTAGGAGGGACCCTGAAGTCAGAGGCAGCTATCCCACTAGGGAACCGGAGAAGGATGGAGACACCGCCAGGTCCCTGAGGGGCTGGGACTCCCCTGGGACTTGGAGGACAGGAGTCAAGGGGAGGCTGGGAACAAAGAGCTGGAGGAGGGGCAGGGGTCCTGAGGCTCTCAGAGACCACCGGGGGACACCCAGATGTGGCAAAGCAGAGGAAAGCAGCAGGTGGGCTGAGTGGTGGGAAGAGAAACAGAGCCCTTCTCCTCCCCAGTCAGCCGCCAGCAAACTAGAGCTGCCATTTTGAGCAGCTAGTGACCCAGCCCAGACCCATCAGCAGGGGAGCGCCCTTCTGGCTCACCTCCTCCCTCCCTTCATCTCCTGGGGGTCTTGGTGGAGGAAGGCCGGCACAGACCGTGTGGCTCTGACCAGAGGACCTCTCACCTGCTTTCTAGCCTCCATTTCTGGACACATAAAAGAAGGTCTGGGTGAAGGAAGGAGAAAAATGTGCCACCATTTGAGTGAACAAAATACCCAACCCCATCCCAGAAAATCAGGCAAACCTCCAGCCGGGAGAGGAGGGTGGAGGCCCCCAGAGGAGGGGCAGTGGCTTGGCATCCAGGTCATCTGGAGCCCAGAGAGAATCCAAGGCCAAAAAGCTACCAGGTTTCCTTTTCCTTCTGTTTTTTTTTTTCTTTTCCTTTTTTATTTGTCATAGTCCTTCCTTCATCTCACTCCAACTCTTCTTTCCTGGCTCCCCGCTCGGCTCCACCGCCGCGGGCCTCCCTTCACACATAGCACAGGTAGAGGTACGTCTTCTCTATCCTCCAGTCGGGCGGGATCTCCTCGGGCTTGTGGCCCTTCATGTGCTTCTGCATGGAGGAGAGGCTGGGGCAGTACTCTGTGCAGATGGTGCACTGGTAGGGCGAGGCGCCGTTGTGCGTTCTCAGGTGCTTGATCATGGCCGAGTAGTCCCGGGAGCGCTGGTGGCAGAGCTTACACTCAAAGGGCTTCTCACCTGAGGGCGGAGGGACAGGGCAGGAGAAAGTGAGGACAGACAGAAGGCGGTGAGGGCACCATGTCACCCTCAGGCGTGCCAGGGAAGCTGGGTTCCTCCAGCTGGGCTTGCTCCAACAGAACTTTCTGGGACAATGAAGGCACCACCCAAGACGGCAGCCACCAGTCACACATGGCTATGAATGAGGCTGGTGCGACTGCAGCTCTACAGTTTTCTAATTTTATTTCATTGTAACTAATTTAAATAGCTACATGTAGCTAGTTGACTACTGGATTGCCCAGCTCCTTGTCTTACTATTCTTAACTCTCCCAAGGCCACAGTCTTTTCCCTTTCTAATTAAGAAAATGGGTGTCTAGAAAGAGAAAGGCCCCAAAGTCCTCAGGAATGGCTCTTCAAGCCACAGTTCCGTCCAGAGAGCAGGTGGATCGAGACCTTTCAGGGCTACAGATGGTGGGGAGCAGGGGTGGGGGGAAATTGAGGGAACCCAGTCCTTCAAATATGCTGCACCTGGGGACACCTATCCTGCTAAAGCTCTCTTTTTTTTTTTTTTTTTTGAGACGGAGTCTCGCTGTGTCGCCCAGGCCAGACTGCGGACTGCAGTGGCGCAATCTCGGCTCACTGCAAGCTCCGCTTCCCGGGTTCACGCCATTCTCCTGCCTCAGCCTCCCGAGTAGCTGGGACTACAGGCGCCTGCCACCGCGCCCGGCTAATTTTTTGTATTTTTAGTAGAGACGGGGTTTCACCTTGTTAGCCAGGATGGTCTCGATCTCCTGACCTCAAGATCCACCCGCCTCGGCCTCCCAAAGTGCTGGGATTACAGGCGTGAGCCACCGCGCCCGGCCTTTTTTTTTTTTTTTTTTTTTTTTTTGAGATGGAGTCTCACTCTGTTACCCAGGCTGGAATGCAGTGGTGCAATCTCAGCTCACTGCAACCTCTGCCTCCCGGGTTCAAGTGATTGTCCTGCCTCAGCCTCCCAAGTAGCTGGGATCACAGGTGCCGCCACCATGCCCGGCTAATTTTTGTATTTTTAGTACAGACAGGGTTTCACCATGTTGGCCGGGCTGGACTTGAACTCCTGACTTCAAGTGATCTGCCTGCCTCGGCCTCCCAAAGTCCTGGGATTATAGGCATGAGCTCCCCCACCCGGCCTATCCTGCTAAAACCGCTAAGACCTTGCCCTGGACCCTGCCTCCCTCCTGAGGCTGGAATTGGGGGTGGGGTGGGATGGGAGGGATAAAGAACCTGGGAGTGCACAGCCACACCCTAGCGTTCTATACCCCAACTTTCCTTCCATAGAGTCCCCTAGAGCTGAGCAGAGGATGTAAGGGAACCTTGTTTCAATACAGTAATTAACTGGCCAGCCATCTCGCTATCAATACTCCCCCGCGCACAGGCCCCAGCAAATAATGAAGTAATGAACAGCCAAAGTGATCTAACTATCGACCAGCTATTTACAATAGTCACTGCCAATACAGTTAATGATCCACCTGCCAGGTCACATCCCTGACAAGGGGCTAAGGAAACCCCAGGGCTCTGGGAAATCCTCTGGGCCACTATAGTTGTCATCAACGGACACCCAACCCTCTCCTTGTGGGCTCAAACTGGGACACGAAAAACGAGCTCTGACAACACATAGCTCTGCTTACTGCTCCTTCTGTCCACCCTTCCCCTCCAAGGGCAACGTACTCTCCTCTAAGCCAGCAGGACCTGCCTGAAGCCACCTCTCCCCCTTCCTCTGGACAGGACAGCTGTCTCCCCTGATCAGAGGGGGCGTCTTTGTTTTCCAGCTTCCACCACCTCTCACCCTTCTGTAAATCAACCTTCCCCACAACCAGCAGTGTGCTGGTGGTAAATGTTTCATGACTGGCTTTCCAAAAAGCCCTGGTTTGTAGCATCTGCTGATTGCTATGATGTGAATACTCCTACAGTGGCCAATTTTAAGCAACTAAGGTGGTGTCACTGAACTTGAAGTTGTGAAGAAATGTGAAAAATTAGCTTTCACAAGCAAGCTCCAGGACTTCACTGCCCCCAACTTGGGAAACTGTGGAAGACCCTTCACTTGTTTTGTCTTTTGACCTCAGGGAAAACAGTGGCCCACATTTCTTTTTCCAATACAAAAAATAATGTGGATGGGCACGGTGGCTCACGCCTGTAATCCCAGCACTTTGGAGGCCGAGGCGGGTGAATCACTTGAGGTCAGGAGTTCGAGACCAGCCTGACCAACATGGCAAAACCCTGTCTCTACTAAAAAAAATACAAAATTAGCTGGGCGTGGTGGCACACACCTGTAATCCCAGGTAATTGGGAGGCTGAGGCAGGAGAATCGCTTGAACCCAGGAGGCAGAGATTGCAGTGAACTGAGATCGTGCCACTGCACTCCGGCCTGGCCAATAAGAGCGAAACTCCGTCTAAAAAAAAAAAATGTGAAGGCACTCTGAAGTGGTAAAACATCATATGCATATAGGGATTATTAAATATATCTGCTCTTCTAATCTCAGAACCAAACACAATCTAACTTTACAACTTCCCAACCTTCATAACAACCTAATTCAATGTATCCTAATTCTTACTCTAACCCTTGAGTAACATGAAATTACCCTAACCTTCACTTTCAGCTAATTGGACCAACTTACCCCTAATTCAGGACTCATATACAGACATCATTTTGCATGTCACCTCTGAACTACTGGTATAGCTGCCTGGAGGGCTGATGGGGGCTCACTGGAAAGTGTGCTGGGATTGATTAGTAATGTCTGCCTTGGCCTTGACTGATGGCCCTCAGGCCACCTTGACTGGGGTGTGGTGGTCCTCAGGCCACCATACCAGCTCTTAATAGAACCTCTTCTACTCTTTGATTCAGCCTGGGATCATCCTCACTTAGGCTTCTCTAGGAGACTATCTGCTTCCCACCTCCGCCCAGGTCCCAGAGCCAGCTCAGGCCCCTCCCTGGCCTTCGGTACCTGTGTGCACCCTATAGTGCGTCTCCAGCTGATGCTTGAGGCTGAACTTCTTGCCACAGCCATTGCACTCGTAGGGTTTCTCACCCGTGTGGATGCGTTTGTGGCTCTTGAGTGTGCTCTCATCCCGGAAGCAGCTGCCACAGAACTCACACTCGTAGGGGTGGTCGCCTGTGGAGACAAGGGGCTGGATCAGGCCTTTGCCTCTCCCTGCCCCCTCTTCAGGGGACAGTAGGGCACATTCTGTGCATGAGAAGGATGCGACGGCCTGTATTCACCACCTCCAAAGACAACTTAAGGATCCACGGCCACACCTCCATTGAATAAACAAGCAATACCTGTCTTCACACATGACCATACTTTACTGTGGCCCCATGATCATCTGTGGGGCAAGGGCCAGTCCTGGGAAAGAGAGCCCATTTGGTTCAGGGATGGACAGCAGTCCCCAGAAAGCAAGCCCCCTTGTGGATACATGAGACCTCACCATCTTGCTTCTCAGATGACCTCTTCTCCCCTTCCTTTAGGTTAAGGGTGAAAGTCACTCCAGCCTGACTCCCCAACCTTCAAAGAAATCTCTCCAATTTGAGGAACTTCACATTGTCCCCCAAACACCTTCTACAGTCCCCAATTTCCTTCCTCCACAGTCTTACATAGCTGTTTCCTCTGCTCGATTTCTTCTTTTCTCCCTGGTGAACTCCTAATCATCCTTCAAAGCCCAGCTCATATGATACCCCCGCGTGGACGCTTCCCTTTAGTTCCCCAGGCAGAATGAATCACACTTTCTTCTGTGTCCCCAAAGAGAAGAAATGCCCAGAATTTTGTTCTGTTATTAGTGTGGTATCATTTTTATGCCACTTTCGCATTAAAATGGGCTACATTTCCTGAGCACTCAGATGTGTGATGTGATCGCATCAGATGATCATGGCAACAAACTTAAAGAAAGATATTAGTCTCATTTTACAGTTGAGAAAAAAATGAGATGCTTCCACATCATCCCTAAGGTGAAACGGCAAGTAAGGAGCTGAGTTGGGATTCAGGTTTGGGTCTGGCTCTAGAGTCAGGGTACCATATACTTGTCAGCTTGCTGACACACTATGCTGTATCTACTGGCTTGCCCACCATACCTCCAGCATGGAAGCACCACCAGGATAAGAAGCAAGCCTCACCCATCCTTGTAGCCTCAGTGTATCGCACAGGGAGGATCCAGAACAGACCCAGGAAATGGTGGGTCTATGAAACTTGGAGAGAACTGCCTTTTCTTTTTTGAGGATCCCACTCTTAAATCTCCAGAGCATGAGAGGTTGGGGTGTGGAGAATAACCATCTTGCCTTTCATATCCAAAGTGGGGGGCTTGGGGGATGAAAGGTGAGGACTCCAGCTACTTATTTATTACAGGAGTGAAGGCGCAGACAATAAAGATAGATTGATCACCCCAGACTTTGTTCATGAATATTTAAATATCGCTGATTCGTCTTGTCACTGTAATTACAATTTCTCTGGGCTGCATCTCCAACAACCACAGTTTATGGTAAAGAATGGCCCACTGTATTTCACTTGTCCCTCTGCAGATGTGCGGGGCTGCCAACCGTGTAATGTCCTCTGCATTTCATACATTTTCTTCAGCTGCTGAAGGTTTAAGTCATCCACAATGACCTACGTTTTTGCATTATCCCCATGTCAAACTGCGCTCGTGCCTGGGCATAAATTGTCCTTCTCGTTATAGACTCGCATGCCTGTGCCTTCACTTCCTTTTTAAAATGATATTTTACTCTCTCCTGTCTCTCCCCTCCTCGGGCCACTAACCAAAGCTCCCCCCTCCCAAAGTTAGGCCCCTGTACCCACATAAATTCTCATCTGTTCTGATGGCTCTGAGGGGTTTTTAGGGCTCTGAGGGGAGCGGATGCTGGGGTCTGATCAGTGACTTTCTCATGGGTGGAAGATTTGCAAGAAGCACCCATGCCATGAGAGGGGCACTTCCATCAGGGAATCAGATGAGAGAAGCTCAAAGAGTGGCATCGTGCCTTGACACCAGTTCACCCCAATCTATGGGGTGTTGCACTGGCTCAGAGGCTCGGCCAGCGAGTCCCTCACCTGCAGATCTGGGGATGGGCCAAGGCCCAGGGTTCTCAGTTGGGGAAATTGCTACCTGCCCATCCTCACTGCCAGAGCCATGCGGACTGCCTGGCCCCCAGCCCCATCAAACTCAAGGGAGTGGAGGCCTGTGCAGACCCTGGTACTAATTAGTTGTGTGTCTAACACAGTAAGGGCCAGTCTGTGTGTGCACCCGAACCCACTCTCTCCGTGTGTCTGCACTCACAGCCCTGTCTGGTCTGACATCCAACTCCCCCTCCTTACTGAATCGGCAACGATTACGACTTTAATCAAAGATTCAGTATCCTCATTAAGGTATAAATAAATAAATAAAGCCAAGGCCACGTGAGACTTCAGCTGGAGCCGGTAATTAAAACGTACATCGGCAGCCACCCAGCCGGGTGGGGGTGAAGGCGGCGGTGGGGGGGAAGGGGGCGGCTGCCTGTGCCTTTCCCCTCCAGAGGGGTCCCTAACAATTTAAAAAACAAAGGGTTAAGACAGAGGAGTTTGTTTGATCCGATTTTTAGGAATTTAATTATGAAGTGGAGCACATGTTAAATGAGTTTAAATAGGAAATTCTTGAGTCTGCCCAGGGAAAAGAATAAAAAGAACTTAGAAGGAAAAACAAACAACAACAAAAAAAAAAGAAAGAAAAAGTCACCAACACACACGTATCCCCATCCCGATTTGGAAGCACGGTGTGCACCTGGCGTGAAATCTTCACCCTGAGAGCTGATTGTGTCAGTGTGGCCATAATGTACACAAAACTGGCTGCAGAACTCAAAATCCAATTTGTGGTATGTTGATTAACTCTGTAGCCTCTTTAATGAGCTTGACATTAAGTGCAGGACAAACGAGACTAATTAGAGCCCCCTCCAGCCTGCCCAGTGCACCTGTGACCCCGCCCCCCCCAATCTGTCCTTACTTGGTGCTTTCTCTGGCACTGGCCAAGCCCAGTGTCTGTCGTCCTCCCCACCCCAGCCCCATCCTGCTGGCTCCTCAGGCCCCTCCCTTCCAGCCCCTCCCTTCAGCACAGCTGAGAGTTTATTATATGATGAGCCGTGTGAATCAGGGATCCATCAATGCCAAGAGCACGGCTGGACTAACCTACCAAACACAGCTGCTGATGCTAAACACCCGGCCCCAGCAGCAAATGGGCCAAGAACAACGGAATATTAATGAGGCATTGTGTGTGGGGTGTGCACAGCCTGTATATGGCTTGTGTGCGCAGTGCCTCGCTGGTGTGAAAATTGATGGGTGTTTCTCTGTGTGTGCATAGGCAGCACACATGCTCCGTGTTTCCTAGAATAAGCAAGGGCTTCTCCCTAACTCTGGAAACAGCCCCTCCCCGTGGATCTGAGCCATGACTGACACAAGAGCATGTGACATTTTCATATCTGAGCTCTGAGAAGGTGGCATGGTCAGAGCAGGGCACATCCTGGGTGGATTTAGCAGGACTGAGATCATTCAAGTCACATGAAGCCAACTGATTGGACCCAGTGGCATGCTCAGAAGTGGCTGAAAGGTATCTAGCCATCTTTCATAAGACCGAATGAACCTGGGGAACTGTTGAGGGAGGCGTTCATAGGAAGGTGCATATAGCTGCAGGGGAAATGCTTACGCAATCGCTGTAGAGAAAGTCCTTGTCAACATCCCACTCTCCTGGGCCCTTTTTATTGAGCCCACCCCTCTGGGCCCTACCTCCGTCCTGTCCCAGAAATTTTAAGTAGTTCTGTGCAAATCTGGTGATGCTAAGACAATGTGCTCCCCTGAACAAAATGGCATCCAGAAGTGACAGCCAGGAAGGCTCCTTAATGAGGATACCTGCTGCTGGCTGGCCAGGCCAGCTCAGTCCATGAGAAGTAAAGCTCTTCCCTTATTTAGCAGAGCCTGCCACCCATGCAAGACCTGGTCTGCATACTCAATCTCTGAGCTGTGACAAGACTCTCAAAATGAGGAGAGGGCCTACTGTTCCTTTACGTGGCATGCAGAGGTTTTTACAAGTATACGCTCTGTTATATACCCAGATAGAGACCTGACCCCAACCCTCCCTACAAACACAGCACACAAAGGCAGACTCAGAAATGGGCATTCCTTTAACCAGGTAGTTTCAGCAGAGCCCCAGTTTTGTCATAGAGAAAATAAGGAATTTAAGCCATCCACTCCCCTGTTAGGGAAAACTGGGAGCTGCTGCAGGAAAGCAAATGCCTCTTGGCCATCAGGGACCAAGTGTCCCCATCCCTCAAGCCCTAGAGGCTGGTGGCAGGGAATGGCCAGCCCCTCAGCACCTGGCCCAGCCTCCTTACCTTGTACCCCCTCCCTTGTCCCATCACCTGGAACTGGCTGAGCAGTGATATTTCATTGCTCATCGTTTAAATGCCCTCCTTGTCTTCCCTAAACAGGGTTAAGGTCCAAGTACAGGCCTTTGTTACTGTGGGGAAAGTAGGATCACTGCTTCAACTTGCCCTCAGAAGCCCGAAGCTGACTTCAGAAATGTGTATGGATAGAGCGGCGGGGCATCAAGAGTGGTGGGAGGCAGGGCAGACAATGTTAAGAGACCCAGCAGGTCAGTTTTTCTCAAAATTCATTTTGGGTCTACCTACATGAGAATCCCTTGGGAATACATATTAATAATGCTGAATCTGGGACCCCACCCTGGACCCATGGAATAAAAGGTTCTGAGAGTGGGACCCAAGAGCCTGCCTTTTTAATGAGCATCCTGTGTTGAACACGGAAAGACTTTGAACCGACGGTCCACAGGAGGGGACTGGGAGAACTGTCCACATTTACCTGCACGACGGGCAGCCTCTGCACGTCCAAGCCTTGAGCAGAAGGACTGAAGGCTGACTCAGCCCACCACCTCCACTTTACGTCCTTGGAGGTAAATATAGACGCTGGCTCCCAGAGACCCAGATCCACCCATCAGCTGGACTGACCTACCTGTATGTGAGCGCAGGTGGCGTTTGAGAGCCGTGTGGCTGGGGAAGGTGCGGTTGCACTCACTGCAGATGTAGCTGCGCACGCCCGCGTGGACCTCCATGTGCTGCTGCAGTGCGCTCTGCGCCTGGAAGCGCTTCCCACACAGCAGACAGAAGACGGCCATGTCAGTGCCTGTGGGAGACAGGAGAGGGGGTGCCTCAGAAAGGTGGGAATACAAGGTGCATTCTTTACCCATCTGGAGTGAGAGCCAGTGTCGGGACTCACACCTCCAAATCCCCATGCTCAGGGGCAAATCCAGAGTGGGCCCAGGCTATGCAACACTGAGCACCCAGTATGTGGCCCCAGTGATGGGCAAAATCGACGTCGTTCCCGAGCTCTGGAAGCTAAAGCTAAAGGATAGACATTGATCAAATACATCGCAGCAGCAAGGGTAGTGGGCAACTGTGTCGGGTGGTATGTAAAAGGCGGCAAGGTACTAAGACAGCATATACCAGATGGACTTCACAGAGTACAGGGCAAAAAGTGGGGGAGGCAAGGTAGACCCTGCGAGAAAAAACAATAACAAAGATACTATGGGCCAGCCATTGTTCTAACATAACTAATATAAATCCAAAACTCAAAAAGCTAGCCTCTGTTATCCTCATCCCTTAGACAAGGAGACTGAGGCACAGAGAGATTAAGTACTTTGGCCAAAATCCCACAGAGCAGTGGTCCCCAACATTTTTGGCACAAGGGACTGGTTTCATGGAAGGCAATTTTTCCACGTATGGTTGGGGGATGGCTTTGGGATGATTCAAGCACATTACATTTATCATTAGACTCTCATAAGGAGTGTGCAGCCTGGATCCCTTGAATGCACAGTTCCCAATAGGGTTCATGCTCCTGTGAGAATCTAATGTCGCCACTAATATGACAGGAGGCGGAGCTCAGTTTCACTCGCTCGCCTCCTGCTGTGCAGCCCAGCTCCTCACAGACCATGGCCCGGGGGTTGGGGACTCCTGCCATAGAGTTCGTAAGTGGCAGGGCTGGGGTTCACACTCACACACCCTAGATTTTAATGCTTTCCCAAGACTAGCTACAGATCCTGTTTTGTTTTTTTTTTTTAACTACTTCTCCACTCACTAAAGCATGAATCTTAGGTCCATTCACTCAACAAGTATTATTTGATGCCTTCTACAAGCAAGGCTGTCTTTTTGGCACTGGGGATATAACCAAGGAAGAGCATGCAAAGTCCCTGCTCTCATGACCGACGTTACCCAGAACACCAGGTGAATGGCGGAATCCGGAAGATGGAATAGTGTCTGTGAACACTCTGGGCCAGGAGGAAACATGGCCGGTGGGAGGATCAGACAGAGGAATGGTGCAGTGCAGCTGGGGAAGAAGAGGAGGCTAAAGGGAAAGGCAAGGGCCAGGCCATGCAGGGTCTTGCAAACCACGTCAAGAGATTTAGTTCCATCCTAAACCCGATGGGCAACTGTCAAAGGATTGAAAGCTAGCGAGTGATGTGAGATTTTCATTTAATTCTAACTGGCTGTTCATCCCCAAAGTACCCCACACATACAGGCTGCCATTTTCTGTTTGTTACCAATCCCTTTCTGACACTGCTCTGGAGCCATGGCCGAAATTTCCAGCTGCAGCACCACAGGAGGAAGTATCTGACCTTGTGTCTGAGTCCTAACTGGCAGCTCAGTGCCCACCCTTTTGGGCTCTGTTTTCCTGAGCACAGGAGCTCCCCGGCAGGCCCATCTGTGTGTCTCTGTGCTGGTGCCTGGGCAATATCACCTGCACTTGGCCCCACACCGCTGTCCCCTGTGTGGGAAGGCACAAGCAGGAAACGTAAGTAGGCCTAGCATCTGTCAGTCCAGTCCAGAGTGGGTGGGGGGAGGGGGTAAAGCTTTGGCTGCTGGAAGCCATGGGCTGCTCAGCATGGAATCGGGAAGTGTCTGGTGGAAGGTAGGGGGAAGAGAAGGGATGGCACGAAGAACCTCCCTGCCTTCCTGGCCATCAATGGAGATAGCAAGTGAGAGGTCTGGTCCTCACCACCTCCGTCCCACTCATGGCTGGGTTAGGATGGACTAGTAGGCAGGCAAGGCCCACCTCTCACTGTCCCCCACACTTCTGTGCCCCTCACACCCACCCTGATATCCCTTCCCTTTGCAGACACTGAAGTCTAAGCACCTGGAGCCACGCCCCATCTCACCAGCAGTCAGGAAGGCTGAGCAGGGAAGGAGAAAAACAGCCAGCACAGGATTTTGCTCCTGGCCAACAAAAAGCAGGAAGGAAGGGGAGCGAATCTAGGCGTTATGCTAGGTACCTTATCTATGTTGTCAGTTCATTTAAAACTTGCAATCCTACAAGGCAGGCATTCTTATCCCCCTTTTTACCAGTGTAAAAGAGAGATTAAATAACTTGCCTAAGATCACACAGAAAGAGGCAGAGTTGGGATCTGAAAATATCTCGGTTTGTCTTTCAGAAACCACGGGGCTGGACTCAATGCTACCTCTGGAGCTGACTGCCCGCCTGTCTGGGCTTACCCTGGAAGAGGCCCAGTAAGGATGGTACAGAGGACTCCTGCCTCTAGTACAGCTCCAGCAATGGCTAGAGAACCCCTGGCCAGGAGTGGGCAGTAGCTGGGGCTGGGTCACAAGGCATAGCTCTCTGAGGCCTTCCAATCCCACTGGGAGCCACCAAGGTCTCTCAGAAATGCTGAGTAGTCTACTCAGCTTCACTTGCTGGAGGGAGACATAATGAGAGATGTATCTTTCTGGACAGAAGCAATGCCAAGAGTTGACAGTGAGTCTTCAATGTCCCTCCCTGCTTGGCCGACGTACACAGGAGGACAGTGCATCTGCAATGCGTTCTGTGCCCGGTGGCCCCCACTCCTTCAACTTGAGAGCCCCCAGCATCTACTCCCTCTCTGCCCTTAACCCCCACCCCACAGAGAGCCCAAATTAAGCCAGGTGTTCAAACAGCTACCTTAAATCAGTAGGGTTGAGTAGGCTTTGGAGGCCAGCCATGCCCTTTAAGAGCCAAGGCTTCTCCTTATGCATCCTCTGAGATCCCCGGCATGGAAGGAACCTGGGCAGAGGGAACATGAATGGCATTCCCAATAGGACATCTCAGCCTATACAGCCAGACCCACAGGTGCTCTGAGTGTCAATACACCCAGCAAGGCAGACTGCAGCACTCTGCCCCCTTGGCCTTTCCAAGGCCCCTCGATACTGCCCCACTATGCTGTCCCTACTTCTCAGGGTGGCCTGAACCCACTTCATGTCCATTCAGCCAACTCACTGAGCCACTACCAAGTACAGGCACTGTGCTAGGTGACCAGGGGCAGGCTAAGGCTGAGCAGAGAAACTGGGTCCCAGACTAGTGGGAGATGCTGAGTTAACAACCACCCAGAGGGTAAGGCAGGGCGACTCCAAGAGCTCCTGAGATTTTGAGTTAGGCTTTTAAAAGTTGAGTATCTGAGAAGCAAAGGACAAGAAGTTGGGACACATGTGCCAGGCTAAGGAGAGAGACACCACTGGCAAATGTCAGAGCAGATGGGGCCAAGGTCAGGCCCTGGGGATGGAGACAAGCTGGGAGGGTGATGGGAGTCAGATCAGAGGGCTGCATATGCCAGGCAGGACAGGTTGGACTTTATTCTACAGGCAATGCAGTGCCATGAAAGGACCGAGGGTTGCTATGATCCTAATGTCTGGGTCCCCCTCTGATTCCTTTTTTGAAATCCTAACCCCTAAGGTGATGGTATTAGGAAGTGGGGCCTGGGAGAGATAATTAGGTAATTAAAATGGAATGAGTGTCCTTGTAAAAGAGGGCCCAGAGAGCTAGCTAGCCCCTTCCACCACGTGAGGACACCGAGAAATCAGCAGTCTGCAACCAGGAGGAGGACCCTCACCAGAACCTGAACATGCTGGCACCCCAATCACAGACTTCCCAGCCTCCAGAGCTGTGAGAAATGCATGTCTGCTGTGTATAAGCCACCCAGTCCGTGGCAGTTTGTTATAGCAGCCTGACTTGACTAAGACGAGTGGTGCTAGCACGATCTGACCTGTGTTTGAAGCCAGTGACTCTGGGCACACATGGGGACCAACAGCAGCAGCAAGCGGTTAGAAGCAGCGAGAGGGCTGATGGGCCACTGGAGGAGGGTAGGGACCAGACCAGGGCAGAGGCTGCCAGGGCAAAGGGAGAGAGAAAATCCTAGAAAGGTGGGACAGCAAGGGAGGAGTGGCACGCAAAAAATCCCAGATGGCCAGTTCCACAACTGGCCAACAGGCTGGAAGTCATATGGTCACCAGCTGGAAAGGAAACACTATGATGTCCCTACAGTGGTCTCTCTCCCCTTCCTGGGACATTCCACAAGGTGCAGGGGTGCTCCTTGGTCACGTATCCACCAACCAAGGCTCCCAGGGGAAGAAAGGGGAGCCTCTGAGACTCAGCATCCACTTTCCCCATTTTTCTGCTTAGAAACTAACAGCTATGATGATAGAAAAGTATTTTTAAAAAAATGGAAAAGTGGGGGAGATGTGGATGAGACACAAGAAAAGCTATTGGTGCATGCGAGTTAAAAATCTAGAGACTAGATGTGAGTTATTAAACAATTTGCTGGCGTTTCAGCCTAGCTGATTGTTCGCATGTATGATGAGTCAGGGCAGATTCTATTACACTGGGAGATTAAGCAAATAAATGCTAGCTTTTGGAAACACATTAAAATGTGGGACTATGGAAATAAAATTATCTAGAAAATTGTATTAGCAATTCATTAGCTGCAGTGAGATGTGCGGCGGGGCAGGGGGGCCCGGCAGCACTGGAACGCTCTGCTCCCTTCAACGCCTGGGTTCCGTCCTCTGCTATGGAGAGACGTCAGGCCTGGTACCACTGGGGAGAGGGGAGGTGCTCTGACTGGATAAACGAGACCCTCAGAAGTCAGATGGTCCACATGACACAGGGGAAGGAAAAGCAGCACAGGGGTCCCAGCTCTCCCACATACTTGCCTTGTGGCCCCGAGCAAGTCATTCTTTTCACCAGATCCATTTGCTCCTTATCTGCCACTGTGGTTATCAAGAACATCGAATGAGATATCCACACGAAAAAACTTTATAATGTGGTCACAGAGCCAATGATGGCCAAACAACACCTTCATCTGAATTAGAAAATCACGTCTCCTCCTCTGGCCAGCCCCACAGACCTGGCTGCATATTTATGGTGAGTACAGAGAGGGCAGGGTTTTGGGATCTTCCCTCCTCAGCTGGGCACCCTTGTGCAGTGAACGACCTGGATCATGAGTCATGGCAGCCCTGCACAATACACATGCCTAAGCTGTTTTGTTGTCTTTGGGCTGCTACTTTCTGGGAAGCTGACCCTAGAGAAGGCATCTTTGAGGAGTTACACCACTTAGGATTCAGTGCCAACAACACCATCTTCCTCTGAGCTCTGTTGTATCACGTAAAGCCCTGTATTGCATTTATTTTGGACTTTCAGCTCTGCCTAATAGATTATAAGCCTCCAAAGTAGGAACTATTGTATTCATCTTTATATTCCCCAACACACAGTACACAGCCTGATATGGAGTAGGCACTTAATAACTGCATGTTGAATTAGAAAATAAATAAGGGGTTGTAAGACAATCACAAAGGGTAGAGGAGGAGGTATGAGGAGAGTCATGGTACAGACAGAGGGCTAGGGATGAGGAAAGTTCAGACTACAGTCCACAAATGAAACCACTACTAAGAGCATCCAACAAGACTCTCCTTGGAAATCAGTAATGACAAGTGACCCACAGGCAGCGGATCTCACTGAGGCCCCCCGTGTCTGTCTGGTGGGCTGGACAGGACTCCTTCGTTGTCACTCCATGTCTGAGCTCTGTTGCTCGGAAGCAAAAACCCAGACCATAGAAGGATCAGTTTTGCCATATTATACAGTGAAACAGTCCAAAGATCCCAATTCTGGCCCAGAGGTACAGCCCTTCTTGGATTTGTGATCCTAGTCCAGGCAGTGGTTGTCCTTAACCTTGGTTTCTTCATCTAGGATAAGAGAATTCATAACTAACCTGCCCTTTCCAACCCTAACTTCATAGCCCTGTTATGATGCAACTGACAAATGTTTTTGATTATGTAAATCCTAAAAATGTATTGTTTTCTATCAATCTGTACATTTCAATGTAAATCAGATATATAAGTCAGCTTTGACCCAAGAAAATAATTTTTCAGGTCAAGGAATTAGCACCTCTGCTGTTCTGAAGAATGAATGGGACTCAGTCTTAGCCTGGACTCCCAGGGTATCTGCTCAAAGGGAATCTGAAGTAGGAAAAGGGGATGCATGTAGAAAGGATGATGCTATCGAGACTCAAGGAACATGACTCTTAGTAATATGGGCAGGATCCATGCAAATATCTGGGACCACATTTGCATCAATTCTATCTCCAGAGAAGGTGACCCACACCAGACCCCCCAGTGGCAACACTGCCAGTTTTGACTACAGGGCATGTATGACTCAAAGTCTTCCAATTTAAAACAAGCTTAATTTTAGCAAAAAAAAAAAAAAGGAGAAGGAAGGAAGGAAGGAACGAAGGAAGGAAGGAAGGAAGGAAAGAAAAGAAAAGAAAGAAAGAAAGAAAAAGAAAGAAAGAAAAGAAAGAAAGAAAAGAAAGAAAGAAAGAAAGAAAGAAAGAAAGAAAGAAAGAAAGAAAGAAAGAAAGAAAGAAAGGAAGGGAGAGGGAAAGAAAGAAAGAGAGAGAAAGGGAGAAAGCCAGGCCAGGGTGGAATAGTAGGCAGAAGGGGTGACACAGACCTAGGGTATTTCACCCAGGTGATGACGGGGTCTGAAATTATGAAACACAAAACCCCTCATGTTTACACCTGTGCCATTTCCATACCAATTATCTCTTTAATAGATGGGAAGGAAGAGGATCAGAGGGGTACACAGCTGGAGAAGATGTTCAGGTGCTACACCTTCTTGGAGCAAAGCTCTTATTATCTCCTGCTATAAGCAGTTTCTTAATCAAAGGAGCAGAGGGATCTAAATATACTCCAGCTTTTTTTGGTAAGCAGGCTGGGACTGCTGTGTGTGCATGTGCTGGGGTGTGTGCATGCCCGTGTGTGCTCGTGCATGCACATGTACCCCGGAGGGGCTTCTCACGTCCAATCCTACCCAACCTCACCCAACAAAGGAAGGACTGCCTCCCCTGCCACCCCGAAAGCTTCTTCTCCCCACAGAAAGAAAATATCAAATTTAGGAGGGTGTGAAAACCTTGATTTAAACTAGAAACTTCCCCCTCCCTCCACCCCCAGCCCCCAAATCCTTCAGATATGTCTTTCTGCTCCCTCTGACATCCTGGGGGATTACTCTTTCCTAAGACACCATCTCCAGCATGGGCAACCTTCGTGACCACACACTCAAACCATCATATAAACTGACGCCTTTTCCTTTCGCCCATCTTCTCCTCCCTTTGCCCCCAGGTTGCTGCTGAAAAAGGTAGCAGGGCTGTACCATCCACTCGGCAAGAGAGAAAGAGAGGCAGAGGCAAGCAGCATCAGGCTGACTCCCACCCAAGGAAGGAAGGCTCTGTCTGCATCTTAAAAGGATGGAGAAGGCTGGGGTGGGGTGAGGAATAGACAGAAAGGAACAAAGTCCAGCCCTTGAATCTGAGTGGCTCCTCCATTTTGACTTCCCCTGTGCTATCATTTAGGACTCACCTCCTTTTCAAGGAATCTACTGGACAAATGGCCAAGAGCCCTCTCTTTAGTTCTCTGGTTTTCCTCTTGGGCATGAGTTTCAGGATCATTAGGGATGCACTACTGTACTCCTGGCGTTCCTCAGAAGGCTAGCTATGTGGGCAATGAAGGCCAAATCAGCCCACCGAACCCTGGAAACTCCAATCAGCTGCTGGTGAGTGGGAGACAAGTTCCCCAGTTCCTTTTACTGGGGTAGAATACACAAAGATACCATCTTGGAAGACTTGTCTCAAACTCAATTAGCTTTGAGCTCATGCATGGGTGTTTGTCTCCTGCATATAGAGTCACCCACTGCTGAGGCGTTCAGTTACATCTTCCCAAACCAAGCTAAGAGCCAAAAACCTTAGCATCACTTGTCAATTTCGTCCTTGTCAAATTTAGGTCTCTTTATCCAGCCCTCTCTGCCCCTTTTTCCTTCCTTTCTTATCTGCGTAGAATCATGGAAGGCATCTATACATCTGTATGACATTCCATTTCCACAAGAGAAAAGGGGAATGTTACGGTTTCAATACCGTCAGTCAAGGGAGCAAAAGCATCTTCATTGCATAACAAAAAAGGGGAGGAGTTTGAGCAGCTGATTCAGATTTGTTTTAAAACTAAGCAATGGATGAGAGAGTGATTACATTTTTCAAAACATATGCACACATACAACTTTCAGTCTCTTGGGGAATGTGGCTGTGTCCTCAGGCAGCAGCAGCTAGCAGAGCTGGCTCCCGGAAAACCGTGTATTTGTTTAGCAGTGAGCTGCAGACACAAGTGCATTTCATTACTCGGCACCTCCAGCTACAGTAAACAAATTTGTCAGCTCACTAGCTCATTAAGGTGCGCCCTGGACATGGGGGATTTATTGAGACCTGCACAATAAAAGTAACATGAATGGATTTACTAATTTTGTCAATCACTCCAACAAACCAGCCCAAGAGGGGGAGAAAATGAGGGAGGGGGACAAGAAAAGGGGTGGATAAAAAAAGGGAAGGAGGTTTTAAAAAAAAAGGAGGAGAGAAGTTTGGTTTGCAAGGAGAGAGAGAATAAACGGGTTAAGAGGGGACAAGATCTGCATTTTCGTACTGGGCTACAAAACCACCTTCACATTCAATCTACCTCCTACGCTGCGTTGCCCTTTCTAGGGTGCAGGGGCCTCTGGCAGGAAGGGGGCATGTTAAGTTGCAAGAAGCCAAATCAAGTCCTGATTCCCTGGCAGTGCCACACCGACAGCAACATCCTCCTCCCTTCCTCCCAGCATCAGATATGGAACTAATGAATCCGAGGATTAAAAACCACATTCCGGGAAGTAGCTGCTTCCAAGCACATCAGCAGAGACTAATATCCTCCGCTGGTACCTCCCACCTGCCCCAGCAGCTCCTTCTTCTTGGTTTCCAGTCCAGTGGCTGGACCCTTCCAGACATTCCAGAATGAATTAAAACTTCTCCAAGAGCAAGCAGAGGAAGAAGGAAAGGGAGTGTGAGAGAGAGAGAGTGTGTGTGTGTGTGTGTGTGTGTGTGTGTGTGTGTGTGTGTGTGCGCGCGCGCGCGCGCATGCGTATGTGCAGTAGAGTGGGTGGGGCCGGGGATGAGTTGGGGTGGAAAGTAAATCCGGAGAGGTATGCAGCCCTCTGGTCTGTAACTTTCAAAATGACAGCAGGACTAGGGCAAAGGTCACGGGGTCCAAGGCCTTAAGCACCTCCGCCAGCTGTGGCAGAGAAGCCTGGAGCCCGCAGGACGCCTGCCCGTATAAATCAGCAGTAAGCAGCACCCGCTGGGGGCGAGGACAATGGGCCCACATGGGGGTGGGAGGCAGAACAATGGGGCCTGGCCAGTGCGCAGGCCCGGAACAAATGTGCCCTGGCACCACGGGGGCCCCCATTTGTGAAACTAATTGGCCCACGATTGAAAAATCGGACCAACTTCAACAACCCAGAGAGGAGAAGGGCAGCTTGCAGTAGCCTAACCTAGCCCAGCTCTGCAGAGCAAGCCTAGCCTAGCCCAGCCCAACCCAACCCAGCCCAACCCTGGGTGGGGCATCTGATGTGGAAGCCTCTCTCAGGGACTGCCCGTTCTGGCAGAGAGGTGCCTCTGAGATGGGATCAGGCTGGGAGAATGATGGACTGTGGGATGGAGCAAGTAGGCAGGGTGCCGACTTGAGGGCCCCGTGCTCAACAACTTCTCCCAAGATGCAGAGAACTGTTTTCCTCGGTTTCTCTACACTGCTTGTTCTGTAGAAATGAAGTTCAAAGGAGAGAGACAGGCACCTGTTTACTCTCAGGGTTCCTAAAGCCAAAGGGCTCCCTACTTCCTGCATTTGGGGGTAGGTGGGTAGCAAATAAACCAAAAGCTACAATCAGTTTCTTCCTAAGTCCATTCCCTGGCATGTATTCTGCCTGTAACCCTCTGCAAGGTTGCATGAGCACTGCAAGAAATATGGGTCCCTTGGTCTCGAATTCAGCTGATCTTAGAGGCTTCCAGGAAAAGAAGCCCCAAAGCGGGTGGGGGAACATCGGGACGGAGCATGAAAGGGCAGGCCAGGATCTTCACATCCCAGCCATCCTCTTGCCCTCACGTGGCTTTTTACTGCAGACTCCCAACTGAACAGGAACAAGAGTACAAAACCTGGCCTCAAGTCCTGGCTCAGTGACTAACTCGCTGTGCACTCCTGGGTGGGTTACTAGACCTTTCTGGGCCTCAGTTTCCTCAACAGTAAAATGAAGAGGGATATAAGTGATCCTTAAAGGGTTTTTCTCCACTCTAATATTCAACAATTCTATTGAAGAGGGTGCTGGCAGGTTGAATGGTCCTTTCTCCCACTGAGATGGACGTCAGCATTTTCTCTTTCAAAGTCAGACTTCACAGCCTTCTTTTAGCTAAAGAGAATCTCTTTAACTAAAAGGAACCACATTCTTAGGCTGACAGAGGGACAGTCACAGACAAGGCAAAGAAAGGATCCAACATTGACTGGGCACCTGCTGGGTGCCAATCTAGGTTCAACCTTTCTCAAGCAGCACTGTGAGATGGGGATTTTTAGGAAGATGGGAAAATTTCACAGGACTTGAGAGAACCTCTAGGTCCCTTTTCTAGGGGACTACCAGTTAGCAGCTTAAGACCTCCTAGAACTGGCTGAACACTCACAGAGGCAATTATTGAGTAGCTGGGTCTGAGAGTACCTGAAGCCTCTCTGTGCCAGGTGAGGGCTGAGCAGTTGGGGTGGGGAATATGGAGGGGGAGCTTTCTCTCCCAAGCCCCCAGCAGCAGAATGATAGAGAAGACCCCCAAGAAAGCCCATATAGAGAGCAAGTCAGAGAACCAGACCCTCTGAATCTAGCAGTTTCATTACAAGAGCACAGTGTCCAACACATAGTAGGCATTTACATTCTGGCTGTGTGTCCAGAGCTTCACGGGAGGCACGGAGTTTCCACGTGAAGGTAAGACCCAATTTCCTTGTCTGAACAATAAGTTATCCCCAGGACTCTTTCATCTCCAGTATACTTCACATGTAAAAGATGCTTTCTATAGATGGTCACTCTCTCTAGTTTCAGACATTCCCAAAGTCATCCTGAGGCCCCTGCAGAGAAACTGCAGCCCAGGAGTAGGTTCTCTGGGGGAAAAAAACCCAAAAACCTCAGCTAGGCTCTCATGTAAAATTTCCAGTAAACCCCAATGTATTCCAGAGATAGGGAGGTGGAGGCAGAGGCAGGAGGCAGGAGGAGACCCAGACAGAAAAGAGAGAGAGACAGAGGCAAGACAAAGGCCCAGGGAGACAGAATGGAGTGGGGAGGGGAGCAGGGGTTGGGCGAGACAGAAATTCAAAATAAAACGAAATACTGATTGTTTCAGCGCCATTTAAATATCTCCCAAACACTGGGCAATGAAAAGAAAAACTACCCCATATAAATAAGCAAAACAAAATAACAAAAAAGGAGAGGATGTATTCATTTTACTGACATTTTAATGGCTCCTCTCCTTCCCGCCCCCCCCCCACAGAAGATGATTACAAATTAAGCAGCATTTAAATGCTTTTTACTGTCAACAATTAAAAGGAGGGCTGTGGGCCTGAGAGTGTGGTGGCCATTCATTCCCACGGTAACCAGGCTATCAATATCAGAGACACCATGCGGCCTTCCCGTACTGTACGGCACACAATAGCCAAAAAGGGAAAAGTGCAGACAGATACTGTTAATTCTGCAGGACATTCAGAAGCAAATTAAAATATAAAAAAGCTCCCAGAGCATACATAGATACCAAGAATGAGGGCAGGGCAGGTCGAGCTCATGGAGTTGGTCTTAGCAACGGCAGAATGTACGCACAGCCTGATTACACCTGATTCAGGGCTCCTTGCGTTTGTTTCATGTACCTGCATGTGTGTGCATGTGTGTGTTGCACATGCACGTGCACATTACAGGAAGGACCAAGGACAGAGGTTGTTTTGCCTTCCTAGGGTCAGAGGAATAAACAATAAATCGAGCCCAGGAGCTCTACGTCAGACCCAGAACCAGCCAGGGAGTAGAAAGAGGACACACCCACTGCCCCAACCTGGGCTTCAACCGAGAGGGCGGGACCACCAACGTTCACCCTTCCAACACCTGCCCCACGGCCTTCTCCGCTGGGCCACAGGTAGAAATCAGGTGATTCTGATTTCACTGCGTTCAGAGGAAGGGATTTCATCATTCCAGGTGAACCAAAGGAACACATTTGATTTTTCAGAAATTGACTCTTTTTTCACAATTCAAACTATCATTACCAATTCATGCCCAACCCCTGCCTGCCCCGGCCCAATACCACCCATCTTCACATCCTTCTAAAAAGCTAAAACCCAGTCTGTGTTAGGTCCTGGTAAATTCTGTTGCCAGAACTCTCTTTTAGCTAACTCAATATAGTTTCTAAGCATCCATGTCATCACAGGTATCTTTGAAAATAATGGAATAATGAAAAGCCAATTCCAGAATAAAGAGGAAGAAAAGAAAAGGGTTAAAAAGATAAAGGAGCAGAGAACGTAGCTACGAATTTCCTTTCCAGTCCTTCAGAGAAGGAGACAGAAATCACAGAAAGTGAGAGTGGGCTACCAGGTAGAGGGTGAGAGGCTGGATTTAGAAGCAGCCGGGTATACTTCTGTACCGTAAAGTTTAATATGCAGGAGGGATGACAGAGAAATAAAAGAGACACGTCCCCTTTAAAAGGAAATATAATTTACAGTGTGCAGCCAGGCGGCCCATAGTTTCAATCTCGTTTACTATAGAGAAAACTCTGCTAGCTGTTCTCTATCCCACAAATCCGATTTAATCAGACAAGCCAGCCAGCGTGGCTTGGAGTAAAAACGGATAATTAGTAAACAGAGAGCTACTCCAGTGCTTCATTGGCATTCGAGTTGGGCTACTGTGTCGCATTTAAAATGCAGTCTGATGAAGTTTACAAAATCAAACCATTTGTTACTCCTATTGAAGAGGCTTCAGGCCACTCGCAATTAAATTGGAATTAGTGCCCAGAATGAGACACAGCAAATTCATACCAAAAAGGGATCTGACTTTGAGACGTTTGACTTCACTTCCACAGTTTTCTGTGTGAGTGTGTGTGTGGGTGTTACTGAAAGACTCCTTACTCACCCCGACTCTGCAGGGCTCCCCGACTCCCCACAACCTGCTACTCTCTGGGCTGGCTATGGGGGATGGGGCGCCAGGGAAGGGGAGGGACAGCTGACACCAGGGCGCCCGCCAGGCCTGCATTCACACCAGGAAGATACTGTACTAGGGAAAATGTGTCCACAAAGGACCATATGGCTCCCTTCTGCATTGAGCCCTTGGACAAGAGGGTGGAAGGGGGCGGGGGAAGCTGCCAGAAGGCACACTTCTAGGGGGCACCGGCCCCGCCCACCTCAGACAGCAGGCTGGCGGCCTGGGGAGAGTGGGGGCACCTTTTCCCCTTGGCTGGGCTCCTGTGATGCCCTGCAAAGGGACTGCTTCACTCACGACATCCTACGTATCAACACGCTCCCAGCCCCGTGCACTGTGCACTGCCCCTCTAGGCAGAAAAGGGGAGTGAGCTCAGGTCTAGGCACGGCTTCTTAACCTGGAGTCCACGGAACCCCTAAGCTGTCCAGGGACAGAATTCAGGAGATTGGTGAACTCAGAGAGGGGAAAAAAGTGACATCTTTATTTTCACCAACCTCCAACTGAAATTCAGTGGCTCCTTCCATTAGGAATATAAGCAACCAGCAAGTCATATGGGCAGTACTGGTAACTACTTGGTCACCGGTAGACTTTACAGGTATTTTCACACTGCACTAGAAATGTTGCAGTCATCTCAAAATATCATCTATGCAAGCCACTCCCGCAAAAATATGGTAGTTATTCAATTACAGCCTGATGTTATTGGTTAATGGGATAACAAAGAATCACACATATTTCTATATTACAAATGGTTTTTAAAAAATATTTTGATATTTGTATTTCAAGTTTCCATGACAATCCTATGTATTTTACTTTCTGCATTTAGAGACCTGATTCTGAGGAAGAGTTCAGGGGTTTCGCCAGACTGCCCAGGGAGCCAATGGCACAAAAAAGTTAAGAATCCCTGTCTAGGAGTCAGGGAAGGAATGGGGAGTTGGTGTTTAATGGGTACGGAGTTTCTGTTTTACGGGATGATAAGAGTTCTGGAGATACAGTGTGTGTTGATGGTTGCATGACAATGCTAATGTATTTAATGCCACTGAATTGTCCTCTTAAAATGGTTAAAAATGCAAATTTTGCATTACATATAATTTACCAAAATTAAAAAATTAAAAACCAATCCTGGTCTGAAACTACCTGTACCCTTCTGCCGCCCAGAAGTATCTAGTCCAAACTGGTATTTATTCCCTCAAACTTCTCCATCTGCAATGGAGAGCCAAACTAAATGCTTGGCCTCCCAGGAAGCAGGGAGTATGGGGCCTTGCAAAGGACACTACAGGAGGCCCAGCCTTAGTCTTCAGCTGTGACACCCACAAGACTTAGAGACTTGCTTTAAGTTCAAGGTTTACTGTCTTCCCCACCTGTCAGAATGAAAGCTGCATGAGAGCTGCGACCTCACTTCTCTTATACAGCACTCTATCTCTTGGTTCTGACAGGTGTTCAATGAATATTTATTGGATGGAGAGAAGGACGAATAGATGGATAAAGGATTGCACAAATGAATTTGATTTCTCTGGACTTCAACTCTTCTGTAACATGAGGGGGGATAGGCTTTGTGATCCTGTGAAGCTCCTATTGTTCTAAGGGGCTCCGTCAGCATGACATCCTCCCCTGTCTGCTGACCACACCTTCCCCCAGCACATGGGGCCCAGGAGGTGGATGGTGGGGGTGTGCATGGTGCACACAGGTGGGGGATACCTGATGTGCAATACTGGGGGTGATGGGCCACTGTCTTCCTGGGCCCCAGGACTTTCCTGCAGACCTCAGGGACAGCGCTGCTCCGGCTGCTGCACAAAGCAGTATCGCCTTGCTGCAGTCCTGCTGGAGTCCACTGGGCTCACCAGGCCACCTTCCCTGCCACAACAGGCTGGTGGTGATGGTGGTGGACAGGGGACAGTAAATTTATAGGCTTACTGAATAGGCAAGCAATGAGAGGGAGTCCGTAGGCCTGAGGGAGAGGCTTTTAGGCAACGTCAGGCTGCACGCAAGGGATTTTAAAGCCTGGAAGGAAGATACTGTCCTTCTTGCTATTTGGGGAGGGAGAGAGAGGAATATGATATGATAAAGAAAAATAGTAAAATAAAAGAGCACATTGCCCACTAGCATTTCCCATTACCCCCACATCTGGAACTACCCTCCTTTCAAGTAGGTTGCTCTCCTGATTCTATAAATCAGTTTCAGGGAAGGAAGACGAGTGTCTGGTAGGCATCTGGCTGGAGTTCAAGGTCATGTCAGGTGGTGTGCATGCTCCTCATGGGCAGCGTGGTCCCTCCCAACACTCTCACACATTCAGACACGCCAACCCTGGGCACTCTGAAGGAGGGTCTGGAGAGAAACCCCAGCCTCAGATGCCGACACTAAAAGGAAACGTGAAGTAGAATGTCACTTCGTGGTTTGGGGTTCTCTCCTCCCATGTGGGTTTTGTTTCTTAGGTACCTCCCCTTTCAGCTCCTCCTCTGGAGTTTTTGGGCCACTGCCTGACAGCTCTGGAGCCTGGGGTTGATGCTGGGGCAGATGGAGGCCTTAGGGCTGACTCTCTCAGGCCAACCACAGGCTGTCCAGCACCCTGGTTAGAAACAGTAGTGAAGAGAGACACCTCTGTTCTAGCTACCCAACACCAGCATCGCTTGATGGCCAAATCTTTCTGCTCTTCCTTTCTTCTGTCCAGTGCTCTTCATTTCTCTCTTTGGGTGGTGGTGCTTTATTTCCCCTGGGGAACAGCATTAGAGAGTTACTTTATGTACCCCTCACTCAGTTACTCACTTACTGACTCACTCATGCACCTCAAATTTCTTGAGTCCCAATTCTGTATAGGAATCAAACCCTGAGGCTACACAATGATAAGAAAATACTTCTTGGCCCCAAGAAGCTTACAGTCTGAGAAGTACAAAGCAAAGAGCCTCGGTGTTGAAGTCAGACCACACCTGGGTTCAAATTCTGACTCTTCCATTTATTTACTAACTACATAATCATATGCAAATCACTTAGTATCTCTGGGTCTTAGTTTCCTTTCTGTATTAGAGTTATAGTACCCACCATGCAAGGTTGCTGGGCAGATTAGAGATAATATATGAACAATGTCTATCACAGTGTCACATGATTAGGGGATGGAGAAACAGTAGCTGCTTAGAACACTGATCCAGTGGCTGGGTGAAGAAGGGTGTGGGGTACAGATATTTAAATCAGTGGGCTGTGGTGTTTTAACTTAGGTACTTCTATGGTTTAAATGTGTCCCCCAAAGTTCCTGTGTTGAAAACTTGATCTTAATGCAGCAGTGTTGGGAGGTGGGGCCTCTTGGGAGGTGTTTGGGTCATGGGGGCTGTGCCCTCACGCGTGGATTAATGTCGTTCTCAAGGGAGTGGGTTCCTTAGGAAAAAATGAATCTAGTCCCCTCTTGTGCTCTGCTCTCTCTTGCCCTCTCGCCTTCCACCATGGAGTGGTGCAGCAAGAAGGCCCTTGTAAGACGCTGGCACCCTGATCTTGGACTTAGCCTTCAAAACTGTGAACCAAATACATTTTTGTTCTGTATACATTACCCACTCTCAGGCATTCTGCTACAGCAGCACAAAACAGACTAAGACAGGTACCATGAGCTGCACTTAGGCCCCCTCTAGGAGGTGCTTATAGAGAACACTCTATGTCTTTCATCACCAAGAAGAGCTCTATCTCTACAGTGTTATATTCAAACCTCATTCCCACCTTTTAAATTCTCCCATCCAGTTACTCCCACCAAACCCATTATTTGATCTTCAAAAATCTCCCTAGAATGCCTTTCCTTTCCTTACTTCTTTCATATTCGGCCCACACTTCAAGGCCCGTCGTCCAACTCCCCACTGACTTCTGGCCAATTCCTGAACTCCCCTGCCTGGGATCCTTCAATTTCACCAGCCTGCTGTACCCTAAGCTTGGATCGGTCTAACTAACCACCTCCTCCACTCCTAGAGCTGCCTACCCACGTTGCCTCTACCTCCCAATTGCTCACTAACTCCTCAACCCACTGTAATCCCACTCCTGCTTCTATCATTCCACTGACACCAAAACTGTTTGCCTTTGATATCCAGCGACTCCCATGTCACTAAGAGCAACAGACATTTTTTAGTCTGCCTCTTAGGGGACTTCTCAGCACCATCTAAAACTGACTGCTTTTTTCTTTTTGAAACCTCTTCCTTTAGCTTCCATGACACCACACTCTTCTGGTGTCCCTCCTATTTCTTCCAGCAACTCCTCGATCTCCATCGTGGATTGGGATTGTTCTGGAGGGGTGGAATATGTTGGGGTTCCTCTGGATTCTATTCCAAGCTCTCTTCTCTTTCTATACTCTCTTGTTATATAAACTCACCCAGTTCCAAGGGCTTCAATGATCATTTATATGTTGATGACAACTCCAAAATGGACATATCCAGTGGGTCTCTCTCTTCTGAATTCCAGATACGTCTGTATACCCACATGCCTCCTAGGCACACCCTACCTTTGGATGTCATGCACACCCTGCTACTGTATATGAAAACTGTTCAGTATCCTAACGATAACAATAAAAAAAGCTCTTTTTTCTTGTATTCTTCATTTCAGTAAAGAACTCCACTATCACTCAGTTGCCCAAGCAAGAAAAGTGGGCATTATCCTAGATTCCTCTCTCACCTCTCGAAAGAGATCAATTACCAAATGTTTTCGGATTTCTAGTATCTTTTTGTGCATTTATTTATCCACCCCCTCATACAGCAACACTGGTTCAGACTACCATATTCTTTGCCTAAATGATGGCAATATTATCCCAATCTCCCTGCCTTCAGCTTAAACCCACCAGTTGAGTCAAAACCAAGTAGTCAAAGTAACTTTTCCATGACATCACCTGATGTCCCTCCCCTGATTAAGATCCTTTCATTACTTCCCTATTGTCCCCAGAAAAAGGCAAAAACTACTTAAAATGGTTTTCAAGGGCCTTTCACCATTTAATGCCCATTTACTTCTCCAAGTTCAGATCTTAGCCCTCCTCCCCACTCCCATTTTCAGTTCCATGAACTTGTCTTACTCTCTCCCTACTCTGGACATTTACCTACCTTGACTCTCAGCCTGGCATTCTTCCCTTTCTCCCCCATTCCTTCATTGTCTTAACTTCTTCTCATCCTTCAGATGACAGCTTAGATGACACCACCTCCAGGAAGCCTCCATCCAAGTTGGAGGTTGCTCACGTGTGCTCTAATAACATCCTTATACCTCCAATATAACAATATTTATCCTGTATATGACTTGCTTATTTTCTTGTGTGCCTCCCTAGAAGGCATGAAACCCATGAAGACATGGGTTCTGATTTGCTCACCACTGTATTCCCAGAGCCTAATATACTACTAAGTAAGAATGGGTGTTCAATAAATATTTACCGAATGAATTAATAAACAAATAAATACATTAAAAATAATCTATTAATACTTCTGTGGGCTTGAGCCAGAGCTCCAGGCAAGTCATAATTTTCAGAGCCTACACCATTAATATCTGACTCTGACCAACTTCAACTCAAGTAAACATGCTGGCTTACTCTCCTCTCTCAAGCCACCCACCCACTCACCATCCCCAATTCCCTATGAGTTGCAGGCTTCTGAGTCCGTATATTCCCATATCTTTTAATACGTGCGATTGTTAGGTGTACACTCATATCCACATGTGTTAGGAGCAGGGCATAGGCTTTTGTGGGTTTGGTTTCTCCTCTCAACCTGGAAGTATTCATTCATGTGGTACTCAGTGCAGTGCTACCCAGATGTCCCTTCCTGATGAGGAGTCATTCACAATTGAAGACACAGATCTCTAGAGAGGCCTGCAGAACGGCTATCACTCTGTGGCCAAAGCTGTGAGATTGCAGCCAACGAGCACCTACAGTTTGGGATCTGAAGTCAAACCTGACAACAACTTCTGGGCACTGGTGGAACATGTAGATGTCTCCTGGTGCACACTCCCTATCTCTTTCTCCTCCAAGACCAGGGCAGGCTCTCAGCTATCCCTGCAGGGCCTGCTGTGAGCTGCCCTCAGGCACATAAGCTGACCTCAGAGTCTGAGCCCTCTACACTCAAGCAATGGGCCCCCACAAATCACACTCTTGGTGGGTTTTCGTCCCTCCTCAGACGGTGATATATATGATATACTGTTTTGAGATCAATTTTCGCAGCATATGGGGATTCTCTAGAACAGGGATGCTAATGGAAATGCCAAAAGCCATGTCACTAGCATGCTCAGAAATCATGACCTCCAACACCCTCCTGCTAGGAAAATAAAAAGGGGCTTCTTTTAAGAGGTGAACAGGCTTTTGTCAGATGTGAGTTGCTCTCAGTCCTGGCCAAAGATCCTGGTTCTTGTGGATCTAGAGATGATCTGGCAGTGGTGGATACAATGCCAGGTGTCCTCGCAAGCAAATGTGACAATACAGGCAGCCCCCAGGGATTTACCAGCTCCCGGACAAAGGATCCCTCGTCCTTGTCATATCCATTCAGGTTTCTGCCCAGAATCACTTTGCTCACTCCTACACTTCCTGATTCCCCCTCTCTCAAAGAGCCCCTAAAAATAAGAAAGACAAGCCGTAGTGTTTATTCCATCACCTTCAGGCTTCTTTCTTAACTTATATTTTGGGGGTTGGGGGAGCTGTGACTTTCAGGCTAGTCCAAGAGGCCACTGAGAATTAAACAGCATGGATGATACTTTCTGTTCATTCAGGTTAAAGTAATTGTGGGCTTGGAGTCTTCGGGCAAAAGTCATTGAGAGGAGTGAATTTGAAGAACTTTCTAAATGTCCCCATTTGAACCCAGATGGAAGTTCTGTGAAGTTTTCAGTGCCTCAAGGATCAGCATGAAAGACCCTGTGATTCAAAAGATGCTTCCACCAAGCACGATTCCACACCACCCCTCACCCAAGACTCACTTGTTTCATTAGTGTATTCTCTGCAGGCGACAGCAGAGCCAAGCTGGATGGTCACTGCATGATCATGGACACTCTGTAACATGGGTCTCCTCTTGCCACGTACCCATCCTTTATTCCTCCTTTGTTCTTCCAGACTCCAAAAGCTCTTGGGCCATACATTTCACTCATCCTATTCCCCTTTCCTTTCTCTTCCTGAGTCATTCAGTTGCAGTTGTTTTCTGAAATTGCCTTTTAAGAGAAGACTGTTGTTTCCCAGTAATACCAGCACAGTCAGAGAATGCTAAAGACTGCCTCCCTCTGACAGGCCTTGGAAATGAAACACTCAAGAAATGGCCCAGAGGACCATTCATGATCTCAGACATGAATGGGAGAGAAACAACCCCCAAGTCACCCAACTCAGCCACTCTGGCAGCCTGAGTCTTGGGTCTTCTGAAGCACCTTACAGTGAGTGGAAAGTCAGGATGGCATGACAGTGGGGTGGAGTGGAGAAGGGGAATGAATGTGTGTGGAGTCCCTGAAACATTCTCTAACTGAAATGCTTCCAGGCCTAAGGTGTCTTCAGTGGCCTCCACTGTCATTTGCTTAATATGCACTTAATTTTAAACTTTAAGACAGGGCAACTTATTTAATCTCCCAACAGGCAAGATCTGGCTTGATTCTCCAAAGGAGCTTATTCCCCAAAGGATGAAAGACCCCAGTGATCTGATTTAGGCAGAGCTGGATCAGCAGTCACACACGGTTGGTACAGAGAGTCTGCCTCAGAACACCAGGACAAAGCGTTCATATTAATTAAGATCTTCATAGAAAGAAAACTCTCTCCAGGGAGTATCTGTTTGATTATTCCTATTTACTCAGTGATATTGCTGCTTGGCTCTTCCCTACCCTCCTTCCTAAGAAGCTGAATGGGTTCTGAAGGGAAAAGGAACTAGCACAGCCTTTGAATGGAGACTGTAGGGCATGAGGGGGGAGTGGGTAGGCTCTTCCACTGAAATGTTGGCCATCATGCCAGAAAAACCACCACGGATCACCGTGATGCTTACACGTATTCTACGACCTGCACATGCCTGCATGTCTTCAACCAGGGAAACTAGGGAAGCTGTCTACCTGGAAAACTTTTATGACAGAAAGTCCTGCTTCAAAGCCACATTATCTGTGGAGTGTCCCAAGTACAGAAATAAAGGACCTGCACCACCCAAAACTCTATGTAACTGCTGTGGTGTGCATCCCTACCCCAGCTCACTCTGTCCTCATGACCGTCCCTAGAGGGAAGTCATGGGAGGAGTAGCTGATACATTCATTTACTTATATACTACTTAATTAACGGGGGCCGTGACTGCAAGGCAATGGAGAAAAATAAGAATGTTGCTACAACTTTCTTCCATCTATGTCTATCAAGCATCCACCAGCACCTGGTCTGGGGAGACACTGATGAATCAGACTGACACAGTCCCTGCCCTGGTAGAGCTTCCCATCTACTGAAGGAGACATTAATCAAATGACTCCAGTACTTCCACGGCTTTCAGGGTTGGAATTTAAAGTTGAGAAGGGCTCCAAGGTAAAAATCTCCCTGTACCAGCTCCTTACAACACAAACACTCATCCACTCTTCTGTAAGCATCGGAGGCTAGAACATGACATATTTACACACACTCACATGCATGCATTGCTCACACACTCACATGCATGCATTGCACACACACATCCCCCACTCCAACACCACAGTGGAGGCCTGAATGGCTGCTATTCAGGGCCAGGGGCCTGGGCTATGTCATTAGAGAATAGCAGGCAAGCAGTTGCTCCTACTTCCTTGTACTGGAAGTCTGCTTCTGCCTGAGCTGATTTATTCCAAGGACCATCTGGGCCCAGAGAACAATGTGCTCTCCTATCTGAATGACCAGCCTATTAGTCATACCCTCTTAACTCGACCCCTCCGTCCACTAATCTTCACACTTTCCTTCATTCCCTTTGACGGAGGCCAAAGACTGGCTCTCTTTCCTCACCTCTCTCTAGGCTGGAGAAGTTCGTCTGGGACAAAGAGCTCTGGCCTCATGCCTGTGGGTCCAGCAGTCAAACTGGGACAGACTATGTGAAAAGGGACCCACAGCATTCCCCCTCACTGTCCCAGTCCTGTGGCCTGGTTTAGACATGGGGGTGAGCTCACCCTGACAGTGTTCACCCCAGGCTTTCCAAGGCTTCCAGACCCCAAGCCCAACAGACTGGAGAATTAGTTCAAGGCAACTCAGGCCTAATAGCTCCCCTTGAACTCACCCCACACCACTCTGCACGCTTCCCAGAATGTCTGCAAACAGCTTATACAATGCCATCACATCCTTACTCACATTTGTCTTAAATTGTCCTCTGACTGTTTAAAAGACTTTTTTTTTTTAAGCTTTTTTTAAAGTTCCTCCAGAGCAAGAAAAAAAACCAATCAACTTTTATCTCCCTCACAGCCCAGGACATAGCTAGGCCCAGAGACACAACTCGATTTTGCAGTAAGAATGAGTGACCTCAACACAGAAACCCTAAATCTTCTGATTGGAATAAGGAGCCTAAGATGCTTCCCATCCCACTCCCCAGCACCCCATCCAAAGGCTGGGCATCTCTGGAATGGGAAAGACCCAGCCACCCACTCAGACCCCTAATCCAGCATCACACACTTGCTCAGGGAATTCTTTTTTACATTTTAACTTGGATGCTACAGGTTGCTGTTTATGCTCATGTCTGTGACCTGGAGTGTTCTGTTTGTTGGTTGGTTGGTTGGGGCTTTTTGTTTTGTTTTTGTATTTAACTAGAAAGGGTGATGAAAAAAGGGAACTCTGACCCATGGGGATGTAATAATCTTCAACTCTTCCTTCCCTACCCTGGTTCCCACATGATGCCTCCCTACTGTTGTCTCCCCCATTCTAATGAGGTGGAGGTCAGTGAGTGCATCCACCACTCTGCCCCAGCCCCGCTATACATATACACGCACGTACATGCATACACATGCCAGCACATGGGCGTGCACACGCACATGCACACACACACACACGGCTCTCACTTTACGCCTTGTGCCAAGACAGAATTGATGGTGATGAGCAAAAGAGACAGGAAAAAACTCAAGCGGACGATTAGCTGGGTGAGGTTTATGGCAACAGGCAACAAACTCACTCATTTCATGTTTTGCAGAATATAAAAGCACCGAAACATTTTAATTTTAAATTCTTATCATTGAATTTACTGCTTTTCTCTCGCAATGATTTGTGTTGCTTTTTAATTTTTACAGTCTCTACAGAAGCCAGATGCTACTGCCTGAGGACAAAATAATAAAAACCTACTGCAGTCATGAGTTACAGAACAAAAAAGAAACAAGCAGTTGACAGAAGTTAATATCTCAATTTAACAGTGCTGCTTTGCTAATGATCCTTTGATATGTGTTTATTTAGAAAGGTCTGATCTTGACCTTGAAGGCAAACTCAACCACAAAGTCTTTATGAGAAAAGAAAAAGACTTTATTTATAGATTGGCTTTATGTCAATCACTCCAGCAGCTGGTCCCGAAGTGCCAAGCCACTGGAGGAGGGTGTAGAGGGAGAGCGGCCACCCATCCCAAATGGAGTGCTCATTCTAGGATCAGTGTGGGACAGGGAAAGTGGAAGAGGGGTTTCAGGAAATGTAAAGCCCCAGTGGGGCAGGACCCAGGGCCCTGAGCTCCTCTTCTTTGGAAGGAATCAGGGTGCTTGTATTCCCTCCAGACAATGCGACAGAACCAAGCATGATGAACCTCAGAAAAGAGAGACACATGTGCAAAGGGATGGTACGTGCAGCAATGGAACCAGCAAGAAGGGTTCACCTGGGTTGGACTTCCAGGAAGGTCCGTGCAGCACAGCAGGTCCTTCTCTGAGAAATTTCCAACAGCAGCCTGGAGGACTGCCCATCCAATCCCCCTGGAAGCAAGAGGGTGGATCTGCAATCCCCTAAGTCCCCACCAGTTCTGAGATTATTCTTCAGCCTGTCAGCCTCTTCTCTCCTACCCCAGGGCCAGGGCCCTGTTCACAAGAGATCCCTGGGATTTGAGAATGCCAGGAGCTGGGCCAGGAGAGCGCTCCTCACCCTGGAGAGACCCATCTATCTGCAGGGATCCCCACACCAGGCCATACCTTGAGAATCCGCCTCTGAGAAGCCCTCTGCACCTGAGGTCCCATGCTTCCTGCCTTCCTCACCTTCCAGGGAGCCTAAGGAGCTGGCTGCAGGAGGCCCTTCTCTGCTGAGCAGTGCCCTTTGCCCCAACTCTCATCCCCACCATGGTGTTCTGCCCTTAACTCATGACGCTTCATGCCCCGCCATCTGTCCAGGTGAACTCTACTCTCACGGTCTCAGTGACCACCAGGAAGCCAGGAGGCCTCCAGCCTGGACTTCTCTTCTGGGCACAAAATCCATATACCTAGCTGCTCCCTAGATGTTCCGCAGACATCTTATATTCAACCTGAATATCCAAACCTGAAACCCACATCTTCGCCTCTCAAACCTGCTTGGCCTGGATCTCCATCTCAGCTGTCAGCACTAACATCCTCTTGGTCACTCGAGCTAGATGCCTGGACGTCACCCCGAAGGCCTCTAGGTCCTCTTGCCTGACATTAGGATTGAGATACCCCAATCCAGCTCATTTTCTATCATGTAAGCATCCCTCATCAGGATAGCCACAAAAGTCTCCTAAACACAGCTTACCTCCCTCTGATCTCACCTGCACAGAACCACCAGTGCGACCTATCCAAAATGTATCTGATCTCATAACTTCCTTTTTAAAGGCTTCCAAGAACTCCTTGTCATCTGTGGATAAAATCTAGGCTCCTAAACACAGCCTAACAAGTTTCTGTGGCCTGGGCTTGCCTATGCCTCCAACTGTATCCACCACGTTCTATCTCAGCTGAGCTACTCAGGCCACAGTGTCACTGTTTCTAAACACATACAGTTCCATTTCTTCTGTCCTTCTCTCCCTTCATCCTGGCTACTTTCTACTTCTTGAAAACCTTGTGGTGTCTTCCTTTCTAGAAGCCTTATCTGTCCCCTGGGTATCTGCTGAGCACCCTTCCTCTGGGCTACCACAGTATCCTGTGTATAATAAATATCTCTATCGCTGCACTCAGCATTCTGCATTATAATTGCCTGTTTATGTGTCTGTCTTCCTCTCAACTCTGAATTCCTTGAATCAAGAGACTGGGTCTAGTCATCTTTCTATTCCCAGCATTTAAGCACATAGTAGATATGCAATAAATGTTGAATGAATGAGTGGCAAGCCGTCTTGGTTCTTCTGAAAATGATAGGGAATAGGGGATCTTTTAGTGTCATGCCAACTCAGTGAGAATAGGGGGTAAGGGGAGGTGACTTCTTATTTCCCTCCATCTCCAGTCTCCTGTAAGTCAAGAGAAATGTGTATATGCTGCAGGCTGCCTCCGGTGTGATGAGTTTAGGCTGATAGCACTGTCTTGCCAGAATGTTCCTCTGGGCCCCAAAGCAGCTGGGTGTACATTCCCCCACAAAAGGTTACCAGTGTCCAAAGGCTGGGCTTGTGCAGCAGCCCCTCCCCCTGTCCTTGTCACCCAGCCTCCTTCTGACCAAAGATAAGGGCTGGGTCAGAGCCCTGTTGACTGGAACAGCAATTTATCAGCCTAGTAAGGGTGGGACAAGGCAGAAGATGGCCCACCAGCCAGTCTGAGCACAAGGCCAGCAGAGGTAAGACTCAGATCATGAAGGACAAATGTGCCAGTCCACCCCCCAGCTCTGCTAGGAAGTAATCAGCACCCAGAACAGGGACACTTCTGCATTTGTCCCCACCCATCCAATAGACCAAAGCTGCAGCCTTTACAGGTGCCTGTGTGTGCAAGGGAAAGGGTGCACTGGGAAGAGAGGATAGGAGAGCTCGTATATGTCCTCTTCACAGCTCAACAGCCCCATGGAAAGGTTCGCTCAGAGCTGTAGGGCCTGTTCTCACTCAAGATAAGCGGGAGAGGTGGTAACAAATGGAAACCACAGCCTTATCTTGGCCTTCCTTCATCAACGCTCCCACACCCCTACCCTGTCTGCTCTGTTCAAGAGCTTCCCTCCTCCAAAAGCCCTTCCATTTCTAGGCTGTCTCCCTGAGTGCTGTACTGGCCTGTGAGTCCAGGCTCCTGCCCCTGACTATTGCAGATGGGAACAGCCAACCTTTCTCAAATAGCCATCAGAGAATGCCTGAATTTTGTACCCAACATCTACCTGTAAGATCTGTAATCACAAAATAATTCAAATTAAACTTTCAAAACATAAAAAAAGACAAAAGCTATAAAAAGATAAGGGCATCTATATATGTGCCCACTCACAACTGAAGCAGCTCCAGAGATGGACAGTTATCAGTCTCTCTTAGGAACATCTTTGCAACTCAGGAAGTTCTCACCAATGTCTAACCTAATGCGGCTGCTGCGGCTGTAAAGCTCTTTACCTCTCGTTGTAGGGTAAAGACAAAAGGAGTCTTTCTCTTAATTTCTCTTTTCTTGCTAGCACACCAGGCAACTTCTAGGTAGAAGCAATATGCTGCACCAGAGAGACATCTGAATGAGCTGCCATATCTTTCCCTTCCCCTTTTTGGAAAGAGCCAATGAGATGTGAGGTCTTGGTCATCCTGGACTGGCAGGGAAGGTAACCCATCTCAATCCTCCAGAATGAAGAACCCGAGCCTGATCCTCAATGAGAAGAGGGAGCAGAGAAGGGAACAAGTGAATCCCTGGGCCACTCAAGAGAAGCAAGAAGGCCAACTTCTAAAACAAGTTATTTTACGGCAGGCAGCCAGTGTAGGTCCAGACTGAGTTATGTGTCCTTTGTGTTGAACAACTACTAGTTATCAGGTAAGTCATAAAGGAACATTCGTAAAATTAGATTCACCACTTGTTTTTATAGCACTCATTAAGGGACATAAAAGACAATTCTTTTCAGCGTTTTGGTGCTGAATTATAAATTCAATTAACTGGACACAGTTAACCTCATAGATCCAGAAATCTTTATATTAAAGAAGCAACTTCCACCTATAAGCAGGAAAAAAAAAAAAAAGATAAGCTCCTCTCTCTGGCTTCCAAATCCCTCCACCCCAATTGAGCAGACTTTCTGCCATCATCACTCACGTCTGCCTTTTCTCCTTCACTTGTGCCTTCTTCTCTGCTTTAGGAAAAAAAATAATTTCAAAATCAAGAAAAAACAAACAAACAAACAAACCACCACAGGCTGGCCAACATGGCGAAACTCCGTCTCTACTAAAAATATAAAAATTAGCCGGATGTGGTGGCGCATGCCTGTAGTCCCAGCTACTCACGAGGCTAAAGTATGAGAATCGCTTGAACCCGGGAGGCGGAGATTGCAGTGAGCCAAAATTGCGCCACTGCACTCCAGGATGGGCGACAGAGCAAGACCCTGTCTCAAAACAACAACAACAAAAAAGCCAAAAAAAAGCCCCCAAATAACACCAACCACCCTGAGACTTTAAATCCTCCAGCAAGATATAGAATCTCTCTTCAGCCTAAGTTTACTCCAGGGATCATAATAGCCATAGGGCTGCTGTGAGAGTTAATACAACTAAATAATAAACTTAGCTGAGTACCTGGCCAGTATGCCATAAAAGGTAATGCCATTAATATCATTTTCAAAAAACTTCACAAATAACTATCACAGTTATTAATATCATTTTCAAAAAACTTCACAAATAACTGTCACAGTTATTAATATCATTTTCAAAAAACTTCAAGTCCCATCTCCCCTACTAACTCTTTCCCAGTAATCTAATCAGTACTTATTGAACATATAATGTGTACCAGGCCCTGAGTTAGGTCCCAGAGATGGAAAGATGAGTAAGGCACTGTCCCCTTACTATGGGGGTCCAGACATGAGACTAAATACTGTGTCCTCGTTAACATATTCCTTCTCTAAATTCCTCTCCACGCACCACCCAGGCTGGCATCTGATTACACAGTGACCTTTTGCTGGTCTCTGGCTGATTTATATATGTCTATATATAGTGTCTCCCCAGCAGATTTATGTCAGAATAGTAGGAAAAGACAAAACAAAACATGAGCGCCAGCATCAGGAAGCTCTACAACTTAAAAGAGGTGGAGCAGCAAGTAGTTCAAGTGTGAACTCTGCAGTCATTCATGGTGGATCAAACCCCACTTCACCACTTACTACTGCTGTGTGACCTCAGGTAAGTTACTTAACTCCTCTGTGCCTGTTTCATCTAAAACCAGGATAACAACAATCCCTGTCTCACAGGGATTTAGGGATTTTATGTGGATTCAAAGAGATGACGTGTTTAACATGTTTAATACTACTTAGCTTAAAGCAAATTATACCCCAGAGAAGGCTACCTATGTCTAGCCCTGATGTTCCTCATCTGGACACAGGAATGTTCATCTTGGAAAGTTAATATGAGGACCAAATAACACAGTCTGAGGTAAGCACTGGCACAGTTTGTGGCACCCAGTGACTTCAGTGAGAATCTAATTACTGCTGGGGTCTCCTCCCATGAGCAAGAAGCAGATCTTTCTTCACACCTTTTTCACAGTGGTGCCCTATCAGTCCAAATTAGCATTCGCTAATTTAATGTGAATGGGAATGGAGGGAATGGAAAGGAATGAGGATTTCTAAAGCTATTCTTTAGAAGAAAATTCTTTGTATTGCATTTTTTAAATGAGGAGGTGGTGGGATGGAGAAGACAAACAACAGGATACAGGACACGTGAATTTATGCGAGTCCTACAAATACCTATCTCTTGGCAAATGATTTCTCTGCCCAGTGTCCACCTTGGTTCAATGAGTTGGAAGCGATGGACAAAGCATTTCATCAAGGCCTCACGTCACCAAAAGCCTGGGTGAGAGTTAAGAGGGACAATGTTTCCCTACAGCAGCCAGGCCATGGTGGAGCAGCACAGTGGACTGAGGTGTCCTGGCCAGTCACAGCTCTGGATGGCCCCCTGTGGGCACACAGGGGGTCGGGGGGATGGGGGAACAGACAGACAAGCTTCCATGGGTGGGCCACTCCTGAGCCACAGAAGGAAGAAACAAAGTCAGCTGTTCAGAAGGATGTCCAGACCATCCAGTGATGAAGGTTGAGGGAGGGGTGCCGGCATTTTCTACCAAGCAGAAAACATAGAGACTTCCTCTGCAGATTTTTAGAAAAGGGACCCACAGCAATTCCTCCGGCACACGTGAGCACGGACTGCCTGCTCCGAGGCAGGCGATGGGGGATGGGGGGATAAGCCAGGTGGTCCCTCAGGGATGCTTCCAGCCCAAGGAATTTAAGGGTGGTTCCCAAGTCTCAAACATCCAGGACTGAACGACAGCAAAGGTATCATTACATTTATCTTCACTTGGCATCCAAAGCAGCTTCGGGAAGCAACCTGGCATGCTCAAAGGAGCACTAGGAAATACAGAGAATCAGAGCCCAGTGCCTGACTCCGCAACTGTGTAGCTGTGTGACTCTATAGCGAAGTCTTTTCACCTGTCAAGGCTCAGTTTCTTCATCTATAACAGGAGAAAATTGGAGCAGAGAATCCCCAAGTCCCTTTCTAAATTTGTGTGGCTATGTTAAAGGAGAAGAATGACCTCTTCCCTTCCTGCTTTCCCAAGCAGGGTCCACACCAGACAGGAGTGGACAAGAACTCCAGGAAACTTTGAAAATGCCTGGGGGAGGGGGAGAGGCACAACAAAGCCCCTTACTTTCTTTCTTTCTTTCTTTCAAAGTCACTCCCAGCTTCTTGGGACACAAAAGTATCTGTTAAGGTAAGTTAAACCTTCTCAAGATGAATTTTCCTGCGACTTTTAATTAAAAGTTCTTTAGAATTTAAAGAACACTATTCAGAAAAGGCTGAAAAAAAAATTTCATTGACACTCCCCCCTCCCCATCCCCCCTTTCCCAAGGAAAAGAAAAAGCTGTTTTGTGCACAGCTCGCCCGGTCCACACTGTACAAAAGGAGGTGGGCTGGCGGCAAGACACATGAGATGACCCTTTGACCCCAGACCGCTGACAAGTCCTCAATGGCATAAATACCAGATAATCAATCACATGCCAGGAGGGCGAGTCCCCCTGCCCTCGCCCCAGCGTTGGGGTTTATGAGAGATACACTGTAAATAGACACTGGCTTCTTAAAAGAGGCCCCCCTCAGCATTCCAGGGGCCGGCCATAATCCCGAACCAGGCCTGGCCAGATCCTTGACCATCTCGTTTTACAGCTTTCATCGCGAGCTTATAAAGCGCTCTGCCCTCCCAATCCCCCACTGCAAGCTGGCCTTCCTGGTATGAAATGAAGTCAAACTCCCCACTGCGAACGCAAACGGGGACTCTGAAAATCACTGCAAAGAAGGTGAGGGCAGAGGACAAGCAGGAAATGGGGCGGGTCGCCAATAACACCCCAATGCGGGGGAGGGGGAAGGGAGCCAACCAGGACCTGGGGAAGTGACGAAGAATCAATAAGGATGATACTGATGACAATGGTAACAACTGTGGTAACAGTAGTTAGCACTGGCTCAACACTTAGTAAGCACCAAACCCCACAGTAAGCACTTCATGTGTATCCTGTTATCTATCCTCAAAAATAACTCTAGGAGGCGGGCACTATTATTGCTATGCCCATTTTACAGATAAGGAAGGTAGGTGGGGGGCTCAGAGTTCAAATAATTTGTCCAAGGCCACAGTGACAGTTAATGACAGGGAAGATGAGATTTAAACCCACAGAAATGGCTCAGGTCTAGATATACCTCCACCCCACACCACCAAGTCTATGGATTTCTGCCTGGAAGGAGAAGAAGGTAGAAATCAATCTGCACTTTTAGGTCACTCACTTGGCTCATGCCTGTAATCCCAGCACTCTGGGAGGCCAAGGAGGGTGGATGAACTGAGGTCAGGAGTTTGAGACCAGCCTGGCCAAAATGGTGAAACCACTGTCTCTACTAAAAATAGAAAAATTAGCTAGGGGTGGTGGTGCACACCTGTAATAATCCCAGCTACTCGGGAGGCTGAGGCAGGAGAATCGCTTGAACCCAGGAGGCGGAGGTTGCAGTGAGCCGAGATCAAGACACTGCACTCCAGCCTGGCGACAGAGTGAGACTCCATCTTTAAAACAAAACAAAAAAAAAATCAACATATCATCTGAATAGTTAAATCTCCAAGACAGCCAGAAACTAGGCTAGTTTCAGAGGAGAAAGAGTTTTTACATCCAACTCACAAATTTTGAACCCCACTGTGGTATAAGATTCTCATCTCTGTCCTTTAACCCACCTTAGACCCCAAGAGCCCTGGCAGTGAACACCAGGCCTGGGATGTCTCTAAGGTAATGATGGCCTTCCAAAATTTTGCTCTTGCTCTGGGAAGTTTACCAAGATTCTAAACTAGCCCCGGCAAACAGGGAAGTGGGGGTGAGGAGAAGAAGACAGACGCTCTTGGTAAATAATTTTGATAATGCTTTTGTTTCAGGGTCAAAGGTTAAATATGGCCACACTAATCCGCTTCTTCCAAAATTAAAGCACAAGGGAGATTTTTCTGTAGCTTAGCAAGAGGGCTTTTTCTCATTGCTGGGGAAATGGTACTGATCCCGCCCACTGAACGGGGATGCTCGGCTGTTGCAGACAGAGATTTGTGCTAATTTGGACAGAACATCCCAGCTCCTGGCTGCAGGGTTAGAGTTATTTATTATTAAGACCAAAGTGAAAGAAATGCAAGGTGATTCTTAAAAATTTTAATAGTCCCTCTGTCCCACCCCACCGGCTTTTGAATAATGCTTCCTGAAATGTCCTAGAAAGGAGAGAGGAGAGTAAATGCTTGGGAACCCGACACTCACAAACTGTGCACGCGCGCGCACGCACACACACACACACACACACACACACACACTAGCTTTGGCTGTAAGAGAAAACATTAATGATCAACCCGCACATTTGCAATGTTTCACAGAGTGCAGAGTACACCTCCTTCATCTGCTCTTCTCAGCAGGCTCACCGGGCAAGTGGCTTTTTGACCCTCTTCTACCAATGAGGAAACCAAGCTTCTGAAAGGACAAGCAACTTGTCTGAAGTCTTGCTCCTAATAAGTAGCAGCACCAGGGCTAGAAATTTCTTTGTTCCTGTGGCTGCATTCCTGAGACTGTAGCAGACATACAGATATCCTTCATGAAGAAATATGGGGTCCCCTCAACAAACATGAGACCCACAGCAGGATGCCAGAAGGAACTCTGATCAGAAATGCCTCTCTCGAACCCATTTTCCTAAAGCTTATCCCTGGGCTGTGGTGTACTCCTGAAGTGGCAAGTGAGAGAGGGGTGAACATGCCTGGGGGCCTGAAATTGAGGATTCTCTATCCTTGCCTCCTGCTCTGACCAACAGTTAATTTTTCTCTTCCTTAACCCTGGTTGGGGGAATAGTCACCACCCTAAGGCAGAGGAGAGCCCCCCAGGGAGGCAGTTGCCTTGCAAGAAATGATTGTCCAAGTGTCAACAACCTGCTGCTTCCCAGAGCCTCAGGGTCAGAGGCCAGGAGGGAGCACAATGGCTTTCTGGAGCTGAAGGGTCTGGGGAGAGGGGCCTCTGGGGATCTCCGGAATGTGAAGGCTCTGAATCCAGGCACCGGGGTCTCCTGTTTTTGCCCTTTTATATCCTTCCTCCCTCCACAAATCCCAGACACCATTAACCTGAAAAACAGTAGATCAAGAAAGGAACGGGATTAGTAACAGCCTACATACACATGCATACACAAAAAAGTTTATTTCACAAGAAATGGCCAGCAAATCCTTCTCCAGCACACAAAATAAGTGCACCCCAAAGCAGCTTTGAGTGTCTCCTCCTCCTGCTTCCAAACCTTCCCTGCCCACTCACCCCACCAGAGTTGGGTTATCCACCTTTTCTGCATCCATGATGCAAGTCGCAAAAAGACCTCCTTTGTCTCTGCCCTCTTCTTATCTGCTGTCTCCTGGGGGCAAGTTATCTTCGGATGCGGGCACCTGCACAAGTGGTTGGTTCTCAAATCCCATTGAATGAATGAGATTTACAAGGGAATTACACAGTTTGGGGAATCTCTTCCTTCTGAAACTTTCTACTCTAGAGGTTATGGATCTGGAATGGTTTGCCTGTGGAATCTGTCTCATTGACCCATTCGGATGACGCCGAATCAAAAACCTTAAGATACCTTTCTTCCTAACTTCTGCCCACCACCTAACACTGAATACTTAATTACTGAATACTTAATCACTGAATGGACCAGTCTGTTTCCCTCATTATTTTCTCTATCATTCCAAACAATAGTGGTTAACTTGCTCTTGTACAGCATTTGTGGTGGTGGTACGTGCAGGGAGAAAGCAAGGTAGGTGCAAGATAAAAGAAGCCAACGGAAGAAAAGGGCCCAGAAAAGCTGGGATGGGAGGCTGTGCAGAGGGCACAGACTGGGGTGCATTGGCATTGCAGGGCACCCTGAAGCCAGAGCCCATGACAGGAAACCACAGCAAGAGGAAACATCACAATGACATCACCTTACATCTGAATCATGCTTTACTGCTTGCAAAGACCCTACCCTGTTCTAAGACCATTTTGGTCCTCACATCCCTTTTTGAGGTATAAAGGGCAGGTATGGTGTCCTAATTTTTCAGACAAGGAATCTGAGACTTGCAAAGGATGAGTGACTCTTCCAAGGTCCTTCACCTGGCAAGTGAAGAGCAAAAATCTGAAGCCAGACAAGAACAGATTCTTCATTCCTGCTTCTAATCAGGAAGCTCCCTTTTCTGTTTTTGATTAATCATGCAATAAGCATTTATTGAATGATTATTTGAACTAACACAGTAGAAAGGCCCAAGTCCCCAAGGTGGTTCAATCTTCACCCTAACTCGTGCAGTGGCAAGATAGCTAAGGGCAAGTGGTGTACATCTATGGTGCTGGAGACCAGAAGGAGGGTCAACTGTGAAAAGGGTGTCATAGAGAAGACAAATGAGCTGAGAAGACTCTATTAATACCAGGCAGGCAAGGCCAGGCGTGGTGGTTCACACCCGTAATCCCAACACTTTGGGAGGCCGAAGTGGGTGGATCACCTGAGGTCAGGAGTTCGGGACAAGCCGGGCCAACAGAGTGAAACTCCATCTCTAATAAAAATACAAAAATTAGCTGGGCATGGTGGCACACGCCTGTAATCCCAGCACTTTGGGAGGCCAAGGCAGGAGGATCACTTGAGGTCAGGAGTTCGAGACCAGCCTGGTCAACATAGTGAAACCCTGTCTCTACTAAAAATACAAAAATTATCTGGGTGTGGTGTCGCATGCCTGTAATCCCAGCTACTCAGGAGGCCGAGGCAGGAGAATCGCTTGAACCCAGGAGGCGGAGGTTGCAGTGAGCTGAGATCTTGCCACTGCACTACAGCCTGGGTGACAAAGTGAAACTCTGCCTCAATATGTGTGTGTGTGTGTGTGTGTGTGTGTGTGTGTGTGTTGTGTGTGTGTATCAGGCAAACAAGACACATGAGAGTGTGGGGGTTAGTGGAAGATGCATGGAGGAGAAAAACAGCCAGGAGAGTCTGGGAAATTCTAAGTGGCTCAGTGTACACGCATCATAGGGGGTGACAAAAGATGAGGCCTGTGACTCTGATTGTGAGGAACCTTCTGGGCCACGCAGCAGAGTCTAATCTTATCCCATCTGGAAATTCAAAACCCTGGTTATCCATAGGAATCTCCTGGGGAGCTTGAAAATACATCCATGTCTGAGCCCCATGCAGGAGGTTCTGACTCATCCGGGTTGAGGTGGGAACCTTTGCTTGCTATTAATACATTTTTTTCATAAAGTTCCTCTAAATGATTTCACTGTGTAGCTGGGGTAAGACAATGATGATGCTTTGAAGGATAAGAGAGAGAGACGCAAGAGCAGGTATGGGTGTTAAGATGGCAGAGACATCCTTACCTAGGATGTAACACATGAGGCCAAGCACCAAAACTTGGGCTGCAGCCATCAACTCTGCATCCACCCTCCATTGCCACCTTTGTCTTACAGGAATGAGGCAGTCGTTCAAAAACAGAGCATGCCGCCATCCTGGGGTCTTATGTGATAAACCTCTCACTAGGGTCCTTTCCCAGTGTCACTTGCCTTCAGACCAACAAGCTGCAGCTGTCAAACCAAGGGCACCTGAGAGATCAGACAGAGAAGTAACATGGGGGAAATGCTGTGTGCAGAAGCCATAGGTGTCTAGCCACAGCAGACTGGATTTTGGGCAGACAAAGGGATGGGGAACCTAAAAACATCACTCCTCAATTCTTAGTGCAGGTATATCACATCCAATTGCCTTGTTTTATTACTTATCTTTTTAGATATGTATGTTTTCCTCCCTAGCAATAGTTAGCTTTCTGAAAGCGGGCTGAGCCCTAATTTTTCTATTTTGTAAAAATGTACAGAATGCTTAGAACAGCACAGCTAGCAGGCAAAGTGAGGTTTGAGGAACTCCAGGCCATCAGCATCAGGCTTGCTATGGGGGCTCCTCAGGCCCATACAGAGCCCTGGTGCAGACCCTGACTCACAGACGGCCAAGGAGGGCTGCCTGGGGGCAGAATCTCCTACTCTGGGGATTTCCAGGAAAGGGAAAGAGGAGCTTTTCTGGAGATGGCACAGAGTTGTGGGTAGAGGGACAGAAGCAGTGGTCTAAGACCAGGGATTCCTGGGTTCTAGCCCACAGTGTCTCTCTCTAGCCTGCTGTGTGATCCCAGACAAATCCCAGAACCCCTCTGAAGCTCAGCATCATGCTCCCTAAAGCCCCTTGCAACAGTTCTGCAGTCTAGGAGTCTACAGATTTTAGAATTCTAGGACCCCTAATTAGTGTCTCCCGATGTGAAAACACCCCAACACTGGGCTCAGTATATGTAAATGGCAATTCCAGACTCTACTTTTGAAAGGTTGGCGATATGGCACCATGACTTGGTACTAGATGAGACAAGTCCTCTTTCTGAGTAGCAGCCAGGCTCCCTCTTGACATCCAGGAGCTTAAGATTTGGGGCCCAGTGGGTGTCCCAGAACAAGGAATCTAAGCTAGGGAGCCAGATGAGGTCAGTGGCCAAGACCTTGCCCTCTAGACCACTTGTCTGGAGACAGGGGATCCCGAGCCATTTCAAAATAGAAAAACCCTTGGTGCTCATTCATTTGTCAAAAGCCTCAAGTGTGTTCCCCAGAGGAGAGCAGTCAGAGTGACTCTAGGGCCCAAGGGGCAGCTTTCAGATGCAGAGTCTCCCCCTTGTCAATTCCTGTAACTAAAATGAATATGGAAAAGATAATTACCTTTAAAACATACTTAATACTTGAACACATTATCTCTACCTGCAGAAAAAGAATGTTATCTGATGGGATCTTCCCCATAAGCTTAATCAAATTGCTATCTTAAAACTCTCTGGAGTCCTGTGAAACAGTAATAGAAAATCCGAGGCAGAGGCTGGAAGCATTTTATATTTGTTTGGTTGAGGGGAACGTGCGTCCCATCTGACAATGCACACTTAAGAGACAAAGTCATTTCCAATCTGTAATGGATCTTCTCCTACTGGGGGCAGGGAACATTGCGTCTGACCCAAACCTACAATCTCTCTGTTAGCTAACTTCTCCTAAGGTTCAGAGAAGAAATTTTTTTTTTTTTTTTTTGAGACGGAGTCTCACTCTGTCACCCAGGCTGGAGTGCAGTGGCGCGATCTCGGCTCACTGCAAGCTCCACCTCCCGGGTTCACGTCATTCTCCTGCCTCAGCCTCCTGAGTAGCTGGGACTACAGGCGCCCACCACTACGCCCGGCTAATTTTTTTGTATTTTTAGTAGAGACGGGGTTTCACCACGTTAGCCAGGATGGTCTCGATCTCCTGACCTCGTGATCCGCCCACCTCGGCCTCCCAAAGTGCTGGGATTACAGGCATAAGCCACCGCGCCCGGCCGAAATTTTTTTTTCAAATGCCTTTTTCCTAATGCCTGGTTGGGGCTCATCAGCTCCAGGAAATCTTCCCTAGTTGGGCCTGGGATACTTAATGTATGGAGATGCTTAACTTGTTACTTAACTCTGGGTTTTAACGTGGCAAATGAATTGATGCCTATATTTTCCTCAGTCTGCCCGACCTCAGGGCAGTGCCATTCGTTAAATTAGTAGCGGAAGTAAATTACCTGCCCAAATCCAGCTCAGGGCGAGTGACCACTTGCAAGCCTAGAGAAAACCAAAAGGGAAACAGTTTCTAAGAAGACTGAATGTGGGGACTGGATATGTTCCCAGCATCTCAAGCTTGCCTGGGATGGTCGAGTAAACAGCTACTGCAAAACTGCTTGGCGGGCCCAGTTTATCTTGTTGACAGAAGCAGCAATAGGTGAGAGGTGGTAATGAGCTGCATCTCTGTTAGCCACTTCTCCTGCCTGGAGCCCCTGGAAGGTCCTCTGGATACAGGGTCTGGTCCCTGGTGCACAAGTAAGGAACATCAGAGATCATGGGGAGAAAAAAACGAATGGGTGTAGGGAGAACACTGGGAAACCATTAAAATGATCATCAAGACATAGGTCTGTTGGTAGGCAAATCACAGATTACAAAACAGTATGCACTGAATATCATAGCCCCATTTGTGAATAAAAGAAAAATGAGACCGGGTGTGGTGGCTCACACCTGTAATCCCAGCACTTTAAGAGGGTGAGGTGGGTGGATCACCTGAGGTCAGGAGTTTGAGGCCAGCCTGGCCAACATGGTGAAACCCCATCTCTACTAAAAAATACAAAAATTAGCCGGGCATGGTGGTGCATGCCTGTGAAGGCTGAGGCAGGAGAATCGCTTGAACCCGGAAGGTAGAGGTGGCAGTGAGCCGAGATCGTGCCATGGCACTCCAGCCTAGAAAACAAAGCAAGACTGTGTCTCAGAAAAAAAAAAAAAAAGATAGTGGGACACAGAGAACATATTTCTTTTGTTTGTAAGTATTTTCTAATTTCCCCACACTGAAGCCGTATTACAGGTATGATTTTTCTTAAAATGGGGTGCCTGGGTCAATACCATCCGTGTCTTGCTTTTGACAAGAGTGACTCCTCCCAGGCCAGATGATGGCTGGCTTTTCTTCTAGAAATCTACACAGACGCAACTACCCCGTCTCCTCCTGACTTTGCAGATGTCGGACTCACTACTTCACCAGATCAGAGTTCAGACCTGATCCTTCCTTCCTGTTTCTGAAAATGGAGGAATGGGGAGGGCAAGGAGGCATCCCAGAGCCACCCCTACTCCCTGCTGCCTTCTGTGAATAGAATGATTCTAAAGGTGCCACAGTCTCCTGCACTGTCTGAATGGTCACTATGATGCAAAGCGTTACCTGCAGTCCTGTGATGCCGCAGGTATAGGAGGTTGGGTTAAGTCTGTAAGAACCAACAACATACCTGGAAGTTGTTTTTTATTTTAATTGAAATATAATTCATGTACCATAAAATTCCACCCTTTTAATGTTTTTGTTGTTGTTGTTTTTGCAGGGGGGCGGGGGGGTTGTTTTTAACAGGCAGGGTCTTGCTCTGTTACCCAGCCTGGAGTACAGTGGTGCCATCAAAGCTCACTGCAGCCTCAAGCTCCTGGGCTCAAGTGATCCTTCTGCCTCAACCTCCCAAAGCATGAGCCACTGTGCCCGGCCCTTTTATTGGTTTTTAATGTATTCATAAAGCTGAATACCATCACCACCACTATCTAATTCCAGAATATCTTCATCACTCCAAAAAGGAACCACATACCCATTAGTAGTCACTTCTCATTTTCCCCAAGCCTGTGGCATCCACTAATCTACTAACTGTCTAGAGCTCTCTGTTCTGAACATTTTCACATAAATGGAATCATCTAATTCATGGCCTTTCATGTCTTGCTTGTTTCACTTAGCACGGGATTTCCAAAGTTCATCCATGCTGTAACATGCATCAATATTTTACTCTTTTTATGGCCAAATTATAGTCCATGGTATGGATATACCACATTTTGTATATCCATGCATCAGCTGATAGGCAATTGGGTAGTTTCCACCTTTTGGCTATTGTGAACAACACTGCTATGAATGTTCATGAGTAAGTTTTTATGTGGACACATTTTCAATTCTCTTGGGTTGGAAGTTACTTTTTGAAAATAAATTCTTGTTATTAGGTTGTCATTTGTCTCTCTCCCACATTAAAAACAAAAAGAGCACAGGACAGTTAAAAAAAATCTGAGACTTCCAACTACTTGGGTTCCAAATAAGTGATACCTGCCTGTCCTTGCCACACTCCAATCTCACACACACACTTTTACTGCATTCCCCTCTGCCCCCTCACCCCGGGGCTCCGCAGGACTGCATCCTTAACCCACAGCCCTCACCAGCCCAAATTATGCCTCTAAGCAGGAATCTTCACTGCAGCATATGAAATATTTAAGCCGCTTTTCTAAATATATACATTATTTAGCCTACAGTCTATAAAATATTGATATTATTTGTTTCTCCCACGCCCAAATATCTGCATTATTTACGGTACAGTTGGGGAAACATTTTTCCTATTGCCTGTGTCACTGGGGCACACACAGATTGGAGAGAGGCAATAGTGACAGTTCTCTCGCCCAGGTCACACAGAAGGCCCTGGGAATGCAGGAGATAACAGTGTCCAAAGCCAGATGGACAGCACTGTAGTCACCTCTGTGACCTCGTGGTACCATGGGAACAGGGAGCAAACACCCCGTTATTTCTCGAGGGCAGTTTTGTATTCCAAGCTCAGTGCCCCACTACTGTTGATATTTAATTGATCCCCAAGTCTCCCATATGGGGAGTCACTCCCACTTCCAGCTGAGCTCATTCTTATTTGTGGCCTCTGTCACCCCCTCCAGGTGTGACCTCAGTCCTTATGTCGGTGTAAGAAAAAGCTCTCTTCTTACTCACTTCCTCCGTCAGGCCCATAGTGAACAAGACAGCAGCCCTGACCTCTGAGTGCTGGCACAGGCCCATTCCCCTGTGCTGCATTCTCCATCTGGCATTTATCTGTTCTAACAGTGGGAAACTGAGGCACCTGCCAGTGTGGCTGAGATACTGATGTCCATGAGCGCTCCCAAAACTCATTTATTTGTACTTGCAGCCTTTTCTTTTTAGAAGTCCTCCTTCCATACACAGAATGAGACTTGAAGGTGATATTTTTCTTATTTATAAAGTGACTTTAATTTTTAAAATTATGTAAGTGATATGTGCTTGTAAATCATCATTATTATTACTCAAAAATAGATAAAGCAGAAAGTAGAACACCTTTGCCCTATAATCCCACTTCTAAAGATAATCATTGTTAACAGGTATAGAGCATTACAGAGTCTTATAGGGTGGCTTTAGTATTTTATATGAAATGGGACCACACTATATAACCTGATTTCTCTAATCAGCTTTTATCATGCAAAACATCATGGACATCTTTCCATACCATCATTGACAGATTCCTTACTTTTGGATATTTAGGTCATTCTCATTGCTTTGCAATTACAAATAGTGTTGCAATCAGCATCCCTAAGGAAAGCTTAGAAACTTTGGTACATAAAGGCCAAAGTCGGGGATGAAACGCCAAGGGTTTCTGAGCATTTGCCACACTGTCTCAGGGGCCTGCTGATAACAGGCCCTACTGCCACGGCGGTCGGTGGTTGAGACACTGGTCCCCGGATTCCTCAGGGAGCAACCCTGGGCCCGGCTTGGTGGCACGTACCTCCTTAACTTAGACACCTCCAATGAGATGCCAAGGTGTGCAATGAACTTTCTCCTCTCCTGGCTGTCTAACTCAGAAGAGGTTGTCTCTTCCTCCTCCTCCTCCTCCCCCTCCTCCCACCTCCACTCCCTTTGGGTACCTCTACTTACCCTGCCTCTGTTTTGAATCTCTAAAATAATGTGACAAGTTAATGATGGTACAATTATCTAAATGTTTAACAGACATGTTATCTAAGTGAGTCGGATTGAGATTCCATCCCGCTGACAGTAAACATCAATGGTGGAGCAGAAAGCGATAGGCAAATTATAGCAAACCCTGCAATTTCAATGCTATTAACTTTGGAGGAATAACAGCCTTGAGGCCTGTAAACTCTGAATAAAATAGGCCCTTGTGTTTGTCCAACTATTAAATCAAAATGCTACCAACATCCTAGAAAAAACAAGGCAATTTATGGCCTTTCAAGTTTCAGTTACACATTGGTTTTTATTAACTCCTTTCTGTCATCAGGCAGCCATGGCGTCACTAAGGAGAAGGGTGAGAAGTCAGAGAGGAAACACAGGAGTGGACAGTGGGAGAGAGAGGGATAAAGGAGAAGCTTGAGGGGCTGAGCATGGGCACGAGGGGAGACGAGTGGAAACCTGAGATCAAGAACTGAGGTTGATTATTCAGGACTCGGATGTGGGGACAATTCTGAGAGTGAAGGGGCAACTCAGACCAGTGAGGACGGTGAGTCCTGCCAGATCACCCCAAGAAAACACCAACCTGGAATCCCAGTCCTGCCACTGGATGAGTCATATTATTTAAGCCTCTCTGGGCCTGTGATTCCTCATCAGTGATGCAGACAGTGAAGCCCCCCTTAGTGGTGTCCTGATGACTATATTGGACCATACATAAAAAGCCACAGTGCTGGGCACAGACCACGTTCTGAATAATAGTCCTCAAAGATCAGACTCTATCCTTCCCCTCCAATTTCTAGAACAGTTTTTAAGAGGCAAAAGATCTTCATCTTTAATCCCTTCTTCAGACACAGTAGGTATTTAATACACTGTTACTGAATAAGCTACTAAATAAAGTGGAGGAATTCTTGTCTACTGGTGAGGGACAGAAACTGCAGGCCTCTAAAAATAACAGTAGCAAGCAGCTACCACTTATGCATACATCAGTCCTCCTTCCCAGGGCTCAGGGCTTCACATGTATGATTTTTTTTTTCTTTTTTTCTTTTTTTTTTTTTGAGACGGAGTCTCGCTCTGTCCCCCAGGCTGGAGTGCAGTGGCGTGATCTCTTCTCACTGCAAGCTCCGCCTCCCGGGTTCACACCATTCTCCTGCCTCAGCCTCCCAAGTAGCTGGGACTACAGGTGCCCGCCACCAAGCCCGGCTAATTTTTTGTATTTTTAGTAGAGACAGGGTTTCACCATGTTAGCCAGGATGGTCTTGATCTCCTGACCTCATGATCCGCCCACCTCGGCCTCCCAAAGTGCTGGGATTACAGGTGTGAGCCACCGTGCCCGGCCCCACATGTATGGTTTTATGTAGTTCTTACAGCAACCATTATGATTATTAATCGTAGTTTACAAATGTGAAAAACTAAGGTTGAGAAAAATACAGACCATCAATGCAAGATCAGAATCTTAGGCTGTCCTTGGAACCACAGAACCCCCCAAACAGTACTTTTCTTGCCCAATTCCTACACACTACCTTTGAGAGAAGCAAGGAAACGAAGCCATTTGTCCCATATGAAGCAAGTCCATAGCAGAGCCAGGATAAGAACCTAGTTCTCCTTCTCCTAATTCATTATTGCTTCCAAACACCATGCTGCCTCCACATCCCCAATGGTAATCTGCAATCACATTTCCACTAGGGTGGGAGGCCGGGGAAGGGCAAGGTCTGTGTCCTGCCCACTGCCCAGCGGCATCCATGGCTGGCATCCCCATCCCGGGGCCCAGCATCCATGTCCAGCATCCCCGTCCCGGGGCCCAGCGGCATCCATGTCCAGCAGCCCCGTCCCGGGGCCCAGCGGCATCCATGTCCGGCATCCCCATCCCGGGGCCCAGCGGCATCCATGTCCGGCATCCCCGTCCCTGGGCCCAGCGGCATCCATGTCCGGCATCCCCGTCCCTGGGCCCAGCGGCATCCATGTCCGTCATCCCCGTCCCGGGGCCCGGCATCCATGTCCGGCATCCCCGTCCCGGGGCCCAGCATCCGTGTCTGGCATCCCGGTCCCAGGTCCCAGCATACATGTCCAAAATCCCTATCCCAGGACCCAGCATCCATGTCTGGCATCGAGAAACACTCAAGATGTCTGTGGAGGAAATGAGCTTCAGCCCTTTCTAATCCAAACCTGCCTTGCTTAAATTCTCCTTCTCCAATCCCAAAAGAGCCAAACACCACTGATCCCCTCAAATCACTGTCCAGGGCAGTGATGCTTCATATAAAATGTGCTGGGGTGATGAAAGGGCAGAGCACAAAGGACTTTCAGGGCAGTGAAGCGGCTATTCTGTATGATACAAAAATGGTGAATGCGTGTCCTTACATGTCTGTCCAAATCCACAGACTGTACACCACCAGGAGTGAACCCTCATGTGAACTGTGGGCCCTGGGTGACAATGATGTGCCAGCGTAGACTCACCAATTGTAACAAATGTACCACCCATGTGGCGTGGGATGTTGATGGTGGGGGAGGCTGTGCACTTGCGTGTGAGGACGGGGGTACAGTGGGAACTCTATACTCTCCATTCCATTTTGCTATAACCTAAAGCTGCTCTTAAAAAAATGAAATTTATTAATTTAAAAAAGAGTATCGGGGGCCCCTCCAGAAGGTGGCCAGAGGGGCCCTGGGAGCCACTAGGGTGAACAATGGAGAGAAAGAATAGCTGGTCTGGGCCAGCAGGAGACGGCTGGGTTGTTCCTCCCTACTCTACAGCAAGCAGCTCCAGCACAGCCGAGAGCCCCTGTGCTTGGAAAATAAAACTCTATATTAGGCATCAAACATGCCTTTATAGTAACAGCATGAAATTAGGTCAAGAGTAAATCTATGCTGGGGCACTGACTGTACAAACAGCAGCACATGACCCTCCTCCCAAAGTGCCTATGACGTTCCGCGGCCGTTCTTCAGCCTGAGCTTTCTCATGTTAAATTCCTTGGCACAGAATGTGAAATGCTATACAAATCACCTCTGATATTTATAAAAGTCAAATGCTATTATGTTTTCAATGGGGAGGTCACAGCAAACCACATGGAGTCTGCCTGTCCCTCTGATGACTCACTGTCCTGTCCTCCCCGATACCCTCCACCTTGGACAGAGGTTTGAGGTTCGTTTGGATTTTTTTTTTTTTTCATGTAAAGTTTAGGTAGATTAAGTTATTTGTCATCATCTGGCCCCCTCCCAGCTCCTCTGGGACCAGCCACTGGGAGGCTGTTCTTGAGAGCAGGAACTAGAACAGTTGCCAGTTTTCCTATCATTACAGGACTCCTTGGTGCCCAGCACTGTCCCTCGTGCCAAGCTCAGGGCAGGAGGGGGCAAGGCCAGCAGCTATCCTGAGGGAAGGAGCGTTGCTGCTCACCCTTTTAAATCCTCTGCCTTCTGCACTCCAGCCTGGGCGACAGAGCGAGACTCTGTCTCAAAAATAATAATTAAAATAAAATAAATCCTCTGTCTTGCCTGCTACTCCCACCCCACCCCCTGCCCCCACCATGATCACCCACTACAGAAAATTCTCCAAACAAGGACTTCATTTTCTACTCTGAAGTTCAGAGCCAGGGACTGTCTCTGAAGCTTCCTCCAAATATTATTAACATATCAGGAGAGAGGGGCCAGTGCAAGCAGGCAGCCAACACCAAGGTTGGAGAGACAGTTCTGCACCTCCAAAGGGGGAGGCCACACAGTGCAAAGAGAGAGAGAGAGACAAAGAGAGAGAAACAGAGAGTGGGGGGAAGACAGAGTATATGCCTCCTAGACTCCTTCACACTGAAACGAAGAGGACCCTTTGGGTGGGGTTCCCTCCAATGCCCACTCCCTGCTAGAAGGGAAGGGCAGAGTCCACAGCATGGACCCTCAGCCGCCAGAGGTATGCCGTTTCTGGACTGCAAGACTCTTGCAGCCGACAACACAGTGGATGAGAACCAGCATCTCAACATTTGCATCTGGTTGAGTGGCTTCCCCTGTGACGCAGTAATGTGGAAACTAAGCAACCTTTTCTAGGCCAGTAAAAGAAAGTACTTATTTTGTAGTCACAGTGGAGAGAACCTTGGGCTGAACTCGTGGGCCCTAATTCTAGTTTGGATTGTGTGTTCTTAACTGACCCCCTTTTTCAAATAGGGGCTTTGATCCATTGATCCGCACATGAGAGCTGATGCCCAGGCCCCCACAGGGAGGGAAGACAATGCTAAAATGTGGGCTCTGGGGTACAGAAGCCCAAGGCACACATTCAAGTCCTGCCCCAGATTGGTCTTCCTTAACCTTTCTGGGACTCAGTTTTCTCTGGCAAAGATTAGGGAGGAAAAAAGGTCTATATTTTTGGACTATAGTGAAGACTTAATAAAAATAATAACTCAAAAGTATCCAAAAGAGTACAGCTATTGAATTATCTGTACCTAAGGCAAGTTCAACCTACATGCTCATTTCCTTCATAACACCGTAACCTTCAGGAAGGCAGGGCCCAATTTCTGTTCACTATTATGTATTAAGTCCACAAAGCACCTAGCATACAGTAGGTACTTAAAAACTCAGAGAATGAGGAAATGAAGGAACTACAGGATAAGCCAGCTACACAGGCTACTCTCACAGCAAACTTGAGTCACTAACCTGGCAGACCTTGCAGGGCAGGTTGAGGGCTGGAGGAGAGAGCTGAATTCCTCCAGGGTAAGTCTAGGGTCTAGTTCAACCTAGTACCCTGGGCCTGCAGAGGGTGCCCTTAAGCTTCCCAGCCTCAGAACTTCTAAACCTAGGAATGACCTTGCCTCTTTTTTCTTACTGGCGAAAAGGTAGGATGAGGTGGAAGGTTCTATTTGAAGAAGTCAAGAGATAGGGAATACCCAGGTTCCTGGTGATAGCAGACATGGTTCAGGACCCTACCAGGAACCCAAAATTCCTGAGCCTTTGAGGGCACCAGTCACTGAAGCCTCCTCTTAAGACGTGGAAGGGCACAGGCCTGGTGCTCCTGGAGGCTGGTACACCTGCTTAGTCTCGATTCCAGTTTTGCGGCCTGTCTGGCCTGGGTTTACACATCACCTGTTTAGACACCAACAGGGAATGGTTCCTTTGGGAAGCTTTGGGCATTCCAGACCTCAGGGCCTTAAGATCTACCAAATCTGCTCCCTGAGATTGCTCAAAGTGTGGAGCTTCAATCTGCCCTCACTTCTTTCAACTGCACTGAGAGGGCCCCAGTGGCTGTTAACTCAGTGGGCACATTGCAAATGTCCTCTTGGCCGGAGGACATAGTCAGGGATCCTGGAAGACCTCACCATGGCCTTGCAAAGCAGGTGTATACTGTTCCTATTCCTCCAACACCATCCTCACTGACTTGGCCCCGTCAACCTATCCAGTGGGGGAAATCCATGTTCTCAGAAGCCTCTGAGGAAGACCAGGATGATGCGATGAGAGAAACTGGCACCTCCATTTCCTGAGCACTTACTCCATGCGAGGCCTATATTGAGATTATCCAATCTGTGATGGGGCTGGAATTGGAATCTAGATAGTCTGACACCAGATCCCAAGTTCTGGGTCACTGTGCACCAAATACCCTGCACTTGACACTCTGACTTTAGGCTTCATGGGGTTCCTCTTCCCTGCAATCTGCATGACAAACCTGCACCACTCTGTTAGGGCTCAAACTTTCCTAGGAAGTAATGTCCTCTAGAGATCATCCCATCCACTTCCCTGCCTTCAGGCAGGTCTCTTGTCCCCAGGCAGTCATTTGCCCATCCCCCTTTCCTGCTCCCTGACTCCCTCAGTCTCTCTGGCCAGGCCCACACAGACCAGCCCTGGCCCCAACTCCCCCATGTTCACATTACCAATAGGTGGCTGCTCTGGGTCCCCTACAGATGGACTGAAAGAGTTGAAGGTTCCTACAGGTCACCCTCATGGCCTCTTTGCTCAGACCTCCCATTTTCTCCCGAGGGCATGCTGAAGACTGCCCGGCCTCCTACCCTGGAGCTCAGCAGCCAAGTTATCTCGCTGCCCTCTAATTAACACCACCGGATCCTGTCTGTTGCCCCCAGGCCTGTTCAAGTCCCAAATGGGGATGTACAGTGGCTTGAACAACATTATGATTTGTAAAACCCACTCCTAATTAGTTTGACTTTGAATAAAGAGGGTAATTATTTTTAAATTTATTAACTGCTGCCTGGCCAGAGAAGTTTCCAGATCAAATGACATGGAGAAGCTATTTCTGCTCAGTGATGCAGCAATTTATATTACTGATCGGTCATTAAAACCTCTGGCACAAAACCACTTGTGTTTCCTGAGCCAAGATAGTGTCCGTGTGTCAAATTTCAAACCCAGAGAATAAATTAAGCCATTAATGGTATTTATCAGTTTATCTGGACTTAAAGAACTACTTACTAATTTAAGACATTCCTGATATAGAAGCCAGGTGGTGCACTGGGTGTGCATGGGGGTGTGCACGTGCACGTATGTGTGTTTTCTCACTTTTATTTTACTGAACAGTGTAAAAAAAATTCTGATGTGTAAATGAAGTACAAGCATCTCGGGAACTGCCTAGCTGTTAATTCCTCACTGCTCTGCAACCCAAACATTTTGGAAGCAGCAGTGTTTTGCAATATGTATTTGTCATAATATAAAAGGTGTAAAATGATCTCTGTTTATCTCCTCAAAGCCTTCGTTGTACCAAAACAGAAAACTGAATGTGACAACAAAGCCTGAGCCCAGCCCAACCATAAGCGTGGCCTCCTAGAACACCAGCTTGAGCCCGTCAAGATCTTGAGGGCAGGGGGCAAGGAGGGGTCACACACACCAGGACAGAAATCCAGGTCAAATAGGGTCAAAAGGGTGAGATGTGAACATGCCATTCTCTTGGATAGGCTGGAATTGGAAATAGTTTCCATTAAATTCATTTTCCAGTTTCAAGAATACCTGTACAACACCATAACCACCTGCCCTATGCAAAGCCACACGTGAGCTCCATGAACTCCCACATGGCAGCCTTGGATATGAAACTGATCTGATTCAGGCAAACTGTATCCTACTCCAGGAGGAGGATGTACACATCAGGGTGTTGCGGCTTCTTAGTGCAATGGAGCACAGGGTTCCAAAAGAGCTCTTCCCAGGCAGGGCCATGAACTCAATGACCTCTAAACAGGATCACCCGGAACCAATCAGCCTACAGACTACTGGACAACACTCAGTCAGTGCGGAGGCAGCCAGGGAGTAGTAGAAAGAACACTTGAGTTGGAGTTGGGTCAAGTTCCAGTTCTCTACTTCCTAGTGGGTAGTGTCTAGGCCTCCATGGTCTCATCTGTTAAATGGGTGTAATCAAGGAAATTGTTTTATAAACTAAGGTAGCAAAAATATCAAGTGGCACTGGCAGTATTTTTACTGTCCCAGGGTCTCCATTCCTTCTCTTTTTCAGAGCTCTTCCCTACCTACTCTCCCGTTGGCTTCCCAACGGTACCTGGTCTCCCACCTGGCTTTTCCCACTCCAATAGCTTTAGTGACATTTTCAGCGCTCCCTGTCATCAGGCAACTCCCTTCCTCCTGGGACCCCTTTCCTGGAACAGAGAGGGCAAATAGATTTCAGACTGTATTCTCTCATTGATTATTAGGGGAACTAAAAATCCACCTGAGTTCAGCAGGAAGTAGCGCTGTGAGTGATGAATGAGCTCTGCCACATGTCGGAAAGAGTCACCATGGTCACACAGGACCCCTCTTTGCCAGCCCTATCCTGAGGGTAAAACTGCTGTTGTATCTCCCCTCGGCACTGAGCACGACACCTGCCCCACACAAGGAAGTGGCTCTTCCCTGCTGGGGGAGCTCGCCCACAGCTCACACTAAGGCTGGCAGGGAGCCCTTCTCAAAGCATCCACCTTGGTCTCTCACCCCTAATTTGGATTCATTTTCTCCATTCCCCATCCTTTCAAGAGCTCAGTTTACTCAATCTTTATTGAGCACACCACATGTGGCCTATTGAGCAAGCCACATTTTACCTCAACATCAGCAGGGGGCACTCGGTAGCTGACCTCTCCCTCCTCCAGCTGAGGAGCCCCATCCACAAGATCTCTGGGGAAAAAACAAAAGGCCCAGACCACCACATTCAGACCTTCAGCTTATTTCAAGAACAGGGCATGTGCCTGAGTTGGTCACCATCATATCCCCAGCAGGTGCCAGGCACACAGGGGGTGCTCCATATGTCTGGGGTCCGCCTAGGAACAGCCTCCACAGCTGCTCATCCCTCGGGGACTCAGCTTACTCCCCTGCCCCTGGCTGAGAGGGCAGCTGGCTCCCTGCTGCTGCAAATTTAATCTGGATGGACAGAATTAAGCTGCTTGGCAAAGCTGGCTCACAGCTCATTCCCCCAGATTAGAACTCTCAGAGTGGGATTCTCAGTTACATGCGGTCTAGCAATAAGAAAATGGCTGGGACCCTGGGAGACCCGGTTCTCCCCTTGCTTTCATGACAACCACCTCTGGAACCCTGGGCAAAATAACCTAGCCAGGTCACTTTCTCTATAACTGAGCTAGGGAGATGCTGACTGGAATGACAGCTCACCTGTAAAGCTCCCCTCCCATCATGACAGGGCAAGGCCCCTCCAGACCAAAGCTCAAGATGCCAGTCAGGAGGCATGTTTTCCACTCAGAAAAGGCAAGGACAAGAACGCTGAAATACTGATGACAATAATCTTAACAGCAGCTGACTGGTGTTCTTCCTTCTTCCACTTTAGTCCCCTGTGGTAGCTTGTTTCCAAAGATGACTGCCATCAATTCCTCCTTCCCTATAGGTTTCTGTCACTTCCCTACTGAGAAGGAGAGTCCAGCCTTCCACCGCCTTCTATCTGGGGCTGACCTGTGACTATCTGATTGATGAAATATGGTAGAAGTAATGCTGTGTACTTCCAGCCTAGCTTTTAAGAGGGCTGGCAGTTCCTGTGTCCTGACTCCTGGAAACCTGAGCTGTCACACAGCAAGTCCAGGTTACTCTGCTGAAGAGAGAAGCCATGCAAAGGAACACTGAGACTCAGATAATTGAGTGAAGGAGCCATCTTGGACATCCAGCCCAGTCGAGTCTTCAGATGACACCAGCTCCAGCCATTACCTGATGGAAACCACATGAGACCCCAAGTGAAAACCACCCAGCTGAGCCCAGTTATCCAAAGAACTGTCAGAGACAATAACACTTTATTGTTTTAAGCTACTATTGGAGTGGTTTGTTACATGACAACACTCTCTATGGTCAGTCCGCAACACAAGAGCCAGAATAATCTTTTAAACACATAAATCAAGTCATGTCATTCTCCCAGTCAAAACCCTCCAATGGACTACTTTTCCCCCTTCCCTATAAATGCACATCTGTGTGTGTATATGTATTATATCTCAGTAAAGCTACGTATGCGTGTGTGTGTATATGTGCGTGCATGCATGTGTGTATAGTCAAATGTCACTTAGTGATAAGGATATGTTCTGAGAAATGTTTCATTAGACAATTTTGTCTTAAATAGGGCACAGCGAGCCAAAAGAGCCCTGCCCATGACAAGGCAGTGAGCTAAATGATCCTGAGCCTTTTAGCCCACGGACAACACTCAGTCAATGTGCAGGCAGCTGGGGAGTCGTGGAAAGAGCACGTGAGTTGGGTCAAGTTCCAGCTCTCCACTTCCTAGTGGGTAGCTTCTAGGCTACATCCTAGAGCACACTTACATAAGCCTAGATGGTACGGCCTTCTACACACCTAGGCTATATGGGACAGCCAATTGTTCCTAGACTTCAAACCTTTACAGCATGCTACTGTACTAAACACTGCAGGCAATTATAACACAGTGGTAAGTATTTACATATCTAAACACATCTAAATGTAGAAAAGGCACAGTAAAAATACGGTATTATAATCTTATGAGACCACTGTCATATATGCAATCCATTGTTGACCAAAATGTTATTATTATATGGTGTAATATAGTTTGGATATTTGTCCTGTCCAAATCTCATGTTGAACTGTAATCCCCAATGCTGGAGGTGAGGCCTGGTGGGAGGTGATTGGATCATGGGGGTGGATTTCTCCTGAATGGTTTAGCACCAACCTCTTGGTGCTATTCTCATGACAATGAGTGAGTTCTCTTAGATAACTGGTCATTTAAAAGTGTGCAGCTGCTTCTCCCTCACCCAACTCTCTCTCTCTAGCTCCTGCTCTGGCCACGTGACATGCCTGCACCCCCTTTGCCTTCCACCATGATTGTAAGCTTCCTGAGGCCTCCCCAGAGCCTGAGCAGATGCCAGCATCATGCTTCCTGGAAAGCCTGCAGAACTGTGAGCCAATTAAACCTCTTTGTAAATTACCCAGTCTCATGCATTTCTTTACAGCAATGCAAGAACGGCTTAATACATGGCACGTCACTCTGTTTGTGTGTGTATGTATACACATGTGTGTATATATATGTGTGTGTGTGTGTGTGTGTGTGTGTGTATGAGAGAGAGGTGGCATGAGTGATGCCAGTGACTCTTACTGACACTGGCAGAGCTCATTTATATACATGTACACACCCATGCCGCTTTTCAGAGACCTAATACACATACCATTTAATATAAAATTCATGTCTTTTAAAGTGTACAGTTCAACTAATACACAGAATGGTCCCCGACTTAGGATTTTTCAAGTTTATAATTGTGGGAAACCATCACAGTTTTGAAGTCATGTACAGGATATAATAAATTCCATGAGATCTTCAACAATTTTATTATAAAATAGGTTTTATATTAGATGATTTTACCCAACTGTTGGCTAATGTAAGTGTTCTGAGCACATTTAAGGTAGGCTAGGCTAAGCTATGATGTTCAGTAGGTTAGTTGGATTAAATGCATTTTCAGTTTATTATCTTTTCTACTTATGATGGGTTTATCAGGACACAGTCCCATTGTAAGTCGAGGAGCCTCAGTATTCGAAGCTGTGCAGTCATCACCACAATCAATTTTAGAACATTTTCATCACTCCATGAAGAAACTCCAGCTCCATCGGCAGTCGCTCTCAATTTCCTCGCAACTTCCCCAGCCCCTGGCACCTACTAATTTACTTTCTGTCTCTATAGATTTGCCTATTCTAGATATTTTACATGAACAGAATCATTTTGCATCTGGCTTCTTTCATGGAGCATGTTCAAGTTCATCTGTGTTGTAGTATGTATCAGTACTTCATTCCTTTTTAAGGCCAAATAGTATACCATGGTATGAATATACCACACTTTGTTTATCCATTCACCAGTTGATAGACATTGGGTTGTTTCCATTTTTTGGCTATTATGAATAATGCTGCTATAAACATTCACGTACAGGTTCTTGTGTGAACATATATTCTCACTTCTCTTGGCTGTATACCTAAAAGAAGAACTGCTGCATCGTATGATAATTCTGTGTTTAACCTTTTTTTTTTTTTTTTGAGACGGGGTCTCACTCTGACGCCAGGCTGGAGTGCAGTGGCTCAATCTCAGCTCACTGCAACTTCCGACTCCCTGGTTCAAGTGATTCTCCTGCCTCAGCCTCCCAAGTAGCTGAGATTACAAGCACATGCCACCACGCCCAGCTAATTTTTCTATTTTTTTAGTAGAGACGGGGTTTCACCATGTTGGCCAGGATGGTCTCGATCTCCTGACCTCATGATCTGCCTGCCTCAGCTAACCTCTTGAGGAATTGCCAGAATGTTTTCCAAAGTGGCTACACCATTTTACACTCCCATGAGAGTTCTGGTTTTTCCACATCTTTGATAACACTTGTAACTATCTGTATTTTTTATTGTAGCCACATTGTAGTGGGTGTGAAGCAGTATCTCACTGTGGTTTTGATTTGCATCTCTCTGATGGTGAATGCAGTTGAGCATCTTTTTCATGTGCTCATTGGCTATTTGTCTATCTTTGGAGACATGTCTGTTCAGAACCTTTGCCCATTATTTAATTTGATTATTTGTTTATGTTTTTTGAATTATAAGACCTCTTTCTATTTCTAGCTATAAGTTCCTCATCAAATATATGATTTGCAAATATTTTGTCACCCTCCAAAGGACTCAGCACATGCAGAGTAAAACCCAAATCTTTTACCAGGGCTGAGAGACTTGACAGATCCTGTCCTCATCCCTCACCACTCTCTACACGTCACTCCCAGCTCTCTGGCCACCACTGCTCTGCGTGTGGGTCCTTAAACTTGTCAGGCTTGATCCAGCCTCAGGGCTTCTGCAAATGCTCACTCCCTTTGCTTAGACATTCTTCCCAGAAATTTTTGAGTGGCTCACTCCTTCACTTTTTAAGACTCTGCCCAGATACCACCTTCTTGGAGAGGCCTTCCCTAACCATTTTATCCACAACATTTCTCCCTAAATATCCACAATATTTCTTTTCTCCCTATTATTCTCTACTCCTTATCCTTTTCCAGTAGCACTTAATATGTATAAGCAGACATGATATCGTATATTTATTTGCTGATTCTGTCTCCCAGCTAGAAGCTCAGTTCCATGAGAGGCAGCAATGTCGTCTGTCTCATGCATTACTACATCTTAAATGCCTAAACAGTGCCAGCACCTTGTAGAAACTCAATAAATATCTATTACATTAAATATACCTACTACTATTTATTGAGTGCTTACTATGAGCCAAACACTCCATGAAATACTTCAAATAAAATACCTTATTTCATCCCCACAACAACCCTAATGCTATGAGGTAGACACTAATATTACTCCACTTTTCTAACAGATGAGAAATCTAAATTAAGAGAGTTTAAATAATTTATCCATGGCCCCACAAATAGGAAGTGGCAGAGTCAGGATTAAACCCATGCAGTCTCAGCTCTGAACTATAAGACTCTACCACGCCTGTCCCCACTACCAACTCCAGCAAGTCACTTTCCCTCCTTTCAGCCTCAGTTTCCTCATCTATGACATAAGAGTAGCTTCCAACCTTACCTTACAGGGTTACTGAGAGATTGGCCAGATGGGATCACGTAAAGCAGTGGTCCCCAACCTTTTAGGCACCAGGGACCAGTTTTATGGAAGACAACCTTTTCACATACAGCGGAGTACAGGAGGGTGGTCCTGGGATGATTTAAGCACATTACATTTATTGTGTACTTTATTTCTATTATTACATTATAATATATAATGAACTAATTATACAACTCACATAATGTAGAATTAGTGGGAGCCCTGAGCTTGTTTTCCTGCAACTAGATGGTCCCATCTGGGGTTGACAAGAGACAGTGACAGATCATCAGGCATTAGATTCTCATAAGGAGCATGCAACCTTGATCCCTTGCATGCACAGTTCACAATAGGATTTGTGCTCCTATGAGAATCTAATGCTGCTGCTGCTGCTGCTGCTCTGACATGAGGAGGAGCTCAGGTGGTAATACGAGCAATGAGGAACAGCAGTAAATACAGATGAAGTTTCACTTGCCTGCCCACCGCTTGCCTCTTGCCATGCAGCCTGGTTCCTAACAGACCACCACAGACACCAGTCCATGATCCCAGGGTTGGGGACCCCTGACATAAAGCACTGAGAACAGTGCCTGCCTCACTGTGAGTGTTAAGTGTGAGCTGCTGTGATGATGTGATGACAACGACTCTGATCACAATGATCAGATGACTTTGGTGCGGTGAAATCAATCCCTTTGAAATCAAATAAAGCTCTATCATCGTGAGTTAATATTGTTCAAATGCATCCTGCGTACACGCTGATTTTAGACAATGTCTCAGCTCTCGCAGAGGGAGGACCAGCCAACTGTGGCCACACGAGGGTTTCAGTTTCATCAGATGGGTGTGAGAGATTTCCTGACCAAGGGAAGAAGATGTTTTGATAACAACACAGACTAAGGCCTCAACAAGAGCATACTAGATACCTCCAAGAACATGAGCTCTCAGTGGCTGGTTAGAGACAGATCTTGGCCTAATCTAGGACAGCCATTCTCATGGGGCCATGTCATACTTGTAAACTTCTGCTGGGCCAGCCACACAGACAAGAGTAGCTGAACGTGGCAGAAGCCCATCCTACTCACAGCTCGCCCAGGAAATTACTGGATGTCACATTTGCTAAAAAGAGGTTGCCACCCAGACAGTTCATGTCCATGTGCTACCAACACTGTGGAAAACCTGGAGAACAGGAATCCAAGTCAACTCACCAGTATGGGTCTGCCTGTGTGTCTCCAGGGCATCCTCCTTCGAAAACTGTGCACCGCACTGATCACAGACAAAGGCTTTGGCACCCGCTGAAAGAAAGGAGAGGCAGTTACCACTAGAGCAATAGTCCACTGGTGAGCGGGGAGGTCCTGGGCCACAACTGTGCAGGTAGACACTAGGGAAGGGGACTGGACACCCGCAAAAATCCTGAGTGAGGGATCATCCATGGCTCAGACCCTCCTCCAAGAGGTGAGCATTCACCCAACTGAATTCTGAATGCCCTTGTCTAGGGCTCTTCTAGAGAGAAGGAGAAACAAAATCAGAACAACCAAGATAAACGGAAATGGGTTCCAAGTTAGATACCTCAAGAAGAAGGAGGATCTGAAGACCTAGCTCCAGGTGATGGGGGGGACAGGAGAAAAATGATACCAACACAGGGAAATGTGCCCTGTTGCCTAAACTGTACTTTATGGGAATGTAAGAATTGCTGACATACCTCAACCTGGATGTCCATGGGGACCTCTGACTCAGTGTGTCCAAAACTAAACTCATCGTCTGTCCCCCAACTGCCACCTGCATCTGACCATTTAAAACCCCTGAATGGCTCCCCTGTGCCTGGAGAACAAGGTCCAAACTCCTTACTGTGACTCACAAAGCATTTCTGGGTGTGCTCCTCTTTCCTGCTTCGTCTCTCACACCTCACTCTTGCTCTCTTTTCTCCAGCTACACTGAACCACGCGGGCTGCCTGGAGGAACCGTGTTCTTCCCATTGCTAGGCCTGTGCATATTCTTCTGCATGTCCTCTGCCTCTGACATTCTCCCATGCTTCTCTGGCTGCTATGGTGCAGTTGGAGCTCCTGTTCGTCATTCATACATCAACTTCAATACCCGGGCCCCCAACTGTAGGTGAGGCAATGCTCCTTTATGCTCCCATAGCACCTGATATGTTCCAGCTCTCGGCCCTTTATGTGCTCCATTTTAAATGCCTATGGCCCTGTCTTTCTCTCTCACCACACCGTAAGCTCCCTGGAGGAGGGACTGTGTCGTCTTGTGCACAGCTGCATCTGCCTGACACACACTGGAAACCTATTACTATACATATTTGTGGAATAAATAAAATTAATTCAGTGCAACTCAATTTAATAAACTTTCTCAGAACTGTTATTTAGAAGGCTTAAAGTGATAATGCCACCATGTCAAGATGAAACAGTACTTTTTATCACTGGCTAATAGTCTTCATGGCTCTACTATATTATCTGATCCAGGGGTCAGCTGTCACAAGTCTTGGCATTTTTCCTTCAAGATGTCTGGTAGATGCATTCTTCCACTGCGTTGGGTGCAGTGATTCCACTGCAATCACCACCCCATTCAGGCCCTTGCTGCGTCACACTCAGAACACTGTAAGACGCAAGGTGGTTTCCACACCACCAGCCACCCGCAATCTACTCAACAGATGCAGGTTCCTCTACAGCCACCTGATTCCTCACACGTTCTTACTCAAGAAGATACAACGCCTCCCAATGTGTACTGATTCTAAATTCCTCTACTTGGCTTCAAGGCCTTCCATAACCTGTCCCAGTTAGCCACCCACCTCCATAGGTAAGCTGTCCTCACCGGCCCTCTCTGGGCACCACTTACCTTCCCAGAGTCTCTGTGCCTGAGCAATGCTCAGTCCCATTCTTCCATCTGTTCGAATCCCACTTCATTTTCAAGGCCACAGTTTGTGGACATCAAGCACTCAAGTCCCTTACTCTTCTGTCCTTTCCAATCTGCCACTGCACTCTGTTCCTTTCAACACGTCTTAGCGCTTTGTTGTTGTTGTCATTGTTTTTGAGATAGGGTCTCTGTCTGTCACCAAGGCTGGAGTACAGTGGTGCAGTCATAGCTTAATGGCAGCCTCAACCTCCTAGTTTCAAGCGATCCTCCCACCTCAGCCTCCTGAGTAGCTGGGACAACAGGTGCACGCCACCATGCCTGACTAATTCTGTTTTTTTGTTTATTTTATTTTATTTTATTTATTTATTTATTTTAAAGAGATGAGGTCTCACTGTGTTTCCCAGGTTGGTCTTGAGCTCCTGGGCTCAAGCGATCCTCCCACCTTGGTCTCCCAAAGTGCTGGGGGATTCCAGGTGTGAGCCACTGTGTCTGGTCATCTTAGCTCTTCTTTAAATATGCCTGTGTTTTAGTTTTGTATTGGAGCCTCGTACGAGCCAGAACTACTTGTTACACAAATTTGTAGCCCACAGTGCTGTTTCAAATCACCTCAGATTTCCTGAGGCTTGACTATATGCCAGGCATGACACTAAATGCTTAGTATGTATGGTTTGTCCCAACAACCACCATTTATAGTACATGCTAGCATTACCTCCAGGTAGCAGATGAGTAAATTCAAGCTCAGAGAGGTTAAGCACTTTGCCCAATGCCACACAGTGGTTGACATAGTAAAGGTGAATTCAAACACAGGCAGCCTGATTTCAGAGCCTGATTTCAGAGTAATCCCCGTACCCTTCGGCCTCCCTGGGGTTCCATCTGCAAAGATGTTTTGTGGATAAGACTCCATGGGTGGGGTCTGAGCTCCCATCTCTGAATGAAAATTCAATTTACCTATTTTACACATCAGGGCTTTGGGGTTGGAAAAATGACTCCACTACTTTTCTAGAAATTTGAAAACCTCTGCCTTGGAGAATCAGCACATACTGAAGGAATGTAACTCCAAATACAAGCTGTTCCAGCACAGACTTCAATACCAATGAATGCTTCTTGCAGTGAAGAATATGAGGACCCTAGAGGAGGTCTAGAATGTGGGGTCCTCTGGGGGTATCGACTTTCTCTATCTCACTGACACCTATCTTCTACTGATGAGCAGGATATACTCTAGTAGGTGCTCAATAAATGTGAGTCGACTGGCTGGATAAGTGGGTGATAAAGTACCCCATGGAAGATATGAACTCACTTTTACTGAAGAGCTTTAAAAATAAATATTGTCATTTGCCTTAGGTGGCTGGGGTTGAATTTCACCTGGAGGCAGGGAGAATCCCATGGTGACCTCTGGGTGTCCCTTCACGCCACAGGGCATCCTCAGGCCAAGCACCTGGTACACGGCTTAAGAGAGCTTTGAAGAAAGAGCCAAGAAAACTTCTAGCCCCCAGTGACAGCAAAGCAGTCATGACATGTGTTCACAGGGGTAGCAGCCAAGACTACCTTTCATCCATTTACACTGGAAATGCAGAAAGCACCTCCAAGAGCAGAGTGGGCCTGGATGGGAAAGCTGCGGCTGGATGAAGTCACAGCTCCCTCACAATTAGAAACTGCCCCCAGTCCCAAATCATCAGCCATCAATGATTTTCTGTGGATCTGTAAGGAATCTGATTTTAATTGTATTTCTTCCTTGGGTTCTATCCGCTCTCACAGCTCCCTAAAGGAGAAAGGGGAAGCAAAGGCCCGAGGAGGGAAGCACCAGCTGGGAAGGGGAGGGCACTCCAATCGGCGAGAAGCCCACCATGCCACAGGCTTCCAAGGGATGTGGCGCGGAGGGTTCTTAGAAAACAGCCATCACTGTGGGCTAGAGGAGCTTCTCGCTTTAATGACTGAGAAGCAGAGAGAAAGGAAGGAGGCCAGGTAGGAAATAAAGGGCCGGATGTGTACCATCAGACAAGTGCAGAGGAAGATGAAGACAGATAAGCACACATGATCAGTAAAGGCGGCTGCCTCGGCCCAAGCCTGACCACATCTGCTTGCCTTCAAAGTCCCGCCACTCCACCCCCACCTCGCTGAAGTCACGACACTGAGCTGAGCATGTGAAAGCCCCTGTCCTCAGTGACTCTGGGCCAGGTCCCTCCTTACACGTGGATAACACAAACGTCAGCTCCCATTGCTAGCCCCCACTCACGAAGCCCCAGTACTCCCACGCCCACCCGGACAGGCTCTGACTTCCCCCCCAGCTCTCCAGGGTGAGAGCAAAGACAGGCAGTTCCATGGACACGTGAGCGGAGCCGAGCGAGACAGACAAAATCCTCTCTCCTGAGGAGGCTTGTGCCTTTAAATGGTCTCTGTAATGGCTGGCTCAGAGGCAGAAATATTTGGCAGCCCTGAAATTAAAAGTGATAAATTTCCTCGCCAAGCTTTGATCGATAATAGAGGCCTCATCTGTTAATCAATAAGACAGTCTCTGCCTGTTTACTGTGCATATGTTGTTCACTGCTGCCTTCAGTATGATGTCAGGTTTGCATTCAAAGCAACTCAAGTGTGTATAAACCACATGGCTATTCCCAAAATGCATTACGGTGACATCATGCAGCCACTAATACATTTATAAAGCATCAATGGGAGGGGGCGAAGTGGGAGGGAAGAAGGTCACGCCAGCTGAACACAGCGGGTGCGCATGGACCTAGCAGCAGCATTTACACCCACAAAATTTCCTGGGGCTCAACCTGGAGTAGGGAGAACTCCAGGGACACAGCTCTGGGATGGCCATGACTTGCCATATCCTTCCTACACACGGGGGCTGGTTTTTGAATGTCCAGTAGCTATATGCCGAGAGGTGGATTACAGGAAATAAACAAAAGAGACGAAATCCCTGCCCTCAGGGAGTTTATGTTCAAGATGGGAGGGCAGATTTTTAAAGAGCGAGTAAATACAAAACAGGCCAGGTGGTGATAAGTGATAAAAAGAGAAATAAATTAAATGAAGAGGGCCGGACACAATGGCTCACGCCTGTAATCCCAGCACTTTGGGAGGCCGGGATGGGTAGATCACTTGAGCTCAGGAGTTCAAGACTAAGCTGGCCAACATGGTGAAACCCCATCTCTACTAAAAATACAAAAATTGGCCAGGCATGGTGGCTGATTTAAAATCCCAGCTACTCAGGAAGCTGAGGCAGGAGAATAGCTTGAGCCCGGAAGGCAGAGGTTGCAGTGAGCTGAGATCACACCATTGCACTCCAGCCTGGGAAACAGGAGTGAAACCCTGTCTCAAAACAACAACAATAACAACAACAAAGCATTGAGTAAAGATAAACAGAGAGTGCCAGGGGCTGTTCTTTTACACAGCGTAGTCAGGGAGGCCCTTGCTGATGCACTGACATCTGCATAGAGCAAGGCCACCACGTGAGAACACCCTCGCCAGGCAAGGCAAGAGGAGCAAGGAGGCCAGCTGCACGGGATGGAGTGACATGGAGGTGGGAGATGCGGGGCTGGGGGAAGTTAAGGGATAGATTGCGGGAAAGAAATTAAATAGCAGAGGGAGAATAGCAGAAGATAAAGTGCGCTAGACCCTTGCTAACCACAGCAATCACAGATCCAAGCAAACCGAGAAAAATAGCAGGATCTAGAGGTGCAGGCACGAGATCCCACGCCTAACTTGGCCACTCACAGCTGTGGGCATCACACTAGTCATCACACCTTGATGAACTGATTTCCCAATCTGTAAAATGGGCATAAGCCTATCTGTCTGCCTCCCTGAGGCTGCTGTGAGGAGCAAACAGGATAATAGACATAAGTGAATACAAAACTCCTTGTCAATCACAAAACATTCTGTGGATAGCAGAGGTCCTTGGTGCCATTTATACCTCAGGAGGCAGTGCAGTGTGGTTAAGAACTCAACATTTGGGTCAGACAGATCAGAGGTCAAATCCCAGGCAAGCTAGTCGCCAGCTGTGACCCTCAGCAAGCTGCCAGTCTCAGGGAGCCTGTTGCCTCAGCTGTAAAATGGAAGCAGTAAGGGGAGGTCCCTTGGAGAGTTGCGACAAGGTGGGGAAAGTGCTCCATCCTACAGCTGGTGGGTAGATATACAGAACCAGTAAGTCGCAGCTACCATCTTCTCCAGTCACTTTTCCTTTAAAGAAAGAGCTCCCTTCATGCAATTAAAGTATGACTGATTTTACTGGAATTGGATGTACAGTTATTTGGGGGCCATTTATCTTGTGTAAAGTGAGTCTCACATTCATAAAGACACACAGTACCACACGTGCACATACATGAACGCACACATGCACACCCCACCTTGTTCCTCTAATTTAAAGATGAGTGATTGTTTTGTTGAGGGGAGCAGAAAAATCTGCCATCGAACCAATATGTCAGTATCAGCAGCTATTCACCAACCTGGCTCTGAAATCTTCTCTGGACAAGCCCCTGGAGCCCCATTCAACTGTCCTGTATTTGGAGCTCTCTTCCATCTTCCCAGTGGACTGTAAGCTCTGTGAGAGCAGGTTCCCACCTGTCTTGGGCTTTACCATATCCCTGATACCCTGCGCCATGCCTGGCATACAGTCTGTGCCCACTAAATGCTTGTTAAACAAAGAAAGTCCCAGGCAGGTTCCTGGGTGCAGAACTCACCTGGGAAGGGCGCAATGGCCACTCAGGGCACTGCCAAGCTGTCTGTCCCCTAGGGGGTGGCAGAGTCCTTATTCTGCACACTCCGTTCTCTACTACCCCCTATTTAAAACTCAAGGACATGGTCTCTGGCTAGGTCTCAGGTAGTTGAGAGGAAAAGGGAGGAAAGGTTAGGAAGTGGGGCTGTCTGCTTCTTCTGGTGTGAGATCTCCCTCTCATCAGCATGTCTGCTCCCAACCCAGTCCAATGCTCACTGTGGCAGCCAACAAACAACCCTTCCCTCCGCTACAGTCAGTGAGCCTCCTGCCCCCCAGGCAGTGATCTGCCGAGTGACTACTCCCTACCCCAGGCACTGAGTTTATCTGAGATTCCAGGTACCCAGTTGTGAAAGAGACAGGCGGACATCCTTGCCCCTACCAGTCTCCCAGGTACCCTGCAGATGAGGGCTTCGGGATGTTCTAAGCACCACCCTGTAGGGAGCTCCCTGACCATTTTGGGTTCTCCAGACTCCTACTCTTCTCCCCTTTTTCCCTGACTTCCCGACACCTCCAGAAGGTTGGGGATAAAGGAAGGAGGAAGGTTCAAAGCCAGTTAAAGTTCGGTGGAAAGACAGGACGCACATGCCAGAGGCGGGACTGAGGCCTCCGTGTGTGGGAGCAGCTCTCCCTCTGTGCCAAGGATCACCCCAACTCACAGGAATCAAAGGAGGGAACAGCCAGCAGGGCACTTTCAAAAACATAAAGCTTTCTCTAAATGCCCAGGATCCCAATGACAATAAAGCTGAAATCCAGTGGAAGCCATGACAAGCTCCCTGCAGCTGCCCTCTCCCCCTTGTCAAAGAACCTCCCTCCCTACCTGCCCTAACCAGAAATGAGGCTGAGGGGGTCCCGGCATCCAGGAAGGAAGCAGAAGACACTGAATGCAATCAGATATGGGGTGGTGTCTCTCTGAAGGAAATAAGGCAGAAGCCAATGAGGGAAGAAAAAAAAAATTCAAATCCCTCCCTCTCCAAAGCCTCTCCCACCCCCATGCTAATAATAAGAAGGGAGAAAAAAAAGAACCACTGAAAAAACACCTAATGTTTGCCAGCATCTAATGTTGAGTGGTGTGTCCTTTTTTTCAAAATTCCTTGAGATTTTAAAATAAACATCTTGAATGTTCTGATGAGATCTGCACGCCTGCTTACATAAGGAAGTACAGAGTGTACCAAAACAGCAGACCCAAAAAAAGCATAAGCTGTCAGAACAATGAGTACAGACGCAGGGCATTTTACAACAGGCCATGGTGTACAGTTTTATTTACAGTACCTCTTATCAGACGGAGAACAGCACACTGGCTGCCAATTCCAAAGGCCGGCACTGTGTGTTCTTTCCCTCAAGGAGATGTGTACTCCCAGAGAGGAGCTTGAAGGCTCTCTCTCTCTCTCTCTCTAGCTCTCTCTCTTGCTCTTTCTCCTTTGTCAACAAAACAAAAAGCTGATCCAGAACCAGAGTTTCTGGAAGATACACAGATTCAGGGAAGAGGGAAAAGGGAAAGCAGGTGAGCAAATCCTGGCTGAAAGGAAAACAACCAGCCCCATTGATAGGTCCAGGATATGGTTCAAGGGTAGCTGTGGTTGACAAGGCTGTGGGGAAAGATCCTCAGAGTTCGGCCTCACTCACTACAAGATGGGAGGGTGAATGAACTAATGATACAGGACCCCACATAAATATAGGATGGAGAAAGACACCAGGGAATTCTCCTGGGCTGAGCAACAGAACAACGGGAGTCACCTGGGATGGAGGACAGGTGGTTTTTAGATCTCCAAAAGCCAGTGTCCCACCAGTGACCTGGCAAATGACTGACACCTCATGTGTGGCTAAATATCCACTCTGCAGAAGAGGAAACCCTGGACTGGGTCAGGAGGAAATGCTGAGACATCTCTATGGCTGAGGGAACATTTCTTATCCTACCTAATAAATGTGATGCTACTAGGAAGCTGCATGGTGCCCTTGTCTCTTACTGGGATCCTGCAGTCCCTCTCTCAAGTCCCACAGGGAGCACACAGGTCTACCTTGTCCCTTATCCCTGCAACTCAATTCTCAGCCAGAGTGGCTTGGAAAGCTCTTTTGTTACCCCTTTTAGCACCAGCGGGTAATCCAACAGGCTTAGAAACACTGTCCACAGCCAGAACACACACATGCACTCAATATTAAGCTGCACAGTAAGGTAGTGAAGAGCACGCTCTCTGGAATCAAACAAACTCTGGTTCAAGTCCCAGTTCTACCATGTCTAGCTACCACCCTGAAGAAGTGAATTATCTCTTCTGGGCCTGTTTCTTACCTAGAAAACTGGGCTCAGAGTGTTTATGCCACAGGGTTGGTTGAGGGATGATTAATTTAAATAATATATGTAAAGTGTTTAATACCCTGTCTGGCATACAATAATAGCCCAATAAATGCTAGTTGTCATTAAGACCAACATCATCATTGTCATCAGGAGATAAAATAATAGCAAGGTATAAGACACACACAAACATCAAATGCATGCAAGAGATATATCACGCAATTTAAAATATTCTTACCTCTCCAGCCAAAACACACCAGTAAAGATGGGGTCAGATCATTCTTCCCCAGGAGGAGATCAAGGAAATGACACCCCTACCGTCTGCTCCCATCATCACTCATGGCCAATGTTTAATGGTATTATTACCCTCCTACTGCCTACCCAGAAGGGAACCAGGGAATGCAAACCAGTTTGAGATGATTTATGTTTTTAAAAATACATGAGTGAATTATTTTAAATAAAATGCAAGTAGGATAGTAAATTTGTTGCAGATTTTTTAAAAATACAGGCCAGGTGCAATAGCTTGTGCCTGTAACCCCAGCCTGGGTGACGGAGTGATACTCTGTCTCCAAAAAAAATTACAAATATTCCTGAAGTCTAAGAGTAGTGACTCAGGGGTTCACCTTACCATTGCTTCTAATCTCTTTCTTCTCCTGGCAACTTCTATGACTGAGCAATCATGGTATTGTGGTAGTCAGCACAAGGGCACAAAATCTCTCTTACTACAGGAATGTCAGTCCCTGCTGTGATGAACCAGACTTCCTTCCAGACATGCTTTGCCAACTGAGAGATCTCTCGGAGGTTAACGGTCAGGCCCCCTCAAAATGAAGTCCCGGGCCGGGTGCGGTGGCTCATGCCTGTAATTACCCAGCACTTTGGCAGGCCGAGGCGGGCGGATCACCTGAGGTCTGGAGTTGGAGACCAGCCTGACCAACATGAAGAAGCCCCATCTCTACTAAAAATACAAAATTAGCCGGGCATGGTGGCACATGCCTGTAATCCCAGCTACTCGGGAGCCTGGGGCAGGAGAATCGCTAGAACCCCGGAGGCAGAGGTTGTGGTGAGCCGAGATCGCACCACTGCACTCCAGCCTGGCAACAGCAACAGCTCAAATCCAGAGACGGCTTTAAGGTTCTACCGGTACGGTACCAGCATCAACTTCGCAGCCTCACTTCCCTCCTGAAAATGTAGCTATTCATCCTCATATGATAGCTTAAACAAGAAACTATATGAAGTACCTGGCACATAGCAGGTGCTCAAGTCACAGTCATTATCATGATTATAGAATAATTTCACTTCATCAAGCTGATGAGCTCCAGGAGGACAGCTCCTGGCCACAGCCTACAGGGTATGCAGCCCATAGTATTTCCAGTCCCACAGCTCTGGGAGAAGCCCAATCGCAATAAGTAAATGGCCTGCATAAATGAGACACTATGTTCTCTAAGGCTCTCGTATACATGATATTATGCTATCTGGAATGGGAGACAGGACCACCCTTAGGTAAGACAGGGTAGATAACTGGCTCAAGGAGGGTTCTGCTGGCCAGCGCACCCAAGATTTTCCAAAGTACCAAAAGAAACTGACTTGCGGTCCTGACTGTCACTGCCTGAGCTGTGTAACCCTTGGTGAATCCCTTTATCTCTCCATCTTGAAATGACAAGTTTTAAACTGGGACATCTCTAAGGGAGAAAGGATGAACAGGTGTTCATGAGAAGCTGGGCGCTCATGGCAAAGAAAGTTAAACGTGGCCGTACACGAGAGCTCAAATGCATACAACCCTTGGTGTTTGGAAGGTGCTGTTGAGACCAAGCGAGGGCTGGGTTCCCCGGTTCAGCCAGCAGAATCCTTCTCAAGGTGAATATTCTGCTCTATCAGGCAGGTAGAATGGAACAGAGAGTCCAGACATTGGGAGAATCATTAGCCAGAGTCAGGCTGGGTCAGTGCGGCTGTGCCAAAGACTGACCCGAGTTCCAGGGAATACCTGGGCTTTCAAGTGTTCATAACTTTGTTTTGTTTAAGAGAGATAGATAGCTTTGCAACCTTGGCATTTGTGAGAGGCTGGATAATAAAGCCAGGGATATAAGAGTAAGGGTTTCTGCCATGATTTTATGGGACATCTCCGCAACTCCTAAACACCAACAATCACCCTCCTCCCAGGTCTCCCCTTGGGGATTCTCAGGAGAGAAGTTCAGAATGAAAAGAGAAGTTTCTGTTGGCCCCCAGCAGTCCCAAAGCTCAGCCTGTGATCTGAGCCTTCGGTCTCCTCTCATCCTCATCTATTCTGCTCCTTTCTTCTGAAGCAACTTCAGAATGCTCCGTCACAGGCCCCCACCCTAAATATGGCATGGAGGATTTCACACATACACACACACACACACACGCACGCACACACACACACACACACACACCCCTCTCCCCTGAGTAGGATTCACAATACTGGCTGGGCAATGGAAAAAAGAAGACTAAGACCCCTCCAAGGGTGGTGGCCGGGATCCAAGTGCCTACTCCACCCATTTCAAGCTGATAACCTGGCCCTGCCCCGGTCCCCCAGCATCTCCTGACACTCCTGCCAAATGACATACCTCATTGGAGGTATTTTAAAGGGAATAGGAGGCAGCATTCCTCAGTCTCGATGGCATTCTTGGCTTCCCTCACTTTCTCCAGGCTGGTCCCTGCCTCTCTCATTTCCCACTGACTGAAGAGAATGCCGAGTCCTCTCACAATGCTGAGATCTCTTTGGCATCTCAATATTGATAATTCCTTCATTGCTTGGGTCTCAGAATCCCCTGTCCTCTCCCAGCTACTCGGGAGGCTGAGGCAGGAGAATCATTTGAACCCGGGAGAGGAGGTTGCGTTGAGCTGAAATCACGCCACTGCACTCCAGCCTGGGCAACAGAAAGAGACTCTGTCTCCAAAAAAAAAAAAAGTTTGCACATGTATAAAATGGGGGGTAATCTTAGAGTTGTTGGGAGAATTAACTGGTATATTGCATGTAAAGTAGTTAGCACAATGCTTGCATCATAATGAATGGGCAACACATGTTATTAGTATTTTTATTGTGATGACTGTCAACACTATGGCAGCAGCAGCATTGTGACTCCTTATTGCAGGGCAGCCTTTGTAGGTTCCTTGGAAGGGAAGGAGTGAAAGTATTGGTGTTGTGTGCCTGTTGAGCTCCACTTTCTGTGCTGGGCACCTTCATGTGCATCATCTTGTTTAAACCTTCAACAACCTTACAGTCCCATTTCTGAGTGAGTGGTGTCACTGCTGTTGTGCAACTTTGAAGTCCTGCTTTTAGGATAGGAAGGATGTATCATCATCTCTTTAACAGGTGAAGAAACCAAGGCTCAGAGAGTTAAGCTGCTAACGCTCCTGATTTAGCTAGTGGGTAGCTGAGCTAACATCTCAGTTCTGTCAACATCCAGCCCAGGTTCTCCACTAAACTGCCTGTGATGGGAGCACGGGCCCAGCTTAGACAGCCTTCTATGCCTACTGAACCCTGCCTCTTCCCTGCAGCTTGACCTGGATGTCTTTGGGGTCTATGGCACGGCTTCCTGGTGGAGTTTCCAGGAAAAGAGAAGCTCTCATCTACAGGGCTTGTACAGCTTACAGCCAATTGTCAGCAGATAACTTGCATACAGAGCTCTGCCAATTGGTTTCTTGAAGAGTGCAATGATTATCACATTTGTGACAGCATCAGGAGCCTTCTAAAAGGCTTTATTTCTTTCATTTGTTGAAATATTACCTAGAGATGTTTTATCTTAGAAACAAAATACACACATACACACTACAAAGACAGTTGCAAGTGGCATTGGAGAGAGATGCTAGGAGGCTCATGCCACCACGCCCGGCTAATTGTTGTATTTTTAGCAGAGATGGAGTTTCACCATGTTAGGCAGGCTGGTCTCGAACTTCTGATCTCAGGTGATCCGCCCACCTTGGCTTCCCAGAGTACTGGGATTACAGGCAGGAGACACCATGCCTGGCCTTAGATATGCAAACTGAAGTTTAAAAAGCTTAGTTCTCTTGCCCAAGGTCTCATAGCTAGTAAACATAAAAGAAAAAAAAAAAAAACCTCAGTCAGAATGGCAGCATGGGAAGCCCACCTAACTCTCTTCTCTGAGTCCTTTGCCTATTAAGAAAAACTCTCACCTCCTGGTCCAGGCACGAAACAACACTGTCTATCCGACAGAGCCTGGGCTGGGAGCAGCACAGGGTCTAGACTTGCCTCTGCGTAGACCTCAGTGTATTCTAAGATCCTACTTTTCTTGGCCTGTTTCTCCATCTACAAAGTGGAAGTCATGTTCCTTGCCCCTCCCAGCACTTAAAGCTATTATAGAGAGGAATGAGTTCAAAGGTATGAAAACATGTAGGAAGGAAAACGTACAAACGATCTTCTAGAGTGACTTATAATAAAACTCTAGGCATATACCTCCATGCTTAACTCCCTTCTTAGGCATTCTCCTTTTGACTTCTAAGCAAGCAAGATGTTCTATCATAAAAAGACAATCAGTTGCATTCACTGAAAGTAGAAAAATGGACTCTCACATTGATGAATGATAGCAAACGACAAAGGCCGATATAGACAAGGTTTCCTGGTTAACCTTCAGTTCACCAAAAAGTCCTTTGATTACATCTTCTCTGAGCATCCTAGTTAATCAAGGCTTGTCGAGCAGATCCTCACTCTCGGCTGTAAAGGCCTCTGCTCTTCCCCATGTCCCTCTTCTTGTGCCCCTTATAGTCTGCCCTTTACTCACTGCCCAGATTGGACTCCTTCTCCCAGAACAGCAGGTAAATTCAATTATCTTGGGGCTGAGTACGTAAATTTTAGGCCTAGGCATCCCTCCTAGAGACTCCAGAGTTGTCAGTTCCTTTAAAGTCATTAATACACATATACGGGTACGGATGTGCTTCCACTGTGATTCCACTCTTGGTGACAGCTGGGAAAGAGGCCCCACCACCTGACCCACCCGTCACAACACCCACCATCCCCATCTCAGACACGGAGCTCCAGAGACTGCCACCCTCCCTTCCCCTCCCCTGGGCCCCTCAGTGGCACCTCGATGCTGCCAGTCTCTCCAGGCCTGCTGTGGCTTTTAGAAAACAGAGCATGTCTATTTTTAGCCCTTCTCAGCCTAATAATACTCCCCAACACCCATTCAGCTTAATCACTTTATTGAGGACAAGAAGCGGGCTCTCTAGCCCGGGTGCTTCTGATGTTAGGAAGTAGTAAAATGTTCAAACTGGTTAAAAATGACACTCATTGGCTTGCCTTTGGTGTTTCTGAAACCTTAATTGTGGCTCAGGCTGTGGATCTAAAGAGCCTTGCAGGTTTCAGAGTCTGGCTTCCTTACCCCCTGCACCATAATTGAGGTGTTACATTACAACTACGGCACTGACATTTGCAGGCTCAAAATTCAGCAGCCTTAAGATGCCACACTTTTCAAAACAGAAATATTGCCTGCCACACTTAATGCCTATTCTAAGTACGAACCACCTCCCTGCCGGAAAAAAACAAACCAAAACAAAACAAAACTCGTCTTTTCTGGCTCCTCCCATGCCAGAGGTCCAGGTGGGAAACTATTTGCCATATTAAGCCCATAGCTGCTTGAAAACAGAAAGGTTTGTTTGGTGTAATTAGAAGACCTGCGAGTTTGGTGTGTGCAGGAAATAGACTGTTGGCAGCTCTTCCACGTGCACCTTTGAGACCGTGACTTCCAAAGCTTCAGGGTGAGCATCTGCAAACGTGCAATCTGTACCACGTGAGCTGTGGGCTGGGAGAAATGGGCAGCCTGGAAAGGGGATGGAAACAACTTTGCCGCAGAGGTTAAGACCAGGGGCTTCAGGGTCAGGCAGCCCTGGGGTCACAGCGCAGCTCTGTCTCTTACTTGCTAGGTGATCTTGGGCAAGTAAACTCAGTCTCCTCATCTGTAAAATGGATGTCCTAACAGTACCAACTTGAAATGGGTCTTGTGAGGCTCAAATGAGATGACGAAGTAAAGCAATCTGGCACAGTACCTGGCACCTGTAGGCCTCCAGGAAATGTCAGCTGCCACTGTCATTATCTCTGGTTTCCTCCTTTCTACCATGGGCTCCTTCTAAGGCAAAGTGTTCAGTTTTTGTCTCTTCTGCCTTGCCCAGGACAAAAAGGAAATCTGGGCACTAGAATGGCTAACCATGGCCAGCTGTGTGCGGTCGCAGGACATTCTTGGACATGTAGTAGGGAACTCCTATGGACTCGGAGTGGGTAGATGGAGCTGGACCCACAGCAGGAGGATTGAGGGGATGATTTCTCAGGTTCCATTCAGCTAAGCGAGTGAAAGGCACGTCCAAGGCCTGGAAACTCACCTGGACCAGGCTCTTCTACACTCCTGGGCAGCTTCCCCTGCTGCTCCTGTCTCCCTTTCCTTCCTTCTCAGGCAGGGTGCTTTGAAGCACCTTCATAAACGTCCTGCTCTTCAGCAGGCAGAGGCGGAACGCCTCATTAACTTTCCTAGCTAATTTTACAATTTAACCAAACACCACATTTCTGCTTCGATTCAGCCAGCCTCTGACTGTGACAAACTTTTATAATGTTGAGATGGAGGAAGGAAGCAGATAGTCCGTGCCAGAGACTGAGATAAAGTTCTGAAAACTAAAGTGGGAGACGGAGAGTAGGAAAAAAAAATAGCTCTGTGAACTCTATGTATGCTCCCAAAGCAGAATTCTAGGCTGTGCAGGGCTGAGCAGTAGGGAAGAAAGCCACGCCGGCCTTGTGGTGTCAGAAAGATGGAGTACTCCCGTGACAATGACTCTTCCTGTCACCTTGGGGGGCCGGGGGCTATATCGGGAAGCACAGTTACATGCTGTCCTCTGAGGGGCATGATTCAATGCTGATGGGCAGCAGGCCAGAGGTGAGGCAGGCCACCCAGAGGACACGTTCAGCTTGGCAAGGCCCCAGGGCCCCGTCCAAAGGGCACTGAAAGGCCCTTCCCAGCCCACTGAGCCGGCTCCTAGCTCCTGATAGAGATTCTGGATGGGGGTGGAGTTCAGTGGGAGGACTGTATGTCTAGGAATGTTTCCCCATCAAGAATCCTATGGGCTAGAAAAGATCCCCAGGGTTGTCATCACAGTCCTACATACGCTGGTCCACGCTTTGCTCGGACAGGACAGACAGGACCTCATTAGAGACAGAGAGTATCATTCGGCCTCATTATCTATAATCAGACCCTGCTCTTGGTGCATAAATAAGTAATGAAGACAGTGCACTGTGATTCTCTTTGCTCCCGGGTCAGCTTCAAAGGCTGCACCTGTCCCTCTCGAGCCTATACTCCAGAGCTTCTGACTCCAGACCCCAAATCTCAATTAATGCAAAACTGGCCCCCCAGCAGTGCTCTCTCAGATGTGCTGGATTATGTCCATTAGGCCCCAATGAAGGCACTGGGAGATCCGGGATATTCAGGCAAGATAGTAGCCTCCCAAAATATCTGGTCTCTGGGCCTTTATCCCGGGCTCATATTAGCAAAGGCAACTGAGGAAGGAAGACTCCAGCAAATCCAAAGTTTCAGAGAGTTCTGTCTTTACCCGGAGTTACCTTGTTACTGAAAATGACTGTGGTCTTTCATAATTACTCCAACAAAAATGCAGCCGCCAATGAGCTCCCTGTGCTCAATTAGCTTATAATAGTCAGTAAGAGAGCTGCTGAAGTTTAATCCAACTACCCCAGAAGACTTTTTATCCCAACTACCTAATGAAAACTTTAGAATTTGCTTTTTTTTTTTTCCCCTTGTCCCAGGCAAGTGAAAGAATTCCAATCAAAACGGGACTGGTTTGGGGGAAGGAGGAGGGAGTGCGTTAACTACTGGGGAAAAGTCTGGAAGACATGTCTTTGTCAGGTTGAATCCTGGAGAGAGCCAACAAAAGGAGCCCCTGACTACAGAGGTATCCGCCCCTCTCTCCCACTGGCTTCCATCTACGCGGTGAACAAGCTCAGTCTTCACTAAAGGCATACACAGGGGCTTCACCCACGTGGTCCGAGGAGGTGGGCTGGGGCACGTCCTGAGACCGTCCTCGGATGCTTCCTCCATTGGCCCTCCAGGGTGGCCAACTCTGTCCTCAGCCTCACCCAGAGGCAGCCCTCTGACCTGTCTTCTCAACCTAGGCTTTGTGGGGTTCTAGGTACTCGTAACATATTTTTTAGTCCATCAAATCCTATATGAGAAATTTACAATCTTCTGGGTCCGCATCCAATTTTAAGCCTTGCTTTCACATGTGTTTGTTTTATGGATGCCTCAACTTGGAGGGGCCCCCTGAAGTGGCAGCTTTTCATCTTTAATGCAGTGTTTCTCAACCTCCAGGCCAAGGAGGCCCACAGCCATCACAGGGATTGGAGGACTCCCAAGTGCAAGAAACTGGGCTCTAAGTCTCTGCCAGGTGGCTATGGGCGGAGGAGGATGAGGAGGAAAGAGATGCCTGCCTGGATGGTTCTAGCTCACAGAAGTTCTTGCTTCCTCTTGTCCAGAAAGGTAGGCCACTCCCACCACAGCACTCCTTCTGGATACTCCAGCAGCAAAGACCTCATCAAAATCCCATGAACCTCCTTCCCGAAGCTCTCCTCATTCCCCTGGTTCTTAGGAGCTTCTCCCCACTCTAAATGCCTGCAGCACTCAGTCTTTCCTCTTGCGGTCACAATGAGCACACCCAGCCTTGCTCAACGCCTTCTCTTGCCAGGGGGCTCGTGTCACCCTCTCAGCCAGACCACCAGCTTCTTGCAGACAAGGACACTGGCTTCAACCCCTCTGTCCACCCTGCCAAGCTTTGCACACCACTGGCCCTAGGTTCAGTTGCTAACTGATGAATGACTTCACAAACGATTTCCTGCAAAAGAGGGCCACACGTGTGACCCAGAGTAGTCATCGAGGTTTCTCTGCTGCTCAACCTTCACCATCTGGTTCCCATTTGGCTGATGTTTCGCTCCCCAGAGAAAGCTCCAGCATCCCCAGCGCGTGCCTGGGGAAGATGAGGCTGTCAGAGAATGGACACAACCAGCCTCATGTCAAGTGGTCCAGCTTCACTGGACATAATCTGAAAGGTCAGGGAGGCCCAACCTTCCTGATGCATCATACTCCAAGACGCTTGAAGTCTAAGGCGCTAGTAATAGCCCAAGTGGTCACAGCTCTCACATTTCTGGGCTGCAGCACAGGTCGGCTGCCCCTTTCACCCCACCCCAGCATCACAGGGTGCATCTACCAGAAGCAGAGCACCCAGTTGCGTCGCCATGCAGGAGGGACCACAGGCAGCTCTCTCCTCCTACCCCTCCTACTTGGCAGGATAGTGCAAAGGAGGAGTGGGGGGCATGACACAGTCAAGCTCTCCCTGGGTGGGAGGGCCACACACTAACCCACAGACCCTCCTGCAAGGCTCCCAGAACCCTCCTATCCCCAACCCTACAAGGCACTGAGCAGAAGTCATAGCCACAACTCACAACCACTGAACACATGCTCCTCTGGCAGAGCAGGAAGAGGCTAATAAGCCACACCTGCTCCTGGTGGCACAGGTGCAAGGCACACAGGCAGCAGCCAATTACTATGCCACCCTCCCCACCCCCAGGACCCTTGGGCACAGGGCCTTCCTGGTCTCAGCTCCCCAGTTTGAGATTGGTTAGCTCTACAAACAGAGAAGCAGGCATTTAGGCACTCAAACAGCACGAGGCCAGGGCTAGGTATAGCAGCATGCTATACTATAATAGAAAAGCAAGACACAGGGTGGAAGGAGAGAGAAAGAGAGGGAGATTGAAGTCCAGCTCTGCTACTTTCTAGCTTTATGATCTTAGGCAAGTTAACTCTTTACTGTCCTCATCTGCAAAACGGAATCAGCATATCTGTCTTCCAAAGTTGAAGAAAGACTGAGTTCAGATATGCAGAACACATAGCACTGTGCCTGGAACACAGCAAGTTTCAATAAATGTCTTTCTCTCCTTCCTGCAGCCAAACCATGCATCCTGAGCCCTTCACTTCTTCAACAGATATTTCCTGAGAGCCTGCTATGTGTCCCGCTGTGAGGATGCAACAGAGCACACTACTGACAAGGTCCCCGCCTTCCATCCTTGTCTTCTCATCCAGATTGCTGACTCCTGGGGCTGGAGGGAAGCAGGCAGCACCTCAGGTCTGTTCCTTACCATGTGCCCATCCGCATGCCTGCTCACTCACCCATTAGGTTATTTTTCAAATGACTGAGTTATAACCACCATTCAGGTTACTAAGCGAGGTAGTATAGGGGACACAAATAAATCACATGTTCTCAAGAAGCTTACAGTCTAGTAGGCAAAAAAGGCCAAGCAAATAAATAGCTATGTAACAAAGAAGGTGACAGGTGCCATAAGAGGGGATAGATAAATGGCTAAGAGCGATCAGATGGAGGGCGGCCTCTTGTCCTGCCCAGACAGACACATCCTAGGGCTGAGTCGGCTGACTTTTCAAAAGAGAAGAGAAAAAGGAACGCTCGCCGGTCGGGCACCAGGCCTAGCATGGGAAACAGGCAGGACCTATTTAAAACAACTAGAGCCAGGTTAGAGCCTTTTCTGGCAAGTCCCAAAACTCCTGGAGCTGATCAGATAACCAGATAGAACCAATACTGTCAAAATCCTATGGATTTTAAAAAATCATTTAGCTGTTGCCGGGATGATAAAAGAATCTTGCCATTCAAAGGGAAGGTGCAGGCTCAGAGGAAGGAGGGGTCGCTGGGAGAGCAGGAGGGGGCTGGGGAGAAAAGGGAACGCCCTACAAATATAGATCAGGGTTAGGGAGAAAAACCAGACGGCCAAGGACATTTATGCATTGTGGTTGCTTTACTACCTAATTAATTCAGTAATTTCAAAAACAATTTTATTTATGTTCCATTTACCACATCAAAGGTGAAAAAAATCCTACTGATGCTAAAATAATACCTCAAGGCATCTATTTTTAATCAGTTAAAAAAAAAAAAAGCAAGGGGTAGAGGGAGAATTTAAAAAAAAAAAAAAACAAAAAAACTCGCCCTGGTTTCTATACAATCTCTCCTGGGCAGACCACCAACCCTCAGAGAGAGAGAGAGAGAGAGAAAACACAGCCAAGCCCTCTCTGAGAGCCTTCCTGGCTGCTGAAAACCAAGCTTGTCAAAAAAAAAAAAAAAAAAAAACCAAAAAAAAAAAAAACCACAAATCCATAATGGCCCGAGGCTCCTCTCCAATCTATTTTCTGCTCAGCTGGTTTTAAATGAAGTTATTATGAGTCATTAAAACACCCGCAAGCCAGTGGAAGTCAGCCAATTACAATTTTAAATTTAGCCTGTTCTCTGCCCCATTCTCTTGTTTTCTTCCTTTGCCCACAGAATGCTGCTGCTGTTATTTTTTCCCTCCCTTCCTTTACCCAAAGTGAAAGAGACAGTTATGAAAATGCATAGTATTGCACGGAGCACAGAATCATTCATATGAAACTCAAATTATTAGACAAAAAAATGCAAACTTCTGCCCCCTCCAAAGTCAACCCAAGCCTTGCCTCAGCCCACTGGATTCCTCGGAAACTCCAGTCTGAGCCCCAAAGGTCATGGGGCTATTTTTAAAATGAAAAGGTTCTTCAGTGGGGTCTTGTTGAGAAATGTTCACATCCATCACACAAAATCAACATTTTCATGGCTGAATCCAAAAGGTAGAAACACACCACCACCATCTGAGAATTAATAACAAACAATGAAGTTGAAATTCAAAGGTAAAGCAGGCTTTGCAATCAAGCATGAATGTCGGTAGAAGTCACTCGATATGATGAGCTCATTTAGTTTTTAAATCTTCAAGGTAATGGTCTGTGCGGGCCCATTACAGCAAAGGAACAAATTTGAGTATTTCATGTAAATGCTTCTTCTCAATCTCTTTTTGTTCCCATGCTTGGACACACAAACACACACATGCACACATGGTGTTCTGATTAGGACTGTGTCCCCGATTTCTAGGAGACACTGCAGCTTTTCCATACCCTCCAACAAGTGAGTCCCTCTACCCAAAGGACTGTCCAATCCTGCAATCTTCACCAACCTCATTTAATGGATGAGTCTGCAAGCTCCACAGAACAGATGCCCAGATGTCTGCAAACACCTTCCATCACCTCCAGGCCCCCTCTCCCTCATGGTTACACACACACACACACACACACACACACACACACACACACACACACGTAGACCAGTCCTCTGCCCCACGATACTTGCAGTTCTATGCCCCAAGAACGCAGGAGAGCCACAGCCACAGACCTAGGCAGTTGAACACCTGGGAGAGGAGTGAATGCCATGCCATTTCACTGACAGTCACCGAGGGTTAGTGTGGAGGCCAGGATGCTACCAAGAGTGGCTGCCTACCTGGTTGCTCTGGGTGAGCTGGAACTCAGGGTCCATCCCTACCAAGCAACCTCACTGAGAAGAGCATGTGAAATACCATGATGTTTCCAGGCCCATTGCGACCTGCAGCCATTTGCCAAAGGCTTGACCTCTATGGAACATAAACCTGAGGCCTGTGAGCACAGATGTCCCAGGTTCTGAAGGTCCCCAGAGCTGGGCAGATGACACCCTCCTATCCTCAGCCCTGAGCCACCCCACTAAGTAGTTCCAAGTGAGACCCCTCAACAGCAACCTCTCAAGTGGTTCACCCAGGCCTGTTCTCCCGGAAGCCAGTAAAGCTGAAGCTTCAGGCCTCTCCCTGGCACTGACCCCTTTCCTGGGAGAGGCTCTAACACCTGGTATTTATAATCCTTTTCTGAGAGACAGCACCCAAAACTGAGTACGCTTCAGGCCCCACCAAACCCAGATCTGCCCTAGTAGTACAAACACTTTTATAACAGGATATTCATTTATTTGACAGATACTATCAGTGCACAACACTCCTATGTACCAGGCACTTTGCTAGGGCATGAGTATGTGAGGGCAGCTGCTGAGTCCTGCACTCAGGTGCACAGTACTGGCCCAGGAGAGCACAGTACCAGCAAAGTCCAATAAGGGCCTTGTAAAGCCTAACCCTGCTAAACTACTTGCCCATTCTCAACACAACTGGGATTTGGGGGGAACATCCAGGGACCTGGGAAAAGCAGGGGCCAAGCCAGAGAAGCCCCACTCTGGCCCCTGAGAGGCAAGGGACAAGAGCACATGAGATTCTAGGTGCTGGGAGCATTCTAGGGACACTGGCTCAAGAGTCCTCCCCTCTGGGGAGACCTCTGGGCCAGAGTGACATTTTGTTTTCCATTCCAACCACTGCCCAGCTTCCAAGCTAAAAAAAACTTTGAGGTGGTGGGTTAGGACAGGGAGGCAGGGAGGCAGGGAGAGACAGAGACAGAGACAAAGACAGAGAAAGAGAGAGACAGAGAAAAGACCAACGAAGACAGATGGAGACAAAGACAGATGAAGACATAAGAAGGAAGACAGAAAATACACAGGAGTGTCAAGAAAAGGCCGAGGCTGACACAGACACAAAGGACAGGGACAAAGAGATGAAGTGAGATGAAAGCAGATTGGGGAGAAATAGAAGGAGAAGAGAAGAGCTGAAAAATAAATACCTGCCACCACAGAGACCTGGACAAGAGCACTGAAAGTAAGGGCCGCAGTAGCGTGATGGATGCCCAAAGCAGGGTGGGGCCCCTCAGGCACAGCCCTGGATACAGATACCCAGGCCCAGCCTGGTTAGAGGGCTAGGGAATGGGGCTGAGGGCAAGAGAAAGCACGGCCAGGCCTCCTAAGAACGCTTCCGGCAGGGTGTGTGTCTGCGAAGCCAAGGGAAGACGAAAAGGCCCTGGAAATCAGAAATGGCATTGCCATTATCAGGTTGATCCCACGTAAATATCCCTCCCCAATAACCCCATATCTATTCATCCTCAGACAATAACAAGGACCAGCAAGGCAACCCAGAACGTAGGAAGGATGGCAGGAGCAAAGGAGAGGAAAGGGAGACTAGGAGAATAAATGGCAGACAGACAGATGTCCCAGCATCCATCCCTCTAGGGCACCATTCATTTCCTAATAAGACCGTCATCCTCTAGCTGTGCAAAATCATGTGGTGGCATGAGACAGGGTTTGTGTGGAAGAAACCACCCTATGCTGAGATAGAAAAATCATCGAGAGAGGGAGAAGGAAGAAGGTTATTACATAATTTCCACTTTCTTCCCTCCACCCTCAAAGTAATGTTCTATCTGACAGGCTCCTCTCTGAGGGGGGAAAAATGACAAATCCAATCCAAAATTCAACAGCCTGTGTTCTGTTCAGAGAGCACACAGTGTACTGTACAGCCCATAAAACTCCAAACAGCCTCCAGACACTGCCGCAATCGTCCTCCATCAAAACACTTTGTCTTGCATACAAAAATAAGATACAGCGCTGAACAGAATACAAAATCAGCCCATTACAGTACAGGGAGACTGCTACTTAGCAACGAGGGGGCTCTAAAGCCTCGATGCTCTACAGGAAGCAAAATCTGTCGAGCCTGTTGGGCAAACGATAAACATTAGCAGTATTAAAAAACACAAAAGCCATGTAAATGGATAGACATAATGTGGAAACAAATTTATAGAATAAATTGGGATGGGGGATTTGCGGGGTGGGAGGAGATGCTGGGATCCAGAGGGGTAGATGGAACGAGCTTCCCCAACCCCTGCTAAGGCACCATATGGAGACAGAGACATGTGTATTTGGGGGCAGGGACATGTGAACCCCCTCTTCACACAGGGGCTGTAGGTGAAGGGGTGGGAGAGAACTGGTGAAAACACTGTTTAAAACCATGACCTGCAATGAACTTTCCCAACTTTCTCGGTTCAGCTGGCCTGACTAGGACCGGGGGACCCAGGCACGCAAAACCGCAGCACTAAGGTGGCAGTTACGTGGGGGATTTATCTGCCCTGGGGCCAGCATCGCACCCAGCACCATCATGGAACCTGATACTTGCTGTAAACAAAATCCCTGGCCAAAAAACAAAAACCAAAAAAAACAAAAACAACCCACACAACAAAACCAAAAACACCCCATCTGGGCTGGAAAATCAGTATATTTCATCAGGTAAAGGGGAAAAATACTCTGGCTGTGAATCAGCAGCAGGGTTTCGGATCCCAGCCAAAACAGGAGCTAAAAAGCAAAACCATATTCTTCTGGTCTCAGTTTAGGCTCTTGAGGCAGAAAGCGAGAAGGGGTGGGGGTGGGGTTGGGGGGGGACTGAGGACGGGTTGGGGGGAGAGTAAAAGGGGAGAGGAAAGAAATGTATTTTTCATCAGCCAGTGTATAATTTATAAACAGCATTAAACAGTTTTTGTTTTCCTTTTCCTCTCTCCCGTGTACGGGCTTGGACGGTAGTCAAGCCTGCATTAATTTCTGCTTTGGGTACAGTGTGTTCTTGGAGGCGCATCTGCAAGCGATCATAAACTCTCTGGAATGCTGGCAGAACATCCAGACCTGCCGGCAGGCCAGTGACGACACCACTCTGGGAAAAAGTTCGGGAAGCAAGCCAAATTCAGAGTAGGGAGAGAGAGAGAAAGAGAAGTGTGTTCAAGAGCGAGCTGGGGGAAAGTGGCTCCCTTCACCCTTTCCACTCTCTGCATCCGCATCACCCATGCGGACCGAAGGGAGGGCAGCCTGGCCTCTGAGCCACCCCCATCTGATCTTCTCCACTTCCTTGACCCAAAAACCAAAGGCGCCCCCACATAAGGAATGTGGAGGGAGTCAAGGAACATGAACGAAGTTTCTTCCTGGTCATCTCCCGGGTTTGCCCTGATGGTAGGAAGCTAACCAGAAGGGATAGCTGGTATTGACTGGAGAGTGGGCAGAGGGTGCATGGATTGGCCATGGGCTCTCACAAGCCTGGGCAGCCCCAAGTCTCTTGCTCTGAGCAGATACCTAATCTGGGAGGAGAGAGGTGAATGGGAGGAGAGACAAGATGAGGGGAAGCCATCTTTGGACTCAAAGGCACCTCTCCCATCATCAGCGTGGGGACCACCTCGCACTGTCTCCTCCCAGTCACAGGGAATTTTCCAGCTACCTCTCTTCCCCCATCTTCTCTGTCTTTGAGGAGAAGAAACTGAAACCCACAGCTCAGTGCTCCAAAAAAGAATAAATAAATAAAACAGAACAAGGACAAGCCACAGATCTTTGCCATCTTGTAATGCTTTTCTTCTTCCGTCCAACCGCGACAGAGGAAAGCCTAAGAGATCCAATCTGAAGGACTCCTCCAGCCCTTTTCCCTGCCAGGAGGATGACCCAGGTCCCAGGTGATAAGCCCCAGCCACTCCATGCTGCTGCTGAAATCAGAAAATCTATCAACGAAAGCCTTCATTCTTTCCCCATGGCTCTAACTCTGGGGAAGAGCCTCATCTCAGGGATGCTTCTCAACAGCCAGGGCCTACAGTGCCTGACAAGGGCAAGAGAGGAGTGGAAGGATGGGGCCTCCCACCTGGCAGAATGGGGCCACAGGGCCCTAACCAGCACAGAAGGCACAGGCCTCTCAACACTCCAGCCACACCCCAACACAGACGGCCAGTCTTCAAGTTCTCCAACAGGCTTTATTCACCTTATATTCTAGCCTAGTCTACATAAAAAAAAGCCCAACAGTCCCTTCTATTCCAGACACAAAAATATGTCACCCTCTTACTCAGTCCTTCAGTGGCTCTCCAGTGCTTCAGGGAGAATGCAGATCATTTTGCTATTCCTTCCACAGATGTATCTCGTCCATCTCTTCTAAACCCTGCACTCTGCTCTCTCCCTGCAGGCCCAGCCTACACTCGCAGGTTACACCACCCACTTCCATAGGTGGCTTCGGCTTCCCCTCACCGAGTCCTTTCAAAATGCTGTTCTGTTACCCTCTGGCACAAAACACTCTCCTACTCTGAATTTCTCCTAGATTTCTTAGCACTTTGCACACATTACCATCTTGTATGATGATTGCATAGTCATACTCATCTCCCACTCTAGACTTAAGCTCCTTGAGGGCAGGGATGTTGTAGCAGTCTTCACTGTTAAGTGCACAGAGCCTGACACACAATTCGTGCTTATTAAACATCCTCTGGCTCCAAAAATGAATGACACTCCCAGAATAGGAGCAGGCCACATGAATACTCAAACCCTAATCGTATGCAGCCGAGTCAAAAATAGGGACAAGCAGTTCTAGGCATGCTCACTTATAAGCCACCAGGACGTTAAGCCAAGCTGTGGGAAATCTACCTAATGGGAAACCTTACACTGGCCCATCTCAGAACCAATTTGAGTCACTGCATGTGTCTGTGGTCTCTGCATGGACACCTCAGAGCTAGGAATCACTTCTCGTGTTACGACAAGGAGTGGCGAAGAGACAGTGGATCAACAGATGCTTCAATGCCAGATCCCCAAAAGGGGTAAGGTAGCAGAGGGTGAGGAGGGAGGTTTCAGAGTCTTCCTGGGACACAGGAAGGGGAAGGGCCACAGTCCTACACCCAAGCTTCACCCTCCATCAGGGCTAGCTTTGCAAAGCCTTGGAGGTCATCTCTCTTCCCACCCCAAGCCTCTTTCCCCAACACGCAAACCCTTCTGACCCCCAAAACCACCTCTGAGAATGCAGGGCCTGGCCAGATCATCTCATTAGTTAATGAGTTTGGTTATTGATAGTTAGTTTAAACTTATTGTGATCATCAGGTATAGCCCATAAACACTTGATTAATTCACACATTCGAATTGAAATTAAAACTTCAATTAAACTGAAATTCACTACTACCATTTAGGCTCTTTTAAAAACCCTTAAAACAGAAAGTAAGGGAGAGAGAAAAAGGGAAGGCACTGTCTCTCAGAAGGGCCTCCTACAGGGCAAACTTCTAATTAAACAAATTGTCAATTTCAACACAATGAAAACTGATTTAGCAGTGTAAATTTAGTATTCTAGTCACTGAAAATAAGACCTGCATTGTCGATCTCCTGCAGGCTGATTTCGCGTGATAGGGAAATGAAGAGGAGAGGAGGACGACAGGGAGAGAAAGGAGGAAAAACTGCGAAGGAAGAACAAGCCGGAGCTCCGTCTGCCTTTCAGAAATGACATCTCTGCGGAATTCAATGCGGCCTATTCTCAAGCATCGGAGAAACTCTTTTCTTGCCTCCTCCTTCACCCCACCCCAACCAGATTAGAAAAAAAAAATTAATGGTGTATGATGACAAACTTGGCTCAGCACTCACTGTACATACTGTACCCACAAGTCTGGCTCGCAGCCAGGCCTGGCCTGGAGCCAGGACTACAATAACAAACACAGGCAATGCTCGCCAAGAGGGGGTGGGGCAGCACACAGAGCTAGCCAGGAAGTGAGAGCCGTTCGGCTCTGCTGAGCAGAAGAAAACAGCAGGAATGTGCCAGTGCAAGGGCAGCAACATTTAGGGGGGCAACCACAACCCCTACCCAGATCCTGGACTCACTTCTCCACAGCCTGCGCCTTTTGAAAAAAAATGCTCGCCTCCCCCCCGCCTCCCCCGCCCAGGGTTCTGGAGCAACTACTGTTCTTCCAGGCTGTGGGCTGCTTGAACCCTTGGTCATCTGTAAAATGGGTCTACTCTACAGACCTGGCACACCCATTCTCACTGTCAGCTTTCTTCATGGAACCTTCAAAATAGAGCAGCAGGAAAACCTCACATCATCTAATTCAATGTCTCTTCTAAAACATCACCTAGTTCTGTTTTCAGGCATCAGAACATGTAAACCACTACTGGAATCTGTAAGAAGACCCAGCGCCACCAGCCCAGCCCTCTGACCCCAACTCCCCAACAAGTCCAGGTCACTCCAGAGGCCCCCAGGGCCTGTTTAACAGTGGCCAAACAATTCAGGAAATGGTCTAGCCTCACTAAGCCCTTTGTGCTATTTTATTTTCAAGACCTCTCAGCACGGAGGTGAGGAGTATGCCGGACAACAGAAAGAAAAAAAAGAATAGAAATATCAGAATATAGGCCGTGAGCTATCTGCAAGGGTGAATTAAAACACTACTATGACTCATCGCACCTGCCTAATCATCAAATCATCCTTTCCAAGGGCATTGGCAAGTGACTAGCAGAGGGACAAATCATTTGACACAATCAGCCTTCAGTGCCCAGTAAGACAGGCATGGAAAGGAAAAACTAGGAAAAGAGGACCCAACTCCCAAAGCCTCTGGAGCAGCCATATGAGATCAGGGGACCTGGAAGCAGCATCTCAGGTGGAACCAAAGTCAGCTTCCCCAGGGAACCGCCAGCTCCGCAGGGCAGTTGCACAGTCACACTCTTGTCTGAACTGGGGACACCGGGCCCACCTGACATGAGTATGCAAGCAACCCTTTCTTTTCTGCAGCCGCTTCCACCAGCCCCACCAATGCTGCTGATGTGTGATTCACAGCAGAGACACTGGCTAACTCACACTGGGTCACACCGCCTGGAAGAGGGATACAATACGAGCCAGGGGCTCCTGGCTGTCCCCTCCAGTGAGTCCTTAGGACATAAACAGTTCCTACCACAGGAGGGACTTGTCCGGAGAGAGGAGTGTCCCTGTTCATCGGCATCCCAGGCTGCATCATTCACTCAACAAATACTTCTTGGCACCAATAATGTGCCAGGCAGTGTGCTGGACATAACGTGGACAGGATCTAACCCCATGACATGTTAGCTATGGTGGTATGTATTCAAGGTGAGCCTCACAGCTTCTCCGAGATAGCGTTAAATATTTTCATTTTACAGATGAGGATACTGAGGCTGTAAGAGCTTATGGTTCTTGCCCCAGATCACATCAGCAGTAGGTACGTGTCCAAATTCCTTCCACCATGTAACCCCGCCTCCCAAGTAAGAGAGATAAGTCCATAAATAACTGTAACACAGAAGAAAAACTGCACCCAAAGATAGCTTCAAATAAAGAAACATGGGCACAGAAAAGGCACGACTGCTTCTGGCTGGAGGTGGGGAACAGCTGGGGATGGCATCATGGAAGGGACCTTGGAAGATCTGGGAAGATGGGAGATGGGTTATTCCAAGTAGACAGAATGGGGCAAACAAAGCCACAGAGCCCAGAAAGCAACAAGCCCATAAAGCAAACCAAGAAAATGAGTCTGGCTACAGCACTGGACTCAAGGAAAGAGCAATAAGAAAGGACGCTTACTGCGGCTGAGAGGGCAAAGACGCTTTACCAACAGGCTAGAAGTGCACTGCCCCAGAAGTGCCCAGCACCACACAGGGGTCTAGGGCAGGACGCACCACACTCTGCAGTAAGGCAGTGGTGGGCTAAAGCAGAAAAAATCAAGACCAAGAAAGCAAGGGAAGGGTAGCCAACCTGGTAGGCAGATAGTTCATGAAACCCGCCACACTCTGAACCTTAAGTAGCGTACAAAGCTGAAGGGAAGCATGAAGATACAAGGTGTAAGTCCCTAAAACAGAAGAAAAAGTGTACGTGAGTGTCAAGCAGATCCGGACGCAGAAATGCCTGGAAGTTAGGGCTCTGGGCTGAGGTGAGACACATGGGCAGGAGGAGGATGATTCAGTGGAGCCAGGGGCAGGGTGGGGAGGGCCCACAGGAAGGAAGAACAGAATGCACGAAGACATGGGGACAGTAGACGCGCTGAGAGAGATAGCTGCCAGCTGCCTGCTGTGGACAAATCCGTGCGCCTGGAAGAGGGAAGAATGGGAAGTGAGAAGGAGTTAGGACGCTTTAGGAAGGGCCATGAGGGCCGGGGGAGAGACCACATCCAACACAATGCGGAACCACATGGGCCCTGCAGCAAGGCAGTGGGGAGCTGAAGCAGAAAAAGCGAACGAAGAGCACTTCCACGACTGTACCCATGATGGGCTCAGGGGAAAGACAGTACTAAACGGCCAGGCAGGCAGGGAACGAGCGGATGGGGACACGCCCCCCGGGGCAACAGGCTCAGAAACAAGGATGAGGGAGGAAGGTGCAAGCAGAAACCATTAACATTTATTAAATGCCAACTGTATGCCAGGGGCTTACTACAGATGCCTTCAACGTATATTCTGTCACTTAATCCTCCAAAAAATTATGTAAGTTAACAACACCAGCACTTGACAGATGCAGAAACTGAGGTTCACAAGATGAATGTAGCTAAGGTCACACAGCACATATTACAAACAGGATTTGAACCTTTCTCTGCCTGACCCCAAAGCCCATTTCCCAAATGCCAAACTGCCTGGAGGGCCAGTTTCTGGAGCCAATATGGGGAAAGGAGAGGCAGGCCTTGGCCTACATGAGGAGAAGACAAGACCAAATGAAACAACAGCCCTCTCCTCTCCCCTAAAAAATGACTCCAAGGTTGGAAGGCAAGGGAATTAAAGGGAAGAGACTATGCACCTGGCAAAGAAGAGTTGAGGCCTCCACAACTAAAGTCAGGTGACCTAAGCCTCAAAGCCACCGCATCAGACCTGCTAGATCCTTCCCTCCACCAAGAACACTCGGGCCTGCCAAATGTCAGGTGCTTCTCCCCATTCCACGCCTCGTGGGGCAGAGCAGCTTTGCCCAAACATGAGCAAAATTACCAGCAGCCACACAGTCGACCTCAATAGAATTGTATAAAATTAACTTGCAAAAGACAGCACGCTATAACCAGCTTTGTGTTCCAACCTTTCTATATCCATTTAATTAAAGGCTCCTGTATAATGTGAACCCAATAGTCAGATTCATTAGACAGTGAGAACCTAATTCCACAACTGTTCCACTAATGAAACTGCAGTCTACTTTGGAAGGTAGATCACACAGGGCACTGGTTGCCACTGATGCCTGGGAAACCCACGAGAGCTTGAAGGTGGGTTCATCCAAGTGGCCCCGCCATCAGGATGGATCTTCTGTGTCATAAGCCTGGAGGGAGGGTCCAGGGAACAAGATGGACCAGGGCCCCAGCGGGCAGTGGGGACATGCAGGCCACAGCAGGCTCTGAGGAGGGGTAAAGGCAAGCAGGAGATGGTTGCCTGTATCTGAACGGGCCACTAAGGCGAACTTGCCTACCTGAATGAGCCAGTAAGTGCATTCTCAGCCGCAAACTATCCAGGAACCGCTTCCCGCAGAGCTCGCACCCGTACGTCTTCATCCCACTGTGCAGCTTCCTGTAAGGGAAAGGAAAAGAGAGGTTGCTGCTGCTCTGGCTGGACAAGAGGCAGGGCCATCCCCTACCTGGGGGCTTGGCAGCCATCCCTCTGGCAGGTGACAGGCGGAAGGGAACAGGAGGGCACCGATGGAAACACATCCCTGGATCCTCAGACAGCGTAAATCACGCCCTCTGCCCAGGGACTGCAGCCAGTGAAGCACCCATTCCTGGTCTTGTCCACGGGCTTTACCACTGACACATGGACCAAGAAAAAAAATCAGATCCAATTCCAGAGGGAGGAAGGATGCAACACCCAGGACAGTCAGACAGACATAATGCTCACTGTCAAACTAGCACAGACCTCACAGGAGGCCCACAGCCTCTGCTCACCTCTGTGTAGCACTGCCTTTCCCGGGTGGTGACTGTGAACGAGCCCATGGGACCCAGGAGGGCTACACCTGTATCTTTTCTCTCTCCTACCTCCAACTTCCACTACAGTGACTGACACAAAGGAGGCTCTGAATAAGCCTGTGAATAAATTGATGCCCTTATAGACATAAGATACTTCTCTGGCATCCAGATGTTCTTAGGACTGCAATGACCCACCCCAACATGCACACCTTTCCCCTAAGGCCCAGCTTTAGAAGTGTCTTCCCTCTGTCTTGCCCCAACAGAAAGCAGAGTTTCAAGAAACTGGATAACATCATTCTATAAATGTAGGGTGGTCATAGTCATCTGCAGCTCTTCATACACATGCTCTCATTTTGCCATTACTGTGATTCTGTGAGGTGGGCTAGGCCCATGTTATCACCCCTGGGAAGACCAAGGTCCCAGTAACAACCGGTCACAGGCCCAACCTACAGCAGTGCTCCCATCCCAACTCCCAACCCCCAACCCGGGGCCTCTCCCACCAGACCCCTAGCTCAGTCACGAGCCAGCACGGGAGCTGGTAAGATGCAGGGAACCGGGTGCGCTAGCAGGGAGCCGAGCACTGGGGAGAGGCTCCAAGCTGCCGCCCACCCACACTCCTGTTGTCAGGCCCATACATGCTATTGCCGGATCCAGGATCTGGCCTCCACCTCCGCCCCAGTCTCTGCGCCATCCCTGCAACGTCCCCAGGGGCCTTGGCCCTCAGGACAGGGCAGGCGTGGCAGCCAGAAGCCGGATCTGTGGGCGGTGGGGCAGGCAGAAGGGAAAACAAGGCCCTCTATCTCCATCAAAATGTTGATGTGTTAAGACCATAGTAAAAGGCTGGAGAGCTGGTACTGACAACAGATAAAACTGCAGGTGGGGAGAGGGAGTATTACACACTCAAGCTGGCAGTATCTAGATGGTAGCAAAACCGAGCCACCCACCCTTCCAAGTCCCAGAATGAGAACCCAGCAGTGTGTCAAGACCATGTGGTGGACCCAGGTGAGCCTCCCTAGAGCCACAGTCAATGGGCTCCCACAGCATGAGGACCAGCATATGGTATCCACTGTGTACGGCCTTCTGATAGGGATCACACAAAGTTCTCTCAGCAGAGCTCTTTCTCAATCACATTGTTTTGTTTGCATGCTTTCCCTTTCCCCACTTGCCAAAGACAAATGATTTCTCAATCACAAACATACACACACACACACACCCTTATCTATGACACTGTAGGGGTACCACCCCCCCATGTTCTCTTGCTCCTTGCCATGCTGATCCACCCAAATTGAGAAATATTAACAGTACAGAACATTTTAACTGAACATTCTTAACTCTAAATAGATTTCACAATGTTGGGCACTGGGACATGTCCTAATAGCATTTTGGACAAAGTATCTTTTAAACTACATACCTAGGGGTATGTGAGTGCATGCAAACACACACGATGGTGGAGTATTCCTGTCACTTGCCCGGGCATGATAGATACTTGCTGTTCTAAGAGATGTTCTTCTATAGAGTGGCAAAGGCTCTATTCATAAGGGGTTTGGCAGGTGAACTCGCACACAGTCATGGCAAAATCTGGTGGATGGCAACATAAGGGTTTCAGTTTATTTTCATCCTTTTCTTCACCAGGGGTTTGTTAGCTCCTGGAGTGCCCACTTCTGAAGGGTGGCTGTCAAGAGGAATAGGAGGACGAACACCCATTTGGATTTATTTTCCAAAGGGACACTAGAGTGACCGGTCTTCAGATTTGGGAGCCACCACCAGGCTAAACTCCCCTCTGGGGCTCCCATCTCTTCTCCATGAGGGTTCCAAATCAAATCCCTCACCATGATAAACACTCTTGGTTTGGGTAACACCACTGCCTTTTCTCTAGGTATGAATGGATTTGCTTGGCAGTTGGTGGAAGTGGCTTATCGTGGCCAACTGGATTGGCTTGGTGTGAAAGATGACAGGCACTTGCCCTTTTACTACAGAGGTGGCAGGGTACAAAGAAGAATGCCCAGCCAGCAGCCAGAAGACCTGCATCCTCCCACCTGACTCGGCCATTAACCTTGGACAAGTCATGCTATCACAATCTCTCTGTGTTTGATCACCTATAAAGTGATGAAGATCACATCAAATATTTTGAATAGAGACAAAATTTTATCATTCAAAAGTCTTACCCATATCCTTTTACCTAGCCTACCAGGTGGTCCTCTAAGGGGCACTATTATTCTCCCTGAGCCACGTCCCACTTCTTACGGTGCATTGTGATGTCCTCTGACACTGAGGCAGCCAGGCTAGGATTGCCCAAGCAAACCTCTAGACCCAATCCCAGCAATCTAGTCATTTAAAATCTAATCCAAGTGGCCTGAGTTTCCTCCTTTACTCACTTGCTATTTATCTTTCAGTGAAAGAAACTTCCAGAAGTTACCACCAGCCTGTCCTCGGAATGACTCTGTTGTCATGCATTTCGCTGCCTTCAGAGACCCGGATGTCCTATCCTGTCTAATCCTCAGGGTAAGGTCACTGCCCTGCAACTGACCCACTAACTCAGTGCCCCATACAGGTTACCAGAGATTAATATGGTGTCCATGTGATTTCACATGAAGTACAAGGGCAAAGGTCTTTCCTCACTGGCAGAGAGACCTGGGCAAAGCACATAAAGTTCATTAGAGAAAAAGGGAACAACCTCACAGGCCTGGGAGTTCAACAGAGCCCAGCACTGGTTTGCTCGTATCTTTAATTCTTGTTCATCTACCAAAGGAAGAATGTGGAAAAGTGAAGGCTTCTCCTAATTCAAAGAAAATAATGGTGGAGGATTTCAGTGCATTTGAGGTACCTGGCTACCAGTAGACTCTCCATGGCACAGTCTGCAGAACAGCCAATGTGGAAATAGAATTCCAACCGATTCCTGGAGCAAAAGTGCAAATTTGTGTGAACTCACAGTCTATTCCCTCTTTAGACCACAACCTCCCACCACTACCATCACCACATTATGCAACTGCAAAGCATTTAGATCAAAATGGAAATTCTATCCACCTCCTTCTTCCTTACCACACACTCACATCTTCCCAATCTAGTCCTGTCTTTTCATAAGGTTTAATTGCACGTGGCCATCTGAGATTATCAGCCTCCACTGTGACAGGAAAGGAAGGAAGACATCTGGGGACATTTTTGCACCTTTCTGCACACTGCCTTAGTTGGTGGTAGAGTTTTCACACACTCTTCTCTGAGAAGAAGCTACCTTGCTGAACACCATTTTGAAAGTAACCCAGTTCTAGTACAGCCCACGCATCTCCATCCTATACTCAGTGGAGATTCCATTGCCCCATATGCTTCAGGTCCTCACTCTCCATTCCTGGGGAACAGACTCAAGTTCTCCCCAACTCTTAGTGGCTCATTAGGTAAACTCACCTTGCTTGTAACAGATTTTCACTTATGTCCAAAAAGACAAAGAACACATTAACCTCTAACCAGTTTCTATTGTCTCAAGAAAGCTGAATCATTATGAGAAATTCAAGCTAAACAAATCTGAACCTTTTGACAAGAAACTGAAGAGAAGAATTCATTCCTTCTCACTGGTTTTCAACCAAACAACTCTCACTAGTAAAACGAAGCTAGCAAGATACAAGCTCATCATTTGAACCATTTCTGTGCTATTGTGAGTCTGCAAACTCATAAAGATTTCATCTGGTTTAGAGAGCAAACTCCATAATGGCAGAGACCGTGCCTATATTTCCTTTCCTCATGAGGCCTCGTTCAAAAGGGATTGATCAAGGATGCTGGAGAAATCCCTCTCTGTAAAGTGGCATCTATGGCATTCCTTTGCTCATCCTAACAATATTCTAAGTACAACAGCTTCATAGACAGCCTCCAATTCAAAACTGGACCCTGTCCTGTGGCTCCTAAAGTCCATACAAAGAAGGCTAATGGCTACTGCATAGAAGCATGAAGCCATTAGACCAACCTGTCATCTTCAGGGTAAGCCTTTATCAACCTAGCCTACCTAGAACAGCAACAGCAGCATAAAGGGCAGCAAGGAGAGACCCAAGCCATACTCCATCCTCCCTACCTTCAGCTTCCAGAGAGAGCTGACCACAACAGCTGAGCCCCAAGGGGGCATCCACCATGTCTACTCTCTGCAGGGTAAGCTCGGCCCACTTCCATCCTATGCAGCCAGGGACCAAGGGGGGAAGGCTATGCGAAGAACTCACTGCACTAGCAGATGTCAAAGGGAAAAGCCCAGGAGCACTACCTAGCTGAGAGAGAGGGGTTCATGTCCCAGCACTGCCAATGTCACATGTCTTCCCAGGTTCCTGAGCCCAGGGGCAAATGCTCAAGTTGGAGCAGACCAACAGGCAGGGAAGGTTTAGAGAAAGAAACCTCAGTTCCAATAATCCAAGGGTTGAAATTGTCTGACCTGTGAGTTTTGCTGGAAAGACCAGCATGGGGAACTAGGACCTGTAATTGGGAAAAGTGAATGGGAGGGCTCCACAGCTGGACTACCCACTGCTCTCTCCCGCCTTTGAATGAGGAAAAATAAAGTGGGAAATCCATCCTGTAAGGGCATTTATAAGACGATGTTGTCCTTGTTTTCAGCCTAACTGAGCCATCCTCTGAACCAACACTCAGACCACATCAATGCAGTACATAATCCTTCCCAACTCACCCTATTGTAGGTATGAGGCCACTCCACATGCAAAAGTCACCCCAATGCTTTGGGTTTTTGCTTTCTGATTCTATGACCATCAATTTGACCTCATCAGTGCAAAAGTCACCCCGATGCTTTGGGCTTTTTGATCCTATGACCACCCCTTTCTGATCCTATGACCATCAATTTGACCTTCTCAGTGCTTCAGAGGGGTACTCAGAATAGATAGGAAGCAGACGGGAGATTCTGTAAGATCCCAGCCATGACCTAAATGATCCTCTCTTCTCCAAAAAGTCTGCCGCCCCCATGAGAACCAACACTCTCCAAGATCATCTACTTACCCAGCCACCATGCAAACTTCCTGGTCCTGTCGAGCAGGACCTGGGCAGTTGGTGCTGACATGCAGCCTTGGGCCCCATGTGGGGACAGCATAAGGTAGGTCCCTTTATGGAGCTCTGCCAATGCTCTCAGCCGCAAAAGCAACCGACTCTTAAGCTCGGTGATAAGAGAACCTTGCCCTAGCCTCATTCACCTTTCCAAGTAGACACAGAATTGAGTAAAGGGAAAGCTTATGTACTTTAGCAATGGGCTCACTCTTCCTCCTTAGACCTTTAAGTCAAAAACACACTTTCAACGTCCATTTACCTTTAATTCAAATGACAAAGGAAAGGTGAAATAGTCAACGGCATTCTGTGCTCTAATTTTAAGAGGAAGGGATGAATGCAAAGTTATGAGGCTATCAGTATTTCCTCCCCAAAGCAACTTCCAGGGAGACTGCAGAGTGTTTCCATATTCAGTCCATTCTCCTGTACTTTCTTTTTTAAATAATTGTTTTTAATAGAGACGAGGTCTTGCTATGTTGTCTGGGCTGGTCTTGAACCCCTAGGCTCAAGTGATCCTCCCATCTTGGCCTCCCAAAGTGCTGAAATTACAGGCATGAGCCACCACGCCCAGACTAGCTCTCCTGTACTTTCTATGTGTCTTTTTGTGTAAAAGGAATACTCTAAACAGAGCCTGTTCTACTAGCGGCCTCTACCCTAAGCCAGACCATGTTATTCATAGGGCATCAGGGATACTCTGGGGAATGTTCCCTTCCTTCTAAGGGTGACATCATGTCTTCCCAAGGAATGTCTCTTCATGCCACCAAAAGTACCACATTCCAGGCTAAGTAGGCCATTAGTCACACCCAGTGTCATTCTCCTTATGTATTTTGTAGGAATATTAAGTTCAAGATTCAAGACTAAGCCATTTATAAGTTCCTTAAGACTATACACTCTGTGGGGGCAAGAACTATGTCTTTATCTCTGTCTTTTATGGCCTCAGCACAGATCCAGGCAGCCAGAACAGACATATGAGAAGCTATTGCTAACAAGGCAATTTCCAACCACCCTAAGACAAAGGGATACCTAACCACTAAAATCTAGCCATGGGACTGCCTGGAACCACAAAGGAGGCCTGGTATCCCAGGGGAGAAAAAGAAGCAATCATTCTAATGTTGGCTGGGGAATGGGTCACTTTCATTTTCTCAAGGCATAAGGGAAATTACCCTTTTGCCCACTTTTTTTTAATGTTGAGATTAGACAGTCATTTGACAAGCTGTGAATGCTTAGCGGGTATTACCACAAATTATCCTTCTAGCAATAGAGTTCGTTGCTCCCTGACTAGTCAATATTAATAAACATTACCGAATGCTTTTACAACACAATTTATTTTTTAATACAGCTCTTTATGTATGCCATAAAGTAAATATACCAATAAAAGCCAAGGATTTCAAACAACAGATTAAGAAAAACAACCAAGAACTAACTGAGTGCTAGTTAACACCTTCCATGCTGCAGGTTTTGGGAGCACACAGCAGGTGCCTCTCTGCTGGGGATCCAGACCAGGAGAGTTAGGGAAGACAGTGGCCATTTGGTTGTTTTGGAACCGTTTAAAGGGAGAGAGAGAAAATACCAAACCAGCTGTGTTTTCTTAAGAATCACCTTTAAAACAGTGGTATATTGACCATGTATATATGTGTACATATATATACATCGGGCTGAGTGCAGGGGACCTGGCTCTGCAGATATCCATTAAATAACCTTGGCCAAACTACTTAGTTTCTCTAGATTTCACTTGACACCTCTGCAACAATGCAAAGGTTGAGCTAGATGATTTCTTAGGTTCTTTCCAACCAGGTTTACAAAACTGAAAGGCTGTGGGGCTGACATGGGTCTGTGCTGGCTGGATTATATCTCCTGCATAAGGGTCCATACCAGATTCATCCTCTCAGTCTTCATCACTGACCTCAGAACATGGCAGGGGCTCATTTTTGTTGACTGAATGAGCAAACAAACAAGAAAGAGAATCGGAAGAGAAAAATGTAGAGGTGGAAAAAAACTCACCTTGTCTACACACACATGCGGATACACACACACACACACACACACACACACACACACACACCAGTAAAAAACAGTTGCCCCTACTGTCCAAAAGAGAAGCTCTCTATGGGGTTCTTAGAAAGAAAGCCAGGCAGGCGGGCGCGGTGGCTCACGCCTATAATCCTAACACTTTGGGAGGCTGTGACCGGCAGATAACGAGGTCAGGAGATCGAGACCATCCTGGCTAACATGGTGAAACCCCGTCTCTACTAAAAATACAAAAAATTAGCCAGGCATGGTGGCAGGTGCCTGTAGTCCCAGCTACTCAGGAGGCTGAGGCAGGAGAATCGCTTGAACCCAGGAGGCAGAGGTTGCAGTAAGTCGAGATCGTACCACTGCACTCCAGCCTAGGTGACAGAACGAGACTCCATCTAAGAAAGGAAGAAAGAAGAAAGAAAGAAAGAAAGAAAGAAAGAGAGAGAGAGAGACAGACAGACAGAGAGAGAGAAAGAGAGAGAGAGGGAGGGAGGGAGGGAGGGAGGGAGGGAGGGAAGGAGGAAGGAAGGAAGGAAGGAAGGAAGGAAGGAAGGAAGGAAGGAAGGAAGGAAGCCAGCCAGCCATGCATCCTATGCATCCTGCCTTGGCCTGGATGAAGGCCAATCTGGAGCTGACTGAAGAGTGGAGGGAACTGTCCTGAGCCTTGAAAATATGAGGAAGGACAATGGCATTCCCTGGGGCCATGACCACACCGAATACAGCACTTGCAGATAAGGCTGCCTGCGAGTGCTAAAACACAATGTCAGAAATGACAAAGGGGCACACTAATCTCCCTGCAGCAACTGCTCAAGGAGGGATCTTCGTGGCTGTGGAGAACCAAGAGGCCTGGGCTTCTGGCTGCTACGTAACCGGTCCTTTGTTTTAAAATACTAAGTTCTCCTAAGTCATTTATTTGAAATATCTCTATCAACAAATTTCACCAAGAACAAAAGTTTTTCATTTGTGCACTGGGCTATAGGATGATCTTATCGCACACAATCTCATACAGTCTCTTTCAACAAGGTCTTAGCGTGCTTATCTGTGAAGTTCCTGGTAGCCAAATATGATTGAAATGTTCTATTTATGCTCACTGGATTAAGGAGATGTTGCAAAACTGCACAAAAACCTGGCAGATGTAAGCAAGGTATTACAGCCAGGGCAGTTAAGATCCGAGGGGAAGAGATCAATACATACTTTTGTAGTTTTTTCTTTTTCTTTTTCTTTTAAGAGACCAGAAAAGTTGTGCTTTTAGAAAAGGAAAAGGAAAAAATAGTAAAATGCTTTAAGATTTATAGCTTCTCTGAGCTTTTTCCAAACCCAAAACAGGGCACCATGATGCATGCTTGATGATGTCAGCCCAAGGGAAACAAAAATAAATCCAAAATATTCTCTCCAGATCCTAAAAGGCCCTATAAGGGAATTAAACTATGGTTATGGATGAACAGGGTTTTTGTTCTCCCTCTCCCGTACAAGGCTTTTAACCAGCACAAATAACCGATTTCTGGGAAAACAGTTTTCAAAAAGCTACAGACTTTTCCTTTATCTCCTTGTTCTGCCTGGATACATGCGAAGGAAATGTTGTCTCCTGGTTATCCAGGATCATTTTTATATGTTTCCACTCTAGCCAGGGAGACACAATGCTACCTTCAGATCCCATGGACCAGCCATGGAAACTCAGAGATTGTTGAGAATAACTGAGGTTTATTAAAGGCCTAAGAAGAAAGTTCCTCTGGAATTAAACCATTCTGAAAACCTTTTTAATGTATATTGCCTCATTCTTTCTGCTTTGGTACACTGAAAATTAAATTACTTTTCTATGAGGATTCTGAGCTGGAGAGCTATCACTCTAAACATCAATTATGAACACAAGATAAGAGACTGAACGGATTACCTGTACGGGTACCAAATCACATTGTAAACATTATTGTCATTTTAATGAAGAAAAAAAGCAAAAGCCAAACAGATATTAGCTTCCTTACTGGTTCTTTCTTCCTTTCTTCTAGAAAAATGCAAAAAAGAACATCTAGTCAACCCAGGTTTTGGTTTTTTTTTTTTTTTTTTGAGACAGAATCTCACTCTATCGCCCAGGCTGGAGTGCAGTGGCGTGATCTCGACTCACTGCAACCTCTGCCTCCCAGGTTCAGGCGATTCTCGTGCCTCAGCCTCCAGAGTAGCTGAGACTACAGGCATGAGCCACCATGCCCAGCTGATTTTTTTTTAATTTTTAGTAGAGCGGGGGTTTCACCGCATTGGCCAGGCTGTCTCCAACTCCTGACCTCAAGCGATCCACCCGCCTCGGCCTCCCAAAGTGCTGGAATTACAAGTATGAGCCACCGTGCCTAGCCCCAACTGAGGTTTTAATGATAAAGAAGGTAATGCATTTATAGATCATGTCTGACTTTGAAAGGGCTTCCTGAGGATCATCTCAACCACCCTGTGGCTGACATGGACAGTATAGAGCCCATTTTGTGGATGGAGAAAGTGAGGCCACATGACTTACTTGCCCCTATAAACAGGCAGACTTCGCCAGACTTCTCACCTCAGGGTCTGCCTTCATATTCCTACCTAAGCCAGAGTCTTTCCCTGAAAGGGGCAGGAAAACCAGCAGCTAAAAAGGAGTCACCGAGAGCATTCCTGGGATTTTCTCCATCTAATTGAATAGAAGCAAGAACAGAGAGGCCTCTAAGAAAAAAAGTAAATTGAATGATGGTACCCAGAGTCTACTGACAGGCTGTGGGTCTCGCAGGGACTTCATAACCTTCTACAGGGAAGGCAAGCCGACTCATGCCCCACTGCTACTCACCCTATATCTGTTAAGCGCCTACCGTATGCTGGACTCCAGTAAAGTCAGGCTGCTCCTGACCCACAGCCCTTCTAGGTAGGTTGTCCATCAACGCAATTTTCCATCATTGCATTTTGTTGATTTCCTTTATAACATTTAACACAATTTTCAGTTATATATTAGCTTTTTATTAGTATTCTTTATCTCTACTAGACTATAAGTTACATTAAGGCAGAAACCATCCACTATAACCTCAGAGTATGCCAGGGTGTGCTGTATAGAGTAAGTATTCAGTACACTTTTCTAAATAGCTTTACTGAGGTATTTTCCACGTACCACAAAATTTATCCTTGTCAAGTATACCATTCACTGGTTTGTAGCATATTCATAGAACTGTGCAACCATCATCACTATCAAATTCCAGAATATTTTCATCACCCTGAAAAGAAACCTCGTACTCATTAGCAGTCACTCTCCATTCCTCCCCTCAACCCCCAGCCTTTGGCAACCACATATGTACTATCTTCCTCTACAGATTTGCCTATTTTGAACATTTCATATAAATGGTATCATACAATATGCACCCTTTGGGGTCTGGCTTCTCTCACACAGCATGTTTTCAAGCTTCATTCCTATCATAGCTTGTATCAGTACTTTGTTCCTCTGTAGGGATATACCATACTTTGTTTATCCATTCATCAGCTGATGGACATTTGGTTGTTTTGACCTTTTGGCTATTACGAATAATGCTGCTATGAACATTTGTGTACAAGTTTTATGTGTGGACATATGTTTTCACTTCTCTTGGGTATATACCTAGGAGTGGAATTGCCAGCTCATATGGTAACTCTATGTTTAACCTTTTAAGGAACTGCCAGACTGTTTTCCAAAGCAGCTATACCATTTTACATTCCCATCAGCAATGTATGAGGTTTCCAATTTCTCAATACATTTTTGGACTAAGTGAATAAATGAATAAAGATTTCCTCTGCTGTAAAAGCCCCCCAAAAAGGGGATACAGTTCTGAGGCTTCTTTGGTAAACTAGCATCTTCATCTGCAGACATGACATGCTACACTCATATTTAACAGAAACCCCAAAGAATGCTATTTATATGTAGTTCCTTTTAGAGAATCAAGTGAAAAATGAAGAAAAGGAAAGAAAAACACCAGACAGCTCAAAGTGGGCACTCCTTTCACATATGTGATTTCAACCCCTACCCTCCAGCCCACGTCTAAACTCAATAATTTAATAATGCACCTTCCTTGAACAGATTTAGTTGAAAATATAAGAGGGATCCCAGCTCAACTGAAGCCAGCTTTGATTTGGTCAACAGTGAGGGAAACATGATTTGACAGCCCTTGCTGTCTCTGGTAGAAAGCTTGAAAATATACTTAATAATAATTAAAACATAAACGCATGAACAAAAATATCCCAGGCAAGCTCCAGGAGTGGGACCCACGGTGCTGGAACCTGCTGAGAAGACAGCCAAGGGCGAGAGCCTCTCTTCCTGGCCTTGTTAGAGTGGGCATGGTGTCCCACAGCAGGCTGCGGCAAGAAGCTCTGTTAAGGGCTCCCCAAACTTCTTTTTCTACCCCCTTTTCTTTTTTGTAAAAGAAGTCAGCCGTATTCCTTTCTACACAGACTCCTTGCAAAGAACAAACAAACAAAGGCTGGGACAGAGCAAGGCCCTTTGCAAGCTGCAGGTAATTAAAACGGCCTGTAAATGCCCCAGTAGAAAGCACTTCAAAGAGACAGTAATTCCAGCAATGGCCAGTCAAGGCTGTGTGGTGTGAAAATTATGAGTTTTCCCAACAGGGAGCTTTGTGTGAAAAGGACAGGGGTTGGTGGCAAAAGGAGGGTGAGCCACACGGACGAGGTTTACAATTGGTGTCCATGCCCAGTGTGCGTGGGAGTGTGTGTGTGTGTGTGTGTGTGTGTGTGTGTGTGTCTGGCAAACACACAGGCCAGAGAAAGGGGATTGTGTGCATGTTTGTGAGAGCACACATTTATCAATGCTGAGACGGTCCAAGCGTGTGGGCATGGAGATAAAAGGAAAAATAAAATAAAAGCAACAAATACGAATCCTCTTCCCTGCTGGGCCTCATTTTCATGGGGAAAAGCACCAGGCAGCTTGCGTGCTCCTCTTGCTCCTTACACGCAAGGCTCCCGAGCACACAGGAAATGCATAATACCAGTGACTCGAGGCCCAACGAGCACAGAGGCCAAGCAGCGGCTCTCTGGAAACATCCACACTTTCAGTCTCACGGTGCAACACAATACCCAACAACATACTGCATGCTATGTAATCTTGAAACAGAATGAAGAGATCGATTCTTAACCTTGACTCTGACTGCATTTGCTAAGCCACCTGTGCTACCCGCCTGGGTGCCCTGTGCTTAGATGATGCAGCGACGGTCCATGGCATGGAGGAGAAGAGAGGCTGGAGCCTCAATGCACAAGGACGTTGGCCCCACTCTTACAATACACTGACACACATCAGTGATCACCTGACCACAACATCACACATCTGGGATGGAGGGAGGACCTGTCACTAGCGTATTTTTTCTACATTTTTGTGTAATCTCCCTGCAGGAACCTGATACTTCCAAAAGGACATTTCACTAGGCAAGAGGGTCAGTACCATCCCTAGAAGCCTTCCCCAGTAGCTCCCCTCTGTCCCCTCTCAAAGCTGACCCCCTTTCCCCCCCAGCCTCTGTCTTTTAAGTGTGTTTCTGTTGGAGCAGATGTACTCACTAGGGTGCATCTGCTTGTTTCTCTGTCTCTCCAGCTGGATGGGCAGCTACATGAAGACAGGGCTTTGCCTCATTCATCTTGTATTCTCAAGCCTTGCAAAGGGCACAGCATTAGTGGATGGATGAGGGGTGGATGCATCTTGGCTGTACAGTGGGTAATAAATCAATCGGGATTTGGATGGAGTAGAACATATTGCTTAGAGCCGGGTACCCACCGCTCCTCACCCTCATCAGCCAGCACACATTCACCGTGTGCACAGGAGCCTCGGAACCTGGGAGAGTAGGTGGGAGCAAGCCCACGCTCACCAAGGCAGCAGAGAAACCAACGCTGGCCAGGGGCTTTATTTCCCCATAAACAAAATCCTGTTCTGCCTCCCTCACAGCCCCACTCACTAACTCCTCCCTGACATTGCTGGTTTTAAGCCCACACATAAAAATGTCCTTTACTATTTTTATTTAATGAGCTTTCATTTTTCCTCCCCGTTTTTGTAAATGAGAAAGGAAAGCCCACCTCCCGATGGGGATGGGGGAGGAGGCAGAGTGGAATCTTTTTTAAACGGGCCATAACTTCATGAAAAGCTTTCTCCTCCACAATCCCCCCAGCTCCCCCTCCCCAAGGCCCCATGCTCCTCCATCCTCCCTACATCCTCCCTTCCCACCATTCAAAACAAGATGCATGGATTTTGGACATTTGATTACTTTTAAGTATATATTTTTCCCTCAAATAGACTGAATACAATGGTTAGGAAATGTGACAGAAAACTATTCTGAGCCATTTATTGCCTTAATACCCACCTTTGTCCAACAGGCAGTTTTGACAACAGCGATAAATTCCAAATTTATGTCAACAGCGCATATGTTGAACACCTCATTTCTGAGCTAAAGCGGCATGCTGCCCTATAAATCACCGTTCTGTTTGAAATGAAGGTAGATTACAGGCCTGTGTTATTGAGCAGTTAGAGCTATAGTCATATAAATCAGAACTTTTAACTCTAGGCAATCCGTTGTGCAATTAACTAAAGGGTACTTTGTCATTTCAAGGCTTGTGCACAGACTTGGCAGGGCATAGAGCTACTGGGGAAGGGGGTGGGAAGGAGAAAAAGTTTTTAGGCAACAGGAAGGTTGTCGGCTGCAGCCCCCACCATACTCCACACAATGCCTTAATCCTTAACCACCGCTGCCACAAGAACCTGCCAAGCCTGAATATAGGCAAAGACAACCTCATAATGAGCATCTGCCACAAAGACAACA